>NW_009646206.1:0-370917 GCF_000001405.40 Homo sapiens
CGCATTTATTCCCTTTCTCCTTCCCTCCCTCCCTTCCTTTCTTTTATACAGAAACATCAGTGTGATTCCTGGCCTTTGTCTTTCCATCACACTCTTCACATGACTGACAGGACAACCCCATGCCTCTACTCTCACAGAATAGCCATAGCATGGCCACTTCTCATTGTCTGCCAGTTCACTGACAGCAGCTTTGTGTTTACTACTAAGTGTCTGGCTCACAGCAGATGCTCGATAACTCCATTTCTAAGAAATAAATATCTCTTCCTGTAACTTCTTCCTGCAATTCAAACCAGAGAGTATTTCTCAGGAATTATCAGTTGATTGAGTGGCAAGGTATGTCTGGACTATGCATTTCATTTGAATCTATTAATAGTTTTATGGCTAGAAGAGAAAATGAAACAAAAATGGATTTTCAGCTGGGTGGAAAAGTTCAGTCAGTAGAACAAGTGAGGGAACATTCTGGGGAACAGATGCAGAGTGTGGGCAGGCTGTCATTATGAGTGTGACAGTGTTTACCAGCTGAGCTGACCTTTGTTCTGATGAAAATCTTGTAATTCACTATCCAAATATCAATTATATCTTTGACATACAAAAAAAACCATCGTATCATTCTTATGCCTTTGCATCCTCATAGCTTAGCTCCCACTTATGAATGATAACATACAATGTTTGGTTTTCCATTCCTGAGTTACTTCACTTAGAATAATGGTCTCCAATTTTATCCGGGTTGCTGCGAATGCCAATAGTTTGTTCCTTTTTATGGCTGAGTAGTATTCCATGGTATACATATACACCACAATTTCTTTATCCACTCGTTGATTGATGGGCATTTGAGCTGGTTTTATATATTTTCCAATTGCAAATTGTGCTGCCATAAACGTTGTGTGCAAGTATCTTTTTAAAATAATGACTTATTTTCCTCGGGGTAGATACCCAGTAGTGGGATTGCTGGATCAAATGGTAGTTCTACTTTTAGTTTCCTGAAGGACTCTCCACACTGTTTTCCATAGTGTTTGTACTAGTTTACATTCCCACCAGCAGTGTAAAAGTGTTCCCTTTTCAACGCATCCCCACCAACATCTACTATTTATTTATTTATTTTTTTATTTTGGCCATTCTTGCGGGAGTAAGGTGGTATTGCATTGTGGTTTTGATTTGCATTTCTCTGGTCGTTAGTGATGTTGAGCATTTTTTCATGTGTTTGTTGGCCATTTGTTTATCTTCTTTTGAGAATTTTCTGTTCAGGTCCTTGGCCCACTTTTTGATAGGACTGTTTGGTTTATTCATGATCATTTGTTTGAGTTCCTTGTAGATTCTGGATATTAGTTCTTTGTTGGATGTAAAGGTTGCAAAGATTTTCTGCCACTCTGTGAGTTGTGTGTTTACTCTCCTGATTGTTTCTTCTGCTGTGCAGAAGCTTTTTAGTTTAATTAAGTCCCATCTATTTATCTTTTTGCTTTTGTTGCATTTATTTTAGAGTTATTGGTCATGAGGCCTTTGCCTAAGCCAATGTCCAGAAAGGTTTTTCTGATGTTATCTTCTAGAATTTTTATAGTTTCAGGTCTTAGATTTAAGTCCTTCATCCACCTTGAGCTGATTTTTCTATGAGTTGGGAGATGAGGATCCAGTTTCATTCTTCTACATGTGGCTTGCCAATTATCCCAGCACCATTTGTTGAATAGGGTGTCCTTTCCCCACTTTATATTTTTGTTTACTTTGTCAAAGATCAGCTGGCAGTAACTATTTGACTTTATTTCTGGGGTTTCTATTCTGTTCTATTGGTCTATGTGCCTATCTTTGTACCAGTACCATATTGTTTTGGTGACTATGACCTTATATTAACAGTATAGCTTGAAGTCAGGCAATGCGATGCCTCCAGATTTGCTCTTTTTGCTGAGTCTTGCTTTGGTATGTATACTCTTTTTTGGTTCCATATGAATTTTAGGATTGTTTTTCCTAGTTCTGTGAAGAATGATGGTGGTATTTTGATGGGAATTGCATTGAATTTGTAGATTGCTTTTGGCAGTATGGTCATTTTCATAATGTTGAAATTTTCACATGGGATGCTAGAGCATGGGATGTGTTTCCATTTGTTTGTGTCATCAACAATCTCTTTCAGCAGTGTTTTGTAGTTTTCCTTGCAGAGGTCTGTCACCTCCTTGGTGAGGTATATTCCTAAGTATTTTATTTATTTTATTTTTGTGGCTATTGTAAAAGGGGTTGAGTTCTTGATTTGTTTCTCAGTTAGTTGCTGTTGGTGTATAGCAGAACTACTAGTTTGTGAACATTAATTTTGTCTCCTGAAATTTTGCTGAATTTATTTTTCAGTTCTAGGAGCTTTTTGGAGGAGTCTTTAAAGTTTTCTAGGTATACAATCTTAGCATCAGCAAACAGCGACAGTTTGACTTCGTCTTTACTGATTTGGATGCCCTTTATTTCTTTCTCTTGTCTGATTGTTCTGGCTAGGGCTTCCAGTTCTATGTTGAATAGAAGTGGTGAGAGTGGGCACCATTGTCTTGTTCCAGTTCTCAGAGGGAATGCTTTCAACTTTTTCCCGTTCAGTATTATATTGGCTGTGGGTTTGTCATAGATGGCTTTTATTACTTTAAGGTATGTCTCTTCTATGACTATTATGCTGAGGGTTGTAATCATAAAGGGGTGCCGGATTTTGTCAAATGCTTTTTCTGCATCTATTGAGATGATAATCTGATTTTTGTTTATGTGGCATATCTGTTTATGTGGCATCTAATTCTGTTTATGTGGCATATCACATTTATTGATTTGTGTATGTTAAACCATGATTGCGTTTTTTGGCATGCAGGGATGCAGTGGGTTTCACCTGATTGTGGTGGATTACCTTTCTGATAAGCTGTTGGATTTGGTTAGCTAGTATTTTGTTAAGAATTTTTGCATGTATATTCATCAGTGATATTGGTCTGTACTTTTCTTTTTTTGTTGTGTCCTTTCTTGGTTTTGGTATTAGGGTGATACTGGCTTCACAGAATGATTTAGGGAGGATTTCCTCCTATCTTATCAATACAATTTGTACCAATTCTTCTTTGAATGTCTGATAGAATTCAGCTGTGAATCCGTCTGGTCCTGGACTTTTTTGTTGGCAATTTTAAAATTAGGATTTCAATCTTGCTGCTTGTTATTGGTCTTTTCAGAGTTTCTAATTCTTCCTGGTTTAATCTAGGAAGGTTGTATATTTCCAGGAATTTGTCCATCTCCTCTAGGTTTTCTAGTTTACGCACAGAAAGGTGTTCATGGCAGCCTTGAGTGATCTTTTTGTATTTCTGTCATACTGGTCAAAATATCTCCCATCTTATTTCTAATTGAGCTTATTTGGGTCTTCTCTCTTCTTTTTTGGTTAATATCACTAATGGTCCATTAATTTTATTTATCTTTTCGAAGAATCAGCTTTTGGTCTCATTTACCTTTTGTATTTTTTTTTGTTTGTTTCAATTTCATTTAGTTCTGCTCTGATCTTGGTTATTTCTTTTCTTCTGCTGGGTTTGGCTTTGGTTTGTTCTTGTTTCTCTAGTTCCTTGAGATGTGACCTTAGATTGTCTATTTGTGCTCCTTCAGACTCTTTGATGCAGACATTTAAGGCTATGAACTTTCCTCTTAGCACTGCCTTTGCTGTATCCCAGAGGTTTCTATATGTTTTTGATATGTTGTGTCACTATTATCATTCCATTCAAAGAATTTTTTAATTTCCATCTTGATTTCATTCTTGTCCCAACAGTCATTCAGGAGCAGGGTATTTAATTTCCATGTATTTGCATGGTTTTGAGGGCTCCTTTTGGAGTTGATTTTCAATTTTATTCCACTGTGTTCTGAAAGAGTACTTGATAGAATTTCAATTTTCTTAAATTTATTGAGACTTGTTTTGTGGCCTATCATATGGTCTATCTTGGAGAATGTTTCATCTGCTGACAAATAGAATGTATATTCTGCAGCTGTTGGGTAGAATGTTCAAATATCTGGTAAGTCCAAGCTATAGTTCAAATCCATTGTTCTATCGGCCACTGAAAATATACATACACATTTATTATTGCAATAGCAAAATGCTATAAGCTGGGTTGACCCTATAAAATCTTCCTTTTCTGGGAAAAAATCCATTAATAATTTCAAATAACAAAATAAAAATGGACGGACAGTTAATAAAACTATAACAAGAGAATCTTGGTAGTCATTTTTTCTTCTTCTCTTCCAATCACATTAAATCTTCAATCCAAGATATACAGTTTGCTCTTCCTTTAAAACTTATTAATATTCTGACCAATTCTACCAGCTCTACTTCCACAGTGCCAACCAAACAGGATCAAATGCATCTAATGGTTTTTTTTAAAGGGAGTAGTTTGACTGCCAGGACCTACTGAGGCCAACAATATTAAGAAAGCTTCTGAAAATACTGTAAAAGAATTTTCTTTAAATAGTGAACCAAAAAAGCCCTTCCATTTGTGTAGTTGCTTTGACAAAACTGCAAACTCACCATCAATTAAAACTGTAAATATGGCAATAAAGGTAAGTCCATCTTTTCGTCTTATTCTTCTGTTAGCTGTGACTCCATTTCTTCGCTTCCTCTTGCCGCAAATCTCCTTGAAAGAAGTGCCTATTCCTTAAGCATTACTACTAATAAAATATCAAAAAACAACAGATGTTGGCATGGATGCAAAGAAAAGGGAATGCTAATACACTGTTGGTGGGAACGTAACTGGTTCTACCTCTATGGAAAACAGTATGGCAATATCTCTACGAATTAAAAAAAGACCTACCATTCCACCCAGTAATCCCAATACTGGGTATATACATCCCAAAAAAGAAATAATTATATGAAAAGACACCTTAACTCTTATGTTTATTGCAGCACTATTCACAATAGGAAAGTCACAGAATCAAAGTAAGTGTCCATCAACAGTTGATTGAATAAAGAAAATGTGCTACATATACACCAGGGAATACTAAGTAGCCATAAAAAGAATGAAATTCTGTCCTTTGCAGTGACATGGTTGGAGCTGGAGACTATTATCCTATGTGAACTAACTCAGAAGCAGAAAATCAAATACTGCATGTTCTCACTTACAAGTGGGAGGTAAACGATGGGTTCATATGGACATAAAAATAGAAATAACAGACCCTGGGGGCTTGAAAATGGGGCAGAGAGAGGAGGAAGTGAGGGTTGAAAGATTACCTATTGAACACAATGTTCAGTATTTGAGTGATGGGTACACCAGAAGCCCAAGCCTTACCATTATGCAATACACTCAGGAAAAAAACACGCACATGTGTCCCCAAATCTAAAATTAAAAAAAAAAATTTAACCCTCTTTATGGAGGGTTCAAAGGATAAAATAAAGTATAACTATACAAGCTTTCATATAATAATAGATGAAAACATATATATATTGATTACTCAAAAGGAAAAAAGAACAACATAGTCTTACTTTCTTCTAATATCTTTATTCATCTCCCCTCAAACTCAGTCTGAATGGCCTTCTATCCTTCCACCTCATAGAAATGATTCTGTTAAAGGCATTAATGGCCTGCATATTGCTAAACACAGTGGTCAGCGGTCAGGCCTCATCTTACTTAACCTGCCAGGTGATTATTCCTTCCTCCTTGATAAACTTTCTTCACTTAGCTACCAGGACACTGAACTATCTTGGTTTCTTCTCATCTCACTGTTTGCTCCATCTCAGTGTCCCTTACTGCTTCCTCTTTTTCTCCTGACTTCTTTATCTTGGATCGACCCAATGCTGTTTCTCTTCCTTTTTTTAGCTGTACTTACGCCCTTGGTGATGGCAATCTCTCAAATTTGAAATGTTATCTATTTGTTACAACCCTCCAATTTGTATCCCCAATCCAAACCTCTCTACTAAACTCTAAACCCATATATTCAACTCTCTGCACTTGGACATAAAAAAGCATCTCAAGTTCAAGATTCCCAAAGCTGAGCTTCTGATATCCTTCCCCCTTAAACGTGCTCCATCCACAGCTTTGCCAATCTCAGTTGATGGCTTCTTCAACAGTGCAGTGCCTTGGGCCAAATCCTGGTAGTTACTCTCAATTCTTCCCCTTTTATCACATCCCACATCCAATCCACCAGGAAATACAGTTTGCACTTTTTTTTAAAACATATCAATATTCTGACCAATTCTACCAGATCCACTTCTATGATGCCAAAAAATCAGGATTAAATACATCTAATGGTTGTTTTCAGAGAGAGATGTTTGTTTGTCAGGACCCATTGAAAAAGAAATGCCACTGATGTATTTTCTGGGAGCCAGTATTTCTTTCCTGATGGCTGCCATAAGGACCCTTCTATTGTTCTACACTCCAGGGAACATAATGCAATCAATGTGTGCATAAGTAAACCTAAGACACAGGTGAAGATGTAAAGATGATTTTGTTAGTTTGAAAGCCAATTACGAAGGCAGAGGAGCAAGATGGTGGAATAGAAGGCTCCACTGATCATCCCCCATGAAAGGACAAGAGGATAACAAGTACCTGCCTGGAAAAAACACCTTCATAAGAACCAAAACCAGGTGAGCACTCATAGTACCTGGTTTTAACTTCATATCGCTGAAAGAAGCACTGAAAATATAGCAAAAACAGCCCTGAATCAGGGGCATCATCTCCGCCCACCACCACCAGCCCCCCCAAACACACTCCCTGGCAGCAACAGCGTGGTACAGAGGGCATCTCTGGGCGGTGGCAGAGGAAGAACAGCAATTGTGAGGCAATGGACTCAGTGCTGTCCTGCTAGACTAGAAAGAAGAACTGGACCAAACTCGGCTGATGCCTGCTCTGAAAGGTAAGCTCCAGGCCAGGCAACATCCACTACAAGCTGACTTAAGGGCTTTTGGGTCCTAAGGGAACATCAGTGGTAGACTGGCAGTACTCCTCATGGCCTGGGGAGGCAATAGCTACAGAATCAGGCTTCTCTGCCTTTGGAAAGGGGACAGAAGAGTGGGAAGGACTGTGTCATGTAGTTTGAGTGCCACCTCAGCCACAATATAATAGAACACTAGGTAGACTTCTAAGGTTTTTGAGTCCAGTCCCTGACTCCCAGATGGCACTTCTGGACCCACCTGGGGCCTGGGAGATCTCCCTGATCTTATGGGAAAAACACAGGCCTGGCTGGCTTTGCCACTTGCTGATATTAGAGCCCCAGGGCCTTGAGCAAACATAGGCAGCAGCCTGGCAGTTGTTACAGCAGATGTGGGTGGAGACTCAGTGCTGTGCTGCCATCAGGTATGACCCAGCACACTTATAGTGGTGGTGGCCACAGGGGTGTCTGTGATACGTTTCCCTCAGCTCCAGGCAGCTCAGCACGGAGAGGCTCTGTATGTTTGGGAGAAATTTAGGGAAGAGAACAGAGTCTCTGCCTGGTAATCCAGAGAACTCTCCTGGATCTTGTCCAAGATCATCAAGGCCATACCTCCAACAGTCTGTAAGGACACAAATCTCCTTGAAAGAAGTGCCTATCATGTACGTTTATTGCGGCACTATTCACAATAGCAAAGACTTGGAACCAACCCAAATGTCCATCAATAATAGACTGGATTAAGCAAATGTGGGACCTATACACCATGGAATACTATGTGGCCGTAAAAAAGGATGAGTTCATGTCCTTTCCAGGGACATGGATGAAGCTGGAAACCATCATTCTCAGCAAACTGTCACAATAACAGAAAACCAAACAGCACATGTTCTCACTCATAAGTGGGAGTTGAACAAACAAAACACATGGACATAGGGAGGGGAACATCACACACTGCGGCCTGTCGGGGAGTGGGGGACTATGGGAAGGATAGCATTAGGAGAAATACCTAATGTAGGTGATGGTTTGATGGGTGCAGCAAACCACCATGGCACGAGTATACCTATGTAATAAAACTGCACGTTCTGCAAATGTACCCCAGAAGTTAAAGTATAATAATAACAAAAAAGAAAGAAGTGCCTATTTCTTGAGTATTATCATGTTATTAGGCTTGGGGCATCCAGTGAAGTATATACAGCTTAGGTCACCACACCCAAGTCCTTTCAAATATCTGGAAAGCCTTCCCAGGAAGGATGGCTACAAATAAGCACAGCCAGTGAAAACTACAATAAACACCTAACCCTCCAATGCATAGACACCAAATAACATCTGCTAGCATTAACACCAACCAGGAAAACATGACCTCACAAAATGAACTAAATAAGGGAGCAGGGACCAGTCTTGGAGAAACACAGATATGTGACCCTTCACACAGAGAATTCAAAATAGCTGTGTTGAGGAAACTCAAAGAAATTCAAGATAACATAAGAGGAATTCAGAATTCTATCAGATGTATTTAACAAAGAGATTGAAATAAAAAGAAAGCCAATTAAACTGCTCCATTGACATGTTTCCAGATTCAGGGTCTATAAACCACTTTTTTCAATGATTGTATGAAGCAGAAAGTTGATGTCAAGGTGACCAGCAGCGACACCCAGGTACCACATCGAGGGCTTTGAATTAACTTTCAGCAGAGTCAATCCCAGTGCTGTCAAGCAAATAAAAATAGAGTGAGGCCAACAATCTCAAGAATACTTCTGAAAATGTTGGAAAGAATTTTCTTTAAATAGTGAATAACAACAAGAAAAACCTTCCATTTGTGGAGTTGCTTCAATAAAACTGCAACCCCACCATCAATTAAAAGTTTAAGGCCACAACAATAAAGAAATGTCCATCTCTTGATCTCATTCTTCTGCTAGCTGTGGCCTCATTTCTTTGCCTCCTCTTGCCACAAATCTCCCTGAAAGAAGTGCCTATCCTTTGGGTAATATTCAAGAGTCAAAAAACAACAGATGTTGGCATGGATGCAGAGAAAAGGGAATGCTTGTACACTGTTCGTGGGAAGGTATATTTGTTCTACCTCGATGGAAAACAGTGTGGAGATATTTCAAGGGATCAAAAATAAAGCTACATTTTGACTCAGCAATCCCACTATTGAGCACCTACCTAAAGGAAAAAAATGATTATATAAAAAAGACACCTGGACTCTTATGTTTATTACAGCACTATTCACAATAGCAAATTCATGGGACCAACCTAAGTGTCCATCAACAGTTGACTGGATAAAGAAAATGTGCTACATATACATTGTAGAACACTATGTAGCCATAAAAAGAATAAAATCTTGTCCTTGGCAGCAACATGGATGAAGCTGGAGTCTATTATCCTAAGTGAACTAACTCGGAAGCAGAAAATCAAATACTGTATGTTCTCACTTATACGTGAGAGGTGAATGATGGGTACGCATGAACATAAAAATGGAAATAATAGACACTGGGGACTCCAAGAGGTGCAAAGAGATGGGGGAGTGAGGATCAAAAGACTGCTTATTGAACACAATGTTCAGTATTTGGGTGATGGGTACCCCAGAAGCCCAATCCCTGCCATTATGCAGTACACCCATGTAACAAACATGCACATGTACCCCCTGAATGTAAAATGTTTGAAAAAAAAAAAAGAATCTTGACCTTCTTTATGCAGGGTTTAGAGGATAAAATCATTAAAGAATATGCAAGCTTTCTTATAGTAATAGATGATAAAATCATATCGATTACTCGAAAGGAAAAAACTGCCTATTCTTACTTTGTTATATTTTCTTCATTCATTTCTTTTTTTTATTATACTTTAAGTTTTAGGGTACATATGCACAGGCAACCTACAGAATGGGAGAAAATTTTTGCAATCTACTCATCTGACAAAGGGCTAATATCCAGAATCTACAATGAACTCAAACAAATTTACAAGAAAAAACAAACAACCCCATCAAAAAGTGGCGAAGGATATGAACAGACACTTCTCAAAAGAAGATATTTATGCAGCCATTCATTTCTTTTTAAACTCAGTCTGAAATGGCCTTCTCTCCTTCCACCTCATAGAAATGATTTCTATAAAAGTCGTTAATGGCCTGCGCATTGCTAAACATAATGGTCGGTTATCAGTCCTCATCTTACTTAACCTGCCAGTTGATTATTCTTTCCCCTTGATAAACTTTCTTCACTTAGCCACCAGCACGCTGGAATCTCTTGGTTTCTTGCTCCATCTCAGTGTCCTCTACTGCTTCCTCCTTTTCTCTTGACCTCTTTATCTTGGATTGACCGATGCTGTTCCCCTTCTCTTTTTAAGCTGCACTTACTCCCTTGATAATCTCAACCTCTCAAGTTTGAAATGTTATCTGTTACAGGCCCCAATTTACATCCCCAATTTAGACCTATCTACTAAACTCTAAACTCAT
Source organism: Homo sapiens (assembly GCF_000001405.40). Taxonomy (NCBI): domain Eukaryota; kingdom Metazoa; phylum Chordata; class Mammalia; order Primates; family Hominidae; genus Homo; species Homo sapiens. The sequence goes on from NW_009646206.1 coordinate 10,280, forward strand.
ATAGTAAACTGTCTGCACGTGGTCATACAACAGGCAAGTCAAATTCAAGATTCCCGAAGCTGATCTCCTAATAGTCTTCTCCTTTAATGTGTTCCATCCACAGCTTTGCCGATCTCAGTTTATGAATTCTTTGCTCCTCCAGAGTCTTGGGCAAAAATCTTGGTAGTCATTCTTTATTCTCTTTTTATCACAACCCACAACCAATTCACCAAGAAATATAGTTTGCTCTTCCTTTAAAATATATCAGTATTCTGATCAATTCTACCATGGTCCACTTCCAGGATGCCAACAAAACAGGATTAAATACATCTAATGGTTGTTTTCAGAAAGAGTCGTTTGTTTTCTGGGACCCACTGAAGAAATGCCACTGATGTACCTTCTGGGGGCCAGTATTTCTTACCCGATTTCTGCTGTAAGGACTCTCCTATTATTCTCCACTCCAGGGAGCATCACACAATTGGTGTGTGCATAAGTAAACCTAAGATACAGGTGGAAATGTAAATATAATTTTGCTAGTTTGAAAGCCAATTACGAAGGCAGAGGAGCAAGATGGTGGAATAGAAGGCTCCACTGATCATACCCCTGCAAAGATACCAGGTTAACAAGAATCTAACCAGGAAAAAAAAAAAAAACACCCTCAGAAGAACCAAAAATCAGGTGAGCACTCGTAGGCCCTGGTTTTAACTATATATTGCTGAAAGAGGCACTGAAGAGAGAAAAAACAGCCCTGAATCTCAGGCACCACCTCCCCCGGCACTCCCTGGCAGCAGCAGAGTGGTACAGAGATCTTCTCTGGGAGCTGGGAGAGGAAGAACAGAGCAGTCGTGAAGCACTGAACTCAGTGCTGTCCGTTAGAGCAGAAAGTAAAACTGGACCAAATTCAGCTGATGCCTGCTCATGGAGGAAGCATTTACACTAGCGCTAGCCAGAGGGGAATCACAGATCCCAGTGATCTTGAACTTGAGTGAACTTGAGTGTCTGCGAATCTCACCACTGAGAGCTACAGCATTCTGTGTCTCCAAGTAACCTGGAAAAGCAGTCTAGGCTGTAAGGACTGCAACTCTTAGGCTAGCCCTAGTGCTGAACTAGGGCCAGAAATAGCGGACTTGGGATGCACATGACATACAAAAACACCAGCTTGGGCAGCCAAGGGAGTACTGGCATCTCCTCCCCAACTCCAAGCTGCACAGCTCACAGCTCCAAAACAGACCCCTTTCTTTCACTTAAAGAGAGGAGAGGGAAGAGTGGGAAAAGCTTTGCCTTGCATCTAGGATATCAGCTCAGCCACAGCAGGATAGGACATTGGTTGGAGTCATGAGGCCCCCGTTCCAGGCCCTAGCTCCCAGATGGCATTTCTAGACACACCCTGAGCCAGAAGGAAACTTGCTGTCTTCAAGGAAAGGACCCATTCCTGGAAGCATTCATCACCTGCTAACTGAATAGCTATTTATCACCTTGGACCCCAAATAACCAGCAGTGATACCCAGGTACTACGTTGAGGGCCTTGGGTGAGCCTCTGAGACCTGTGACTTCAGAAGAGACTCAGCACATTCCTGTCTGTGGCTGTTATGAGGCAAGGCTCCTGCTTGAGTAAAGCAGAGGGAAAAGCAAGGGGGACTTGGTCTTGCACCTTAGGTACCAGCATGACCACAGGGAGTAGAGCACCAATCGGGGTCTTAGAGTCATTGACTCGGACTTGACTCTTGAACAGCAATTCTGAACCAGCCCTGGGCCAGAAGAGAGCCCACTGCCCTGGAGGGTGAGCCCCAGGCCAGGCAGCATTCACTACAAGCTGACCTAGGAGCTGTTGAGCCCTAAGAGAATATCAGAGGGAGTCTGGCAGTATTCCTTGTGGCCTAGAGTGGCAGTGGCTATGGGGTGACCACTGCCTTTGGAAAGAGCAAGGAAGAGTGGGAAGGACTATGCCTTGTGGTCTGAGTGCCAGCTCAGCCACAATACAATAGAACACCAGGTAGGCTTCTAAGGTCCTTGACTCCAGTCCCTGACTCCTGGATGGCACTTCTGGACCCACCTAGGGCCTGGGGGATATTTGCCACCTGCTGATATTGAGCCCCAGGTTCTTGAGCAAACATAGGCAGCAGCCAGGCAGTGGTTACAGAAAGCCTTTGAGGAGACCAAGTACTGTGCTGGCTTCAGGTCTGACCCAGAACAGTCATAGTGGTGGTGACCACAATGGTGTTTGTGTCACCTTTTCCACAGCTCCAGGCAGCCCAGCACAGAGAGACTCTGTGTGTTTGGTAGAAGTTAAGGGACAAGAACAAGAGTCTCTGCCTCATAACTCAGAGAATTCTCCTGGATCTTGTCCAAGACCATCAATGCAGTACCTCTAAGAGTCTGCAAGAAGCATCATGTTACTGGACTTGGGGTATCCTCTAAAGCAGATACAGCTTAGGTCACCACACCCAAGTTATTTCAAATATCCAGAAAGCCTTCCCAAGAAGAATGGCTACAAATAAGCCCAGACAGTGAAGATTACAACAAATACCTAATCCTCCAATTCCTAGACACTGAAGAACATCTATTAGCATCAACACCATCCAGAAAAACATGACCTCACCAGATGAACTAAATAAGTCACCAGGGACCAATCTTGGAGAAACAGAGGGATGTGACCTTTCAGGCAGAGAAAAATAGCTGTGTTGAGGAAACTCAAAGAAATTCAAGATAACACAAAGATGGAATTCAGAATGCTTTCAAGTGTATTTAACAAAGAAATTGAAATAATTAAAAAGAAAGACAGTTAAACTTCTCCACTGACATTTTTCCAGATTCAGGGTCTATAAGCCACTTCTTTCAATTCTTGTCTGAAGCAGAAAGTCGATTTAAGGATATTAGCAAATAAAAATATAGTGAGGCCAACAATCTTAAGAATGCTTCTCAAAAAATGGTGAAAAATTTTTCTTCAAATAGTGAACAAAAAATAAAAGCCTTTCTATTTGTGCAGCTGCTTCAATAAAACTGCAACTTCTCCGTCAATTAAAACTTTTAATCCAGACAATAGAGAGAAGTCCATCTTTTGATCTCATTCTTCTGCTAGCTGTGATTCCATTTCTTTGTTTCCTCTTGGGTGTTATTAATAAAATGTCAAAAAAACAACAGATGTTGGCATGGATGCAGAGAAAAGGGAATGCTTGTACACTGTTCATGGGAAGGTAGATTGGTTCTACCTCTACGAAAATCAGTATGTAGATATCTCAAGGGATTAAACATAGAGCTCCCCTTCGACCCAACAATCCTGCTACTGGGTACCTACCCAAAGGAAAAGAAACACCTGCACTCCTATGTTTATTTTTATTTACTTTTTTTTTTTGAGATGGAGTTTTGCTCTTGTCACCCAGGCTGGAGTGCAATGGCACGATCTCGGCTCATTGCAACCTCTGCCTCCCAGGTTCAAGCGATTCTCCTGCCTCAGCCTCCCGAGTAGAGTAGCTAGGATTACCGGTGCATGCCACCACATCCAGCTAATTTTTCTATTTTTAGTAGAGACAGTATTTCACCTTGTTGGCCCAACTGGTCTCAAACTCTTGACCTCAGATGATCCACCTGTCTCAGCCTCCCAAAGTACTAGGATTACAGGCATGAGCCACAGCGCCCGGCCTGCACTCCTATGTTTATTCCAGCACTATCCACAATAGAAAGTTCATGGAACCAATCTAAGTGTACATTAACAGTTGATTGGATAAAGAAAATATGCTACATATGGCCAGGCACAGTGGCTCACACCTATAATCTCAGGACTTTGGGAGGATCACGAGCCGGGCAGATAACTTGAGGTCAGGAGTTCGAGACCAGCTTGGCCAACATGGTGAAACCTCGACTCTACAAAAAATACAAAAATTAGCCGGGTGTGGTGGCACGCACCTGTAATCCCAGCTTCTCGGGAGGCTGAGGCAGGAGAACCACTTGAACCCAAAAGGCAGAGGTTGCAGTGAGCCGAGATCATGCCACTGTACTCCAGCCTGGGCAACAGGGTGAAAAAAAAAGAAAAGAAAAGAAAAGAAAATATGCTACATACACACTGTGGAATACTATGTAGCCATAAAAAGAATAAAATCATATCCTTTACAGCAATGTGGATGAAGCTGAAGGCTATTATCCTAAGATAACAAACTCAGAAGCAAAAAAATCAAATTCTGCATGTTCTCACTTAAAATGAGAGGTAAACGATGGATACATATGGACATAAAAAATGGAAATAATAAACACTGGAGACTCCAAAAAAGGGCAGAGAGAGGAGGGAGTGAGGATTGAAAGATTACCTATTGAACACAGTGTTCAGTTTTTGAGTGACAGGTACACTAGAAGCCCAATCCCTACCATTGTGCAATACCCCCATGTAACAAACATGCACAGGTACCCCCAAATCTAAAGTTTTTGAAAAAAAGAATCTTGAGCATCTTTGTAAAGGATTTAAAGGATAAAATAAAGAACAGCCACGCAAGTTTTCTTATAATAGATGAAAAAATTATATTGATTACTTAATATGAAAAATAAACTGCATAGTCTTACTTTCTTCAATTTCTTCACTCATTTGTCCTTAAACTGAGTCTGAAGTGGCCTTCTATCCTTCCACCTCATAGAAATGATTCTGTTAAAGTCATTAATGGCCTGCATATTGCTAAACATAATGGTCAGTTATCAGGTCTCTTCTTACTTAACCTGCCAGTTGATTATTTCTTCCTGCTTGATAAACTTTCTTCACTTAGCCACCAGGACACTGAACTCTCTTAGTTTCTTCTCATCTCGCTGTTTGCTCCATCTCAATGTCCTTTACTGCTTCCTCCTTTTCTCTTGACTTCTTTATCTTGGGTTGACCCAATGCCGTTTCCCTTCTCTTTTTCAGCTGTACTTACTCTTTGGTGATCTCAGCCTCTCACGTTTTAAATGTTATCTATCTGTTACAAGCTCCAAATTTATATCCCCAATCCAGACTTCTGTACCAAACTCTAAACTCATGTATTCAACTCCCTGCACTTGGACATACAACAGGCATCTCAAACTCAAGATTTCCAAAGCTGAGCTCCTGATATTCTTCCCCCTTAAACATGCTCCATCCACAGCTTTGCCAATCTTAATTTATGACTTCCTCACCCGCCCAGTGTCTTGGGCCAAAATCCCGGTAGTCATTCCTGATTCTTCTCTTTTTATCACATCTCACATCTAATTCACCAGGAAATACAGTTTGCTTTTCCTGTAAAACATATAAATATTCTGACCAATTCTACCAGCTCTACTTCCACAAATCTGATCTGAGTTACCATTGTCACTGGAGGATTACTGTCATAGCCTTACAAATACTCTTTCTTCTGTCCATGCCTATCCGTAGTCCATTCTGTACACAGCAGCAAGGCGGATCCTTTTAAAATATAAGCATGATCATATCTGTCCTCTGTCCATGCCTCCCATCTTTCACTTACAGCCAAATTCCTTAATAATGGTCCATAAGTTTCTCTGTGATCTATTTTTCCATATTCTCTTCAATTTCATCTCCTACCTCTTTCCCCCTCTACTCCAGACACAGTGGCCTCCTTGTTGCTCCTTAAAACTTCTATTGACACTTCCTCATAATGGTCCTTGTCAGTAGCTAATATCTCTGTCTGGAACCTTTTTCTCCAAGGTTCACTGACTGTTTCCCTGAGTCATTTGATAAAGTTCAAGGCAAATCCTACATCTCCCTCTGAGTGAGGAGGTCACCCGGGCACAAATCATTGAACACATGTAACAGTGAAACAGCAAAGGAACTACCAAAACAAACTCCACTTTTGTTTAAGAGGCATTTACCCATTCCTGCATGTAAGTTAAGATAATTTTAAAGCACTGAGATAAAACACAAAAGCAACCATGTAGTTTTTTAAGTAAACTGTACAATTAAAGGGGAGATATGGAAACAACTAACTATGTTTTCCTGAAGATTTATAGAAGCATTGTGACTTGACCAAGGACAAAGAAGTTCCCAATCTTCTCAGAGCCTCACTGGTACCCAGATGTCTGCAGACTTCAGTCACCTCTTGATCCCAACCCCTGAGCATAGTTTCCTCATATCGCCCTCCCATAAGAACCCTCCAGCCAGCCTAAGAAACTTGAGATGGTCTTTGCAACCCTAGCCTGCCACCTCCTTGGGTTGCTGCTTCCCGATAAACCTGCTTCTCCTCACACCAACTCTCGTCTCTTGACTTTGGCTTTTGAGTGGCGAGCAGCTGAACCTAGATTTGGTTACACACATACTGGCCTATAGTGCAAAAGAGAATATGTATATGTTTGTCAATGAGAATGGCTGGATTTGCCTAATTCTCTGTTTTTTTGTATTTTTATTTAAGTTTGGAATTAGTTGTATATAAAATGTGTGTCTGTGCCCCTGAGTGTGTGTGTCTGGATTCAGATTAATATCTCCTTGTCAGGGGCATGCCTGCGTCTCTTAGCTGCAAGAGGAAACCATGCTCTGTGTCCTGATTCTACCTGGGCATCAATGTAGGAAACAAAGTCTTGGCTTTCACCTACTGATGCATCCATCTCTCCCACATCTCAACCCCTGCTGACTGTCTGTTTCCCTGATTGTGGGTCATATGATGAAGATCATGATAAATCTCATGTCCCCCTCTAATGGAGTAGACTGCAGTTTGTGTGTAATGGAGGGTGATGGGAAAAGGGGAAGTATTAGCATGCCTTGGGACCCACAATAGAGACAACTCAGACTTCTCCAGTCACCAAAATGAGCAGAGGTGGCTGATGTAAGAGCCTGAGATACACTCCAGGCAGGATTTCCTTTCCACATGTGTGTGCCTGTGTGTGTTGGGGTGGGGGCAAACTAATAAAGGTAAGTAGATGTTTGAGACAGAGAGAGCAAGAAGGACTGTGTTTGCTCTCAGGAGGTTACATTTCCTATAGTAATGGCTTTATGGAGAAAGTCGTTTTCCTGTCTCTGCAGAAGGAGTCCAGAATTCCAGGTGGATTTCTGTGAATATCCCAAGGAAGGCGCCACCATGACATTCCACTTCCCAGTGTACTCGAGCAATGTGGTAGTGATGAACAGCATCCAGAAAGGGTTATGGAATGAGAAAAACATGTTTCTCTGGCTCCTTTGTGACAGGGAAGTCTTTTGAGCTGTGAGTTTTGGTGCTGGACAATCAGTACCAGGTATGTGGGCCCTAAGGGGTGAGGGGCATGGACCTCAGTGGCTGGGGTGGGGCTGCTGTGGAGGAACTGAGTCCAAATCTGATCTGGTCTCAGTAGAAAAATTGGATTCCATATCCTACCATGCCCTTTGCTGCACACAAGCCCCAGCCACAAAAGCTGACCTCTGGTTCTGGTGCTCTCCTTGTCTTCTCCATAAAACATGCTCATTCTTGCAGATGGAGCTGAAACATCAAAACTCTGAACCTTATTGGTCACTGTCTCTTTCTCATTGAGAAAACACAGATCACAGACACATTCCCCACTGCAGTCCTTCATCCCTGAGGGCGGAGGACATGTCTCCTGTGCATGGCAGCAGTCTTGACCCTGAGGAAAATATTGAAGACAACTTTTTAAGCACTGCAGTGTGTGCTGTGCAAGTACAGATTCAGAGGTGAATCCAACACATCTCCTGCCCTCAAGGACAGTCAGGAATGTTGAGGGAAAATTACAGGCTTGCTGTCATCAGGGTAGACCAGGGATGAGAAGCTCTGGAAGCAAAGAAGTGGGACAATGGAGGATGATTTACTGCAGCCAAGGCTTGGCCATGTTTCCTGGAGAAGGAGATATTTGAGCTGTTTTGTTTTGAGGGAGAATAGAAATTTTTACAGGCAATGAGAGGAAAGGCATTTGAGGAAAGGGAAGGTGGAGGTCTGAATGTTCTGAGCTCACAAACAGTACATCTCTTTCCCCAGGTGTTTGTGAATGGGAAGTCCACCTATATGTTTGCCCACTCCCTTTCACCACAGTCTGTGAAAATGGTGCAGGTGAAGGGAGATACTTTCCTGACTTCAGTGGATATATTGTAAGGGGCAGAGAATCTTGCAATAAAAATATCCACCTCATTACACTCTTTTATAATGTGCATGATCACAGCATCTCCCAGAAGGTGCCAGAGTGTCTCCCAATCCCCACACTTAAGCTAATGATAGTAAAATCTTCCTAGTATTAGCCAGGACTTGGCTCTCGCTAATAGGAAAGATCCCAAGGGAAGATTTGGCACATGTGGAAATTCATCCTGGGTAGGGTGTACAGAGTGTGGCTTGGGAAAGGTGCAGGTGGTTAAAATGTCAATGGTTGCCCCTGAAATAGAGACAGAGCCAAAGCATCTCATGATATTATGCAGAAGATGGAAGGGTGTTGGGCTATGGAAGGAAGAAATATGGCTTTGGGCGTGTGACTCTCTTTTGAGTTGTTTGTTCATTCAACACATAGTTATTGACCCCTTACTGTCATATACCTCTATGTATGCCAGACATTCCCATATCACTGGTGTAAGGAGCTGAGAGGACCAGGAAATGATCCTATTGGCAAAAGGAACTCGATACTGATGAGTTAGGGATGAAGTTGTTCTTAGAGGGGCTCCTTAACTCAGGAGTTAAGTGTCAGTTGGTCAGGCAGATGTACCTTGAACCCTGATGCATGGCTTTCTGGAGGTCTATCTCCCCTCCCTCCACTCAGGACCACTCAGGGTGCACCCAAAAGCTTTCAGGGGTCACAAAGTGTGATCCAGGAGACTGGGCTCAGACCTTTCCAGACCTCTCTAGCCTGAGGTCCTCTGGAGACATACAGAAAAGCCAAAACCTGTAGACCTAATTATCCTCCAAGTTTCTGTGGTCCCTGAGTTTCCACAAACTCCCAGACACTTCATGTAAAAAGAATGGTTGCTTTTGTCATCTTTAGGCCCTCAGAGTGTTCTTCCATGATTTTCCTCGGAAAGTTTTGTTCATGTTTTTTTTGTGTTTTTGGTTGTTGTTTGTTTGTTTTGTGTTTTAGAGACAAGCTCTTTCTCTGTCACCCAGGCTGGCTTGCAGCAGTGTGATCACAGCTCACTGAAGCCTCGAACCCCAGGGCTAAAGTGATCCTCCTGCCTCAACCTTCTTAATAGCTGGTACTACAGGCACATGTCACCATGCCCAGCTAATTTTTTTTATCTTTGTAGAGACAGTCTTTCTATGTTGCCCAGGCTGGAATGCACTGGCAGGATCATACCTCACTGCAGACTCAACCTTCTGGACTCAAGCAATCCACCTACCTCAGCCCTTGAAAGTGCTGGTATTACAGGAGTGAGCCACTACGTCTGGCTCCCCAAGAAGTTTTGATATTGCTTACGTGTCTATCTATTACCACAATAATAACCATGAAAAGATGCTGAATCAAAACAAACAAAAATAGTTCAGGTTCTGGAGCAAGCCTGGTTCAAACCTCTGCTGTCTTAATTCTTAGCTCTGTGACCTTGTGCAAGTTTCTTAAACTCTCTATACCTCAGTTTCCTTTTTTGAAAAATGAGGATAGTTGTATCTATCTCATATAGTTGTTGTGAGCATCAGGTGAATCGATACTTTTTTTAAAAGATGCTGAATCACCAGGGAAATGCAAATCAAAACCACAGTGGGATATTACCTCACATCTGTTAGCATGGCTATTTTCGAAAGAACAAAAGATAACAAGTGTGGGCAATGATGTGAAGAAATTGGAGGCCTTGTGCACTGTGGGTAGGAATGCAAAATGGTGCAGCCACTATAGAAAACAGTATGGAACTTCTGCAAAGAATTACAAATATAACTACCATATGACCCAGGAATCCCACTCCTGGGAATATAGCAAAGAAGTTGAAATCGGGATTTCAAAAAGATATTAGCATCCCATTGTTCATTGCAGCACTATTCACAATGGCCAAGATATGGAAACAACCTAAATGACTATAGACAGATGATTCAATAAAAAAAATGTGGTGTATACACACAATGGAAAATTATTCAGCCTTTAGAAAGAAGGATATCCTGCAATATGCAACCACATGGATGAACCTTAAAGACATTATGCTAAGCAGATAAGCCAGCCACAGAAGGACAAATACTGCAGGATTCCATTTATATGAGGTGATTGAAATAGTCAAAATTAGAGAAGCAGAGAGTAAAATCGTGGTTACTGGGGGTCGGGAGGAGGGGTAAATGGGATATTGCTAACCAGCGGACATAAAGTTTCACTTACACAAGATGAATAAGTTCTAGAAATTGTCTGTACAACACTGTGCCAATAGTTAACAACACTGTACTGCAAACATAAAAAATGTGTTAAGAGGGTAGATGTCATGTCAAGCATTTTTACCACAGTAAAGTAAAATTTTGTTAAAGAATACATGTAAATTAGTACAAACACTATGGAGAACAGTTTGGTGATTCCTCAAAAAACTAAAAATGGAAATCCAGCAATCTCACTGCTGGGTATATATCCAAAAGAAAGGAAATCAGTATGTTGAAGAGATATCTGCACCCCCATGTCTACTGCAGCACTGTTCACATCAGCCAAGATTTGGAAGCAACCTCAGTGTCCAGCAACAGATGAATAGATAAAGAAAATGTGGTGCTTATACACAAGGGAGTATTATTCAGCCATAAAAAAGAATGCGATCCTGCAATTTGTAACAACATAAATGGAAGTGAAGTTCATTACGCTAAGTGAAATAAGCCAGGCACCGAAAGACAACCATCACATGTTGTCACTTGTTTGTGGATCTAAAAATCAAAAACAATTGAACTCATGAAAATGGTGAGTACAAGGACGGTCTCCAGAGGCTGGGAAGGATAGTAGAGGGCTGGGGATGAGAGATGCAGATGGTTAATGGGTACAAAAAATAGTTAGCATGAATGAATAATGCCTAGTATTTGATAACACAACCAGGTGGCTATAGTCAATAACTGTACATTTAAAAATAACTAAAAGAGGCCGGGCATGGTGGCTCACATCTGTAATCCCAGCACTTTGGAAGGCCAAGGTGGGTGGATCACTTGAGGCCAGGAGTTCAAGACTAACCTGGCCAGCATGGTGAAACCCCGTATCTACCAAAAAATACAAAAATTTCACTGGGCGTGGTGGCGCATGTCTGTAGTCCCAGCTACTCAGAAAGGTTGAGGCACAAGAATCCCTTGAACCTGGGAGGCAGAGGTTGCAGTGAGCTGAGCTTGTGCCACTGCACTCCAGCCTGGGCAACAGAGCAAGACTCTGTCAAAAAAAAAAAAAAAAAAAAAAACCCTAAACTAAAAGAGTATAATTGGATTGTTCATAACAGAAAGCATAAATGTTTGAGGGGATGTAAACCCCAATTTCTATGATGTGATTATTATGCATTGCATGCCTGGATCAAAATATCTCATGAACCCCATAAATATATACACCTACAATGTTCCCATATAAATAAAATTAAAAATTAAAAACAATACAAAAAAGGCATGTGCTATTCTATTGGTCCTGGCATACTGGCTTTGATAGACACATCCATCTTTTCTCACTGGTAGTGTCAATCACCTACTTTTATGAACCATTCTTAAATCAATTTGAGACAGCATCCCACATTAAATTGTACATCCAAGGAGTCAATACCAGTTTCAAAGGAGATAGAAATAGACCAGATTTTTCTTTTTTCTTTTTTTATTTTATTTATTTATTTATTTATTTATTTATTTATTTATTTATTTATTTTGAGATGGCGTCTCATTCTGTTGCCAAGACTGGAGTATAGTGGCACAATCTTGGCTCACTGCAACCTCTGCCTCTCAGGTTCAAGTGATTCTCCTGCCTCAGCCTCCTGAGTATCTGGGACTACAATCATGTGCCACCACACCTGACTAATTTTTGTATTTTTAATAGAGATAAGTTTTCACCGTGTTGGTCGAACTGGTCTTGAACTCCTGACCTCAAGTGATCCACCTGCCTCAGCCTCCCGAAATGCTGGGAATACAGGCTTGAGCCACCACGCCCAGCCAATAGACCAGATTTTTGAAACATTTACATGTTAAAAAAAGAGAGAGAGAAAGGGAGAGAGCAGGATTTATATTTATTCAATGTGAGGGAGAGTATGTCAAAGATTACTCCCGTTCAGGAACAGCTAAGTGGAGAGGGTTTCCATATTGGTACAGGGAAAAATGGAGGAGAACCTGATTTGCATTAATAGTGACAGGTGTCCAGAAGAAATGTGAGTAGTGATGTTAAGGCAGAAATTACATGTTAATATGTCTGGAGCTCCAGTAGAAAAGGTTGAGGTCTATGGTAGAGATAAACTTGGCATATTCAGCACATATCTTAAACACGTGCAGACTTGATATGGCCTAAAGGAAACTAACACAGATGTGGAAACATGGGGAACCCAAGACTAAGCCCTTCAAAAGTCTGATCCTTAAGAATTGAATAGAAGAAGCATGAGAAGGCTCTAGGAATGAGAAATTCCATCCCCCACCCCCTCCCCCACCACAACATCAAATAACAACCATACTTGGAACCCGCAGAATCAGTGTTGGGACTCACAGCAGACAGCAGCATGACAAGGATGCAATGATATTTGCAGCAGGGAACATCTGGGAATACAGAAAGGGCCTTGCAAAAGCAGAACCCAAAAAATATATACCCTTAGAAGGTAAAAAACCCACCCTCGAGGCAACTGTTAAGATTGAGACAAAGAAATGGGATGGCACAGAATTGCTGAGCACCAGCAGAAAAGAGGAGAAAGAGCAATATCTTTTAAATTAAACATCAGTGTAGCAACTGAAAAAAGAACTCTTCCTCAAGATAATTTATTTTCATCTGATAGAAAATTGTCATAGGCTGGGCATGGTGGCTCACGCTTGTCATCCCAGCACTTTGGGAGGCCGAGGCACTCCCAAAGTGGTGGGATGAGAGGCGTGAGCCAATGGGCCCAGCCTATTAGCATGTTTTGAAAGTATACAATGTTATGTTACTGATGATAAGTCTGTGTCCCTTCCCAATGAGGCAGTTATATAGGACACAACCTACCACTACACATACAGCCTCAAAGCACTGGCCCAGGCTCTGCCTCACCTTACAGCTGACCCATGAGGGTTCATCTGACAACTTCAGGCTCCAGAGGCGTTGAAGAACAACAAATTGTTGATTGTCTACACACAGAGATTGTTGACGGCTGTTGTGATAACTCAGTTCTTGTCTTCTTAGTTTAAAAGAATTTAAACAAGATGCAGAAAAAAAGGAATGCTTTTATGCTGTTGGTGGGAATGTAAATTAGTTCAACCATTGTGGAAGACAGTGTGGCGATTCCTCAAAGATTTAGAACCAGAAATATCATTCGACCCAGCAATACCATTGCTGGGTATATACCCAAAAGAACATAAATTATTCTTATTATAAAGATACATGCACACGAATGTTCACTGCAGCACTATTCACAATAGCAAAGACATGGAATCAACCCAAATGCCTATCAATGATAGACTGGATAAAGAAAATGTGGTACATATACACCATAGAATACTATGCCACCGTAAAAAGGAACGCGATCATGTCCTTTGCAGGGACATGCATGGAGGTAGAAGCCGTTATCCTCAGCAAACTAATGCAGGAACAGAAAACACCGCATGTTCTCAGTTATAAGTGGGAGGTAAATGATGAGAACACACGGACACAGGGGAGGGAACAGCACACACTGGAACCTGTCAGGGGGGCAGGGGAAGGGAGAGCATCAGGAAGAATAGCTAATGAATGCTGGGCTTAATACTTAGGCAATGGGATTATCCCTGCAGCAAACCACCACGGCACACATTTACCTATGCAACAAACCTGCACTTCCTGCACATGCACCCCGGAACTTAAAATAAAAGTTGATTTAAGAAAAAAGAATTTAAACAAGAGACACACAGCAAAAGAGATGCAGCATAGAGTAATCTATTGCAAAAGAATACTTTGAAGGTTAAGTGCAGAATAGACAGTACACCCTAAGAGAGAGAGGTCAGAGTAGTTTGCTCATGAGAATGAGACAGTGTTGCGTTTTGCTGGAGAAACCTCATTTCTGGGAAACTTACATGATTATTCATAAGGAGGTGGGAAAAGGTGTTACTAATAAGCATGTTCTGGGTGGTCTTCTGGGTGCACACGCACAGTAGCTGTACATGCCTGTTCATACATCATGTGTCTCATTAGCATCTTAAATCTCCACCCAGAGATGTGTTTTTTACTATTATAATGAGCAACAGATCTGCTTGAGGACAGGTAAAATTAAAATGCACATTCTTTCTAGAAACGAAATCCTCTACTGAAGGGAGCTTTGCTTGAATGAGCTCTATTACAATGTGAATGCTGAGGCTTACTGTGTTGATTGTATGGCCACCAAGGTTGCTGCATCCCAAAAACATGGTCTCTTCCTTGACTACCTGTCTTGCCTCAAGATTATCACATGGATTTCCTCAAGCAAATAGCATTTATGGGACTAGGATGTGGACATCAGAAGACATCCAGGAAGCACTTGGAAAAAGTTTTCTCCTTGTTTCTACAGACACGCCGATTGTGCTAGATGCCTTGGGGTCAATAAAGACCCATGTATCTCTTGGTCATCTGAGCAGAGTTAAATTAGGAATTCAGGACTGGCTTTTCAGGTAAAAGAAGTGGGCACTGACAGCTTGGCTGGATTTCCCAGGTCCCCATTTAATTATTGTAATAAAAGCTCAGGCTCATTCACTCCCTCATTTAATGTCTCAGCTCATAAGATGAATATCTAAGGTATGGCAACGGTCTGCAATAAACAGAATGCTTGTGTCCCCTCATATTTATATTGAAATCGTAACCCCCCCGGCAATGTCACGGCATAAAGAGGTAGGGTCTTAGGGTGGTGATTAACTCGTGAGGGTGGGGCCCTTATGAATGGGATTAGTGCCCTTCTAAAAAGTACCCCAAGGAGCTCTCTCGCCCTCTCTCTACCATGTGAGGATACAACAAGGAATCAGCAGCGTGCAACCTGGAGGAGGCCTTTCAGCAGAACCCAGCCATGCTGGCACCCAGATCTCAGACCTCCAGCCTCCAGAACTGTGAGAAATAAATTTCTGTTGTTTATAAGACACTGAGTCTGTGGTATGATGTTGTAACAACCTGAATTGACAAAGACATAGTCTAAGTAAGAAATAATTATAAGACAACTTTATGCCTTGGAGAGGCATCACTGGACAGACAGTCTGTCTTATTAAGTATAGGACACAGTTTCTTTTCCAAGGCTGGAAATGGATGGAGCCTGAAGATGTCTCTGATGCATCCTCTCCCACCGCTAGAGGGCAGCATCCTAAGGATCCGTTTCCGAAGCGCTGGAATTGCGTTTTTAGAGGTCACAGACCCTTTGGTAAACAAATAAATGCTATGGACGCCTAATTTTTAGAGTATGTTCTCATGTTTACAGGTTCTTCTATATTCAGAATTTTAAAATATCATTCTCACCAAGAATCGGAACTTACTGAAAAAGAAGGGAGTGAAAGAATTTCTGAGTTCGTGGGAAACCTGGCCATGCACTGCAGTGTAATGAAAACTGGGACTCCAGGGGGCAAATGAGGGTAAATGCTGTTCCTAAAGCGGGGATCAGTTAAAAAAGGTCAATCACTACCTTAGGTGATTGGTGAAAGGTTGGTGAGTTTAGCCCATGAGATAATATATGTGCTTCTCTTTTGGGGTCCCAGCCTCCCAAAGTGCTGGGATTACAGGCATGAACCACCGCGCCCAGTCTCTTATGGATTTTTTTTAAATCAAGAATTCTCTGGAAAGAACATTTTCCTTTCCGGAAGGGGCCACGTATACGCTATCTTGAGAAGAAGGCAGGTTATATTTGAGAAGAATCAAAATTTAATGTCAGATGCAGCAATGAGGTTTCATGTTTAGCAAATCTGAGTCTGATTGTTGAACTATTACATGGACAACATAATGTCACAGTGGGAATCTAGTGAAAATTGGCCCAATATGTCTTGAGAAGCCACTAGGGGAAGCCAAACACTACGTAACCAAAAAAATCAAATTGGGGTTAGGAAAACAGAATTAGCTACCAGGGAAAATAATGTCCCAAGTGTTCTCACCTTCTTCTTCTTAAATTGAAGTTTAAAGCATTTTGCGGCTCAACCCCTAACCGCAAAAGAAAAGCACACATATTATCCCATGGGCTAAACTCACCAACCTTCCACCTAAGGTAGTGATTGTCGTCTTTTAATTACTCCCTGCTTCAGGAGCAGCGCTTACCCTCATTTGCCCCCTGGAGTCCTAGTTTTCATTCCACTGCACTACATGGCCAGACTTCCCACTGGCTCAGAAATTCTTTCACTCTCTTCTTTTTCAGTAAGTTCCAATTCCTGGTGAGAATGATATTTTAAAATTCTGAATATAGAAGAACCCGTAAACATGAGAAAATGCCCTAAAAATTAGGAGTCCAGAGCATTTATTTGTTTACCAAAAGGGTCTGTGACCTTTAAAAACTCAATTTCAGCCCTTTGGAAACGGATTCCCAGGATGCTGCCCTCTAGCGGTGGGAGAGGATGCATCAGCGATATTTTTTTTTTTTTTTTTTTTTTTTTTTTTTTTGAGACGGAGTCTCGCTCTGTCGCCCAGGCTGGAGTGCAGTGGCGGGATCTCGGCTCACTGCAAGCTCCGCCTCCCGGGTTCACGCCATTCTCCTGCCTCAGCCTCCCAAGTAGCTGGGACTACAGGCGCCCGCCACTACGCCCGGCTAATTTTTTGTATTTTTAGTAGAGACGGGGTTTCACCGTTTTAGCCAGGATGGTCTCGATCTCCTGACCTCGTGATCCGCCCGCCTCGGCCTCCCAAAGTGCTGGGATTACAGGCGGCATCAGCGATATTTTGACCAGCCTGGTCAACAGGGCGAAACCTTTTCTCTACCAAAAATGCAAAAATTAGCTGAGTGTGTTGGTGTGCACCTGTAATCTCAGCTATTCAGGAGGCTGAGGTAGGAGAATCGCTTGAACCTAGAGGCGGAAATTTGCGGTGAGCGGCGATCACGCCACTCTGCACTCCAGCCTGCACGACAGAGTGAGTGAGACTCCCCTTAAAAAAAAAAAGATGTGGAATGCATGTTTACAACAGCACAATTTGAAATTGCAAAGATACGGAACCAACCTATGCATCTATTGACCAACGGGTGAATAAAGATAATGTGGTATATATGCACCATCGAATACTACGCAGCCATAAAAAGCAATGAAATCATGTTTTTTGCAGCAACTTGGATAGAGCTGGAGGCCATTATTCTAAGTGAAGTAACTCAGGAACGGAAAACCAAATATTGCATGTTCTCGCTTATAAGTAGGAGCTAAGCTATGGGTACACAAAAGCATACATAGTGATATAATGGACTTTGGGGTCTCGGGGGTGGGGAAGTTGGGAGAGGGGTGAGGGATGAAAGACCACGTATTGGGCTGGGGGTAGTGGCTCATGCCTGCAATCCCAGCACTGGGAGGCCGAGGCAGGCAGGTCACCTGAGGTCAGCAGTTCAAGGCCAGCCTGGCTAACATGGTGAAACCCCATCTCTACTTAAAAAAAAATTACAAAAATTAGCTGGGCATGGTGGTGGGTGCCTGTAGTCCCAGCTACTCGGGAGACTGAAGTGGGAGAATCACTTGAACCCAGGAGGCAGAGGTTGCAGTAAACTGAGATCACAGTAAGCTGAGTGCAGTGGTGCACTCCAGCCTGGGCAACAGAGCGAAACTCCGTCAAAAAAAAAAAAATGACTACAAAGACTACATACTGGGTACAGTGTACACTGCTTGGGTGATGGGAGCACCAAAAATCTCAGAATTCACCACTAAAGAACTCATCTATGTAACCAAAAACCACGTGTACCCCCAAAACTATTGAAATTTAGAAAACATTCTAAAAATGAATAAAATAAAATACCAGTAAGACATGTGATGTATGTACTCATATGTAGAGCAATAGCACATGCGCATCCAGGAGACCACCCACAACATGCTTAAAAACAATACCCCTTTCCATGCCCTCATGAATAATCGTGGAAGACTTCCATAAAGGGAGTTTCCCAGTGCCAGTCTGGGCTGTCTCATTCTCAAGCTGCCGCCTCTGACCTAGCTTTCAGAGTGCACTTTCGCTCTGCAATAAACTCCTTTGCCGACTTTTACTCTGCACTTGACTCTGAAATTCTTTTGTGCGGTGAAGTCAAGAACCTGAACTGGCCAGCCAACAACAATAGCAGCGTCAGGCTCCGCAAGTTAAAGGGCTCAGACCCACCTAATTGCTGCCACTTCAGGTGGCAGTCGCAAGGTCTCAACTGCCACCTGCACTTCTGACCAACTGGCTATAAATTGGGGAGTTCCCATGACCCTCTCCAAAGGTTGAATAATTTGCTAAAATGGTTGCAGAACTCAGAAAACACTTTACTTAGATTGTTGGTTTATTATAAAGGATACGACTTAGGACAGCCAAATGAAAGAGATGTATAGAGCAAGAAATGGGGGGCTGGGTGGATGGTGCAGAACTCTCAGGCCCTGAGTGTGCCATGCTCCCAGTACTTTAAAGTGTTAGCCCACCCGGAAGCTCACTGACAGGTTTTATTCCTTAGGCATAATTGATTAAATCATTGGTCATGGGTGATTAACTCAATCTACAGTCCCTCTTGCCTCCCTGGAGGTCGGGGTGGAGCTAAAAATTCCAACCCTCTAATCACGTCTTGGTCTTTCCAGTGAGCAGCCCTCATCCTGAAGCTACCTAGGGGCCCCCAGCCACCAGTCATCTCATTCACATGTAAAAGACACTCCTTACTCCAGAGAATCCAAGGATTTTGGAGCTGTGTGCCAGGAACCTGGACAAAGACCAAGTCTTTATTTTTTGTTTTGTCACAACAGGCAATATAGTCTTCTGGTTAACAGCCCAGGCTCTGGAGACACACTGCCTGGGTACAGTTCCATGTCATCTTCTAAAATGTGCCCTTAGCAAGTTATTTCTTAACATATCCATGCTAATTCCTCATCTGTAAAATGGGGATAATACCAACTACCTCTTAGTTATGTTATGAAATTACATACATTGATTTTTTATTGTTCAAAAAAGACCATGTACATGTCTTTTGTTAATAAAATAAATTGAATGTCATTAATTGTTTTCTTGTCCAGATTAGAATTTCATATCTGAGCTTTATCCACCCTCTTCTCTCCGTAATGCTGAATTTTACAACCTATACAACCGACATAACTACAGCTCCAGGAAATCCAGAAAAAGGGTGGGACTGCTCTAACCTCAGCTGCTGATGGCCTCTTTGTAGATTGTCTTAGCTGATGCCTTTACTCTGGAAGATGGCACAGTTTCTCATTCCTTTCCCAGGAAAGGAAGATCCAATAGAAATTTACCCATCCTCTCGCCCTTGATGGCTACAACCTGAAAATGTCTTCAATGCATATGACCTCACTCCTAGAGGGTCGCGTTTTGAGAATGCATAAAAGCTCACTTTGGGACGCCAAGGCGGGCGGATCACGAGGTCAGGAGATCGAGACCATCCTGGCTAACATGGTGAAACCCCATCTCTACTAAAAATACAAAAAATTAGCTGGGCACCTGTAGTCCCAGCTACTCAGGAGGCCGAGGCAGGAGAACGGCGTGAACCCTGGAGGCGGAGCTTACAGTGAGCCGAGATTGGGCCATGGTACTCCAGCTTGGGTGACAGAGCAAGACTACATCTCAAAAAAAAAAAAAAAAAAAAAGCTCAAAGCTATTCTTTGTGGGCCGATGATGGATATAATAAACCCCTCAAACTTATTCTCAGATCCACAGGAAACTTGAGCGACTCCCTATGTTCTGATATTTTCTAAATACAATGTACTGCATTCCTTTTGACTTCCCCAAGCCCAAACATTCCAGAGAATTTTACAGAAATTCTATTTTTGATCTGAATTTGGGGGCCTGCACATGAGACTTTCTCTCAAATTACCCTCTATTTTGTCCAGAAATCCCTTATAGTTCATGTCCTTGGGACTCTGTTGAAGGGGAGAAGGAGGAAAGTCCTCCCTACTGTTTCTCATGCCTTCTTGAGCTCTGTGTCCTGCATCTGTAGTGCATGCTATTAACTTTGCTCCCAGATCTTCTTACCCATCAGGGCACTCATCCCTCAGATGCTGTCACGAGAAGCTGGCTCCCCCCGCTCTGGAGAATTGTCCTTGGTCAAACAGAAGTCACTTCACTTCGGAGGTGAAGGTCCCCCTCACTTCCTCCAACTTGTTGTAGAACCCCAAAATTTAGGTTCACATTCCCAACGTGCAGTCAGCCAAACATTGACACTTCAGTGCTTAGGAGTAGAGAGGATTATCCCATTTGGCCAAAGTGAGAGGGTAGGAGAGAAAGTCTCTCAGATCTAACCTGCCTGTGAACATAATAGGGCTTTTATGAGGAAGGTAGGTGTGTGGGAGGTGAGATGCCCTAATAATCAAAACTGATTGCATTCTTGGGCCTGATCAAACTTCTGGATGCCGTGAAGGAGGTCTGTGTGACCTAAGAATCAGTTTCTTTTTTGTTTGTTGGTTTTTGAGACAGGATCTTGTTCTGTTGTCCAGGCTGGAGTGCAGTGAGGGGCATGATCATAGCTCACTGTATTCTCGAACTCTTGGGTTCAAGTGATCATCTCGCCTCTGCCTCCCAAATAGCTGGGACTACAGGCGTGCACCACCATGCCCAGCAACTTTTTTTTTTTTTTTTTTTTTTTTTGAGACAGAGTCTTACTCTGTAGCCCAGGCTGGAGTGCAGTAGCATAATCTCGGGTCACTGCAAACTCTGTCTTCCGTGTCCCAGTTCAAGCAATTCTCCTGCCTCAGTCTCCCAAGTAGCTGGGATTACAGGCACGTGCCACCATGCCCAGCTAATTTTTTGTATTTTTAGTAGAGACAGGGTTTCACCATGTTGGCCAGGCTGGTCTCGAGCTCCTGTCCTTGTGATCTGTCCACCTCGGCATCCAAAGTGCTGGGATTACAGACGTGAGCCACTGCGCCCAGCACCCAGCTAATTTTTAAAACATTTTGTAGAGACAGGATCTCACCATGTTGCCCAGGCTGGTCTCAAGCTCCTGGGCTCAAGTGATCCTCCTGCTTTGGCCTTCCAAAATGCTGGGATTACAGGCATGAACCACCATACCCAGCCCCATGGACCACTGTTCTTTAGAAAAACAAGTTCATTAACCCTGCAAGTAGCCCCAGGAGTTAGGATATGAAGTTAGCCAATTACTCGTGACTCCCTCTACCAAAATGGCTATGTGAAAGCCAGCATGCATGGAGGAAGACGGGAAAATAAGGAAAACAAATCTCTCACGATTTTCATAATGCAGGCTCGGTTACAAACCCAGAAGGCAGAATGCAGTCAATGACTTGGTGATATGGGGGTACAGAAGACCACTCCCATACCTCAAAGAGCCACTGTGAGGTGCAGTTCAACCTCCAGTGCTTCTCCCTGGAATTAGACTAAGCTACATCCAGCTGAGACCACATTCCAGCTCAGCTCCCTTTGCTGTATTTCAGTTTTCTCACATCTCTATTTCTGGAAGCTCTGTTTCAATAAATCACTTGAACAAGAATCCCTGTCTGAGGCTGTGCTTCAGGAATCTAATCTGTAACACCATCTCTCCAAGGGAGAACATTTACCTTGTTAGTCTCAGTCCAGAAGGAAACCTTGTTATTTCAGGCCACCTGTGTTGCAAATCCCTTCAGTCTCTCACCCAGGGCATTGCATTTGAATTTCAATGCTAAATCAGATGTATCTTTCTTCAATATTCTGTATATGAAGGTTCACAGGGAAGAAACTCATACAGATCATTTGATAATACTGTCAAGCAAAAGTTGTAGAAGGCCATTGTTTTGGACTGAGCTCCTATACTAGGCCCAACGGACCAGACCAAACCAAAATAAAGTCACTCATGCTAAATGCCACATTATCCAACTGAAACTTTAAGATGGCAGAAAAATCCCCAAACAGATCAGTTTTTCCTGACAATAGGAGATCCCACTTTACCTCAGTCAGTGTAAGAAGGAAGTCCCCTCTGCTTTAACCCTTATTTAAAAAGTAACCGGAAGTAATTTGACATGAACCAATCAGCTTTTTTTCCTATTTTTCTGTTTCCTTTTTCCCACCTTACAAAATTCACTGTTCTGCCACTGGCCAGTGGGAGCTCTCATTCTATTTCATAGAATGAAGGATGAATAAAAGGATTCATGAATTACGAATAAAAGCCAATAAGATCTTTATCTAAATGTGCTGTAATTTTGTCTTTCAACATGATTTGCCTTAAACTGATATTCCTCACACTTATTTTCATCCACATACAACTTCTTATCATATCTTATCCTAAAGTATCTTATCCTAAAGTATAATGAATACCACAGACTGGACAATTTTTAATGAAAAGAAACTTACTGCTTACAGTTATGGAGGCTGGGAAGTACAAGGTCAAGGGGCTCACATATGGGGAGGGTCTTCTTGTTTCATCAGCCCACGGTAGAAGGCAGAAGAAAGGGAAGGAAAGAGAGAGAGAAAGAGAGAGAGAGAGAGACACTCGATGTTATAACAAACTCACTCCCGAGATACTGAGATAATGACATTAATCCATTAATCCAGTCAGGCAAGCCGAGCTCTCCTAACCTAATCACCTTTGATTAGGCCCCATCTCCCAACACTGTTGCATTAGGGATTAACTTTTCAACCCATGAACTTTGGAGAACATATTCAAAGCATAACAAGAAGGGAAAACTAGTTTGCTTTTTAAATACATGTTGATGCACGTAGCACACATCTGGACACCAGGCAACATTTTTCTAAGGAGCCTCCTACTCATCAATTCTTCTCTACCCCACCCATGACAAACATATTGCCACTTTCTATAAGTGGCATTAATAGGAATGTGAATTATGAGTGCAGAGGTACCCAGCAATTCTAAATGGAAGGACCATGACACACATCAATAAGAACAAGATAGAATGACAACCTGGCTTAACAAGATGCCGTGACTTTATAAACCTATAGTAATTTAAGGCATATGAGATATACAAGTCTTAAGCTCAGAGGAGAGGCTGATGACAATTACACCACTACAGTTAAAGACTGCAAACTTTAGCCGGGCGCGGTGGCTCATGCCTGTAATCCCAGCACTTTGGGAGGCCGAGGCGGGCAGATCATGAGGTCAGGAGTTCGAGACCATCCTGGCCAATATGGTGAAACCCTGTCTCTACTGAAAATACAGAAATTAGCCGGGCGTTGTGGGGGGCGCCTGTAGTCCCAGCTACTCGTTAGATTCAGACAGAAGAATCGCTTGAACCCGGGAGGCGGAGGTTGCAGTGAGTTGAGATCATGCCACTGCACTCCGGCCTGGGCAACAGA
Source organism: Homo sapiens (assembly GCF_000001405.40). Taxonomy (NCBI): domain Eukaryota; kingdom Metazoa; phylum Chordata; class Mammalia; order Primates; family Hominidae; genus Homo; species Homo sapiens. The sequence continues at coordinate 33,623 of NW_009646206.1, forward strand.
CAGAGACTCCATCTCAAAAAAAAAAAAAAAAAAAAGACTGCAAACTTTGGCATCAGGCTGGCTGGATTCAAAGCCTGATTTTGCCACTTGTTAGCCCATGAATAGTAACAAGATGCTTAAATTCTCTGTGCTTGAAAGTTTTCATCTGTAAACTAGAGATAATATTAGGACTTGCATCACAGGGTTTCTGTGAAGATCAAAAGAAATATGTGAAAATCACCTTAGCGTTAGAACTGTGCCTTGCACAAAGTAAACACTCAGTAAATATTAACTCTTATTATAGAAGAGTGTGTGTTATCTCCTCAACTAGATAAAATAATCATAGAATGATGGTTTCAGAGTTGTGAGGCCATTTAATGCAATTAGATTTTATAAATCTAATCTGTACAAGTAGACTTGTGAAATAAATCTGGAATGCCTGCTAAATTTTATTGAAAGCAATCGCGTGTTTAATGGTGCATAATATATCAAAGTACATGCATATTTAATGCTCAAAAGACATTATCTGCTTCTAGAGTGGATTAACATTTCAGGCAGTGAGAATGGGGGTTTATTACTTTAATCTAAATAGGGATTAAGTTGATTAGATTCAGAGTTTGGTTGATTTAAGTACTGATTGGTACACCTGTTCGTGTAGGGCACAGTCCTTTCATCGCTCCCACTAAAAGTTTAACACGGGAACTAAGCTATGAGGATGCAAAAGGATAAGGATGATACAATGGACTTTGGGGAATTGGGGGAAAAGGCAGGAGGATGAGGGATAAAAGACCACACATTGGGTACAGTGGACACTGCTGCAGTGATGGGTGCACCAAAATCTCAGAAATCACCACCAAAGAATGTATTCTTGTAACGAAAAACCACCTGCTCCCCAAAAACCTATTGAAACAAATATTTAAACATAAATAAATAGGCCGGGCACAGTGGCTCACACCTGTAATCACAGCACTTTGGGAGGCTGAGGTGGGTGGATCACCTGAGGTCAGGAGTTTGCTACCAGCCTGGCCAACATGGCGAAACCCAGTCTCTACTAAAAACACAAAAAACTAGCTGGGCGTCTTGGCAGACACCTGTAGTCCCAGCTACCTGGGGGGCTAAGGCAGGAAAATCTCTTGAACCCAGGAGGTGGAGGTTGCAGTGAGCCAAGATCACGCCACTGCACTCCAGCCTGGGTGAAAGGGTGAAACTCCACCTCAAAAAAACAAATTTAATTAATTGAATAAATAAATACATAGACTTTGAATAATCATCATCCAAAAAGAAAATTAAATTAAAAGGATTTCCCTTTGAGGGAGCTATCTGTGAAAGGAAATTGCTTAATACAGGTGAGCACAAAAAGAGAAAGCACCCTCTTATTTCATATTTTATTTTTCAACTTGTTAAAGATTATATTTTCGAGCTACTCTCCTAAACTAGAAACCCACCAGCTCTAACTTAGTATTCTTCTCCAGGACAAAGGGTGTCATTTGTAAGGAATGACAAGATCTACAGGGAATGCTAAAATGATAAATTTAATACATCAGTGTGACTTAGTTAAAGCAAAATCTTCCAGAGTCTCAAACTTTGCGTGTTATTTTCTGGTAGCTCCTGAAAGCAGTCTGAGAAGAATACAACAGAAAAGATGAAGAATTGTTTTAAAACAAAAATTCAAAGTAATAATAATAAATAAAAGCCTAATATTCCCTCTCGCACTTGGCAGGCACCAACCTACCATTTTTGTACATTCAGCTCCACAAGACTGTTAGGTTCTACTCTGCCATCTCTTAAAAGTTAGCATCTAATTCACAGTACTATTTAAATTTCCCCAGTTGTCCAAAAGCATGTCCTTTATAGCTGTTTTAAAATCCATCATCCAATCAGATTTCATGCCTTTCATTGTTATGCTTCTTTAGTCTCCTTTGTCACCATGCCTATAGACTCAGGGGCTGAGGCGGGAGGCTTGCTTGAGCCCAGGAGGTCAAAGCTGCAGTGAGCTGAGATGGTGCCACTGCACTCCAGCATGGGTGACAGAGTGAGACCCTGTCTCAAAAAAAAAAAAAAAAACCTCTGTATTCTATAAATATAATATGTACAATTATTCCATGTCAATTAAAAATAAAAGAGAAAAAAGTCTTTATAATCCATGTATATGAAGTTCAAAAGCTGGCATTACTGATCTGCGATGACATAGTCAGGCAAGTTGGTACCATTGCATAGGCAGAGATGGAAAGAAGCTTGTGGGATGCTGGAAATATTCTGTTTCTGGATCTGGGTGCTGGCTACATGGGGGCTTAAAATCGCTGGTGTTACACTAATCACTCATGAACTTTTCTGCATGTATGTGCAACTTAGAATAAGAAAATGGAATTACGGTTCACATGCTAGGCATGCCTGGATCAGGCTAGTGGACAGCATCCTGTACCACCGTGTCCCATCCTAAGTGCTGTAGAAACATGTTCCTAATACTTCAGTGCATGCCAAAATAGGCAAATATTTTATTTACATTTGAAATCTCACAGTAGCAAGGTCAACTACAGCCACTTTCCCCCAGGGAGAGTCCAATATTTTATTCATGTCTCCTAAACTCTTATAATGAGCAACTACCATGGGCCAGGTCCTGTGCAGGGCTCTGAGGATCACAGGGAAAGACCCACAACCTCCCTCATGGAGACCAACATTCCCAGAAAACCCACGCAAATAAACATAGCGAGGTATGGTGAAGCTCCGGGAGTGCTGCCGCACCACACAGAAGTTCTGACCTGGCCTGGGGCGTATGAGAGAAGCCTTTGATGAGAAAGTAGGGAATGAGGCCTCTGAAAGTAAGGGGAGGGTGTGCTCCAAACAAATGCAACAAAAAGAGAAACTGTAACTGCACACGGTTTTCAGCCTCATGCCTCCGTGGAACCTGCCTGTCAGGCGGGCACCTGGAATCTCAAGCAACTTTCTCAAGGTGAGGCGATTTTTTTCTTTCATTTCTCAAGTAGCTTGTGGTAAGAAAAGTGAGCTGAGACTGGGTGCAGTTGCTCATTCCTGTAGTCCCAGCTGCTTGGGAGGCTGAGGCGGGAGGATCCCTTGAGCCTGGGAGGCGGAGGTTGCACTGAGCCGAGATCACACCACTGCCTGGGTGATAGAGCGAGACCCCATCTCAAAAAAAGAAAGAAAAAAGGGAAAGAAAGTGAACTGAGTGTTCTGTGTCTCCCAAGGCCCCTTGAATGGCTTTGTCCTTCACTTGGAATAAAATTCAAACTTCTTCACCTTGCCCCGACCTTGGTTGGCCTTTCCAGTTTGAGCTTTTCCCGATATTCCTCTCCCACAACACACCTCAACTACAGTGGCCTCTTATCTGCACCTCAGACATGAAAAGGTTTTTCATGTCTCTGGGCCTTTGCACTTGATGTTCCCTTTGCTTAGAACACTCTTCCCTCTCCTTCAGTGAAAATGATACTTCCTCAGAGACATCTTACCTTACCTTAAAACTACTGCACATCCTCTGAATCAGTGCTGTTGGTGGCATTCATAACACCAGTAGTATCATAATCAGAACTGCGTATTGTCTTGTTTCCTTTTTTATTTCCTGCTTCCCTCCCTAGAATGCCAGCACTTGGGAAGGCGGCAGTGAGTTCTATTTTTGTAAATCCCAATTTCCTAGTCACTGGAACAAATCTTAGCAGAGCAGGCATTCAAATAATTAAGCAAACAAATGAAGAAGTGTCAGGGGTGTTTTAACGTTAAGTTCTGCAAAATTCCCTGCTATTGGGGAGGTCATACCCTTTGAATATATCACTCTCTTTCCATCCTCATTAGTGTCATAGGGCAACTCCAGGGACTGATTCTAACATTTAAACGGAAAATTTGAGGCCCACTTTATCCTTTCCGATAGGATTTGGGAGTTTCTACCCTTGACTGTGTTAGAAGTGTTCCTGAATTTTATTCCTGTAAAAGACATAGATGGGGCCAGGTGCAATGGCTCACTAGCACTTTGGCAGGCCAAGGCTGGACGATCTCTTGAGCCCAGGAGTTGAAGGCTGCAGTGAGCTATGATGGCACCACTGCACTCTAGTCTGGGCAACAGAGTGAGACCCTAAAACAAAACGTAAAAAGATACAGATGGGTCCTTCAATCATTTGGCCTTCAGGCTACCTGCAATGTTCCCAGAGACAGAGTTCTTTCGCTAGTCCAAGACTTTTCCAAACCAACCTGGTGGGGGTGTGGAGGTTGCGGGAGAGGACAGAGTTGAGGGGTAGTATAAGATGGGCCAAGACCAGAGTCCCATCTCTGCTTCAGAAAGCTTGGGTCCACATTGAGTGTGGGGAGGCCATATCTCATGGATAGAGACTAGATCTGTCTAGTGAATTACACTCACCCCACAAATAAGACCCATCATGGAGAAGAACGTTAGGGGGAGGAATAAATAAATGAGTTAATAAGGTGCCTGAAAGGTGGAGTAAATGAGTAACAGAGGGACAGAGAGAGGGATGCTCAGAGGAAAGAAAGAAGCATGATTCTTTTAATGCAATTTATATTTTAAGTTTCCTTGCTGAAAACTCGTTATGGGCTCCCCAGCTGCCCCCAAATCCATACTCAAGAGAAGATACAAGATCCCCTATGGTTTAGGCTCTGCCAAGTTCTTCACTGTCATCCATTGCTGTCTCAACTGGAAGAGGTTGAACCGAGATGGGCGGGTGAAGGGCTTAACTCCCATCATCCCAAACTCCTAGCAGGATGCCTCCTGCTGCACTCCGGGTCTCACTGGAAGCCGTCCACGCACAGGGCACCTCCTTCACCTTCCAGTTTGAATCATCTTACCAACTTATTTTTCTCTCAGCGCCTTGTTTATTTACTCATTGATCCCAAGTGACATTTTTGAACATTTTATCCATTTTCAGTTCGCTCCACTTTCTTTTGTTTTCTTCCACTCTCTGGAGTCAAGGATCAGTCTTTTTTTTTTTTTTTTTTTTTAAACATAGTTTTATTCCCAGTGCCCTACACAGCATCAGGCATATAATAGGTTCTAAATAAACAGATATTGAATGGATTATTGGAGGGCGTGGTATTAGGGTAGGACAGGGTGGGGACATGATTACATTAAAATTCTGCTTAAATAAGCGGGTCTTTTAGCCCAGCAGTCACATAGACTCAGCTCAGGAGCTCTGCAGCACACAGCTGATCGAACCCACTCATTTCTAGAGGACACCATGTTTGGTAAGTTGGGCGAAGGCAAGAGGCTGGGGTTTCAGTGATTGGGTTGCAGACAAATCAAGTGAGAGGTGTGGGACCTTGTGGTGGCTTCTTAGAAACCACTGGGTAAATTTAGAAACCACTGGGTTATACCAACAAGGATTGTTTGAAAAACACTTTGCAAGGGATTCTAGTAACTTAGGAATTTGTTTCTCCACATCTCTTTTTTAAAGAGATGGGGTCTTGGTATGTTGCCCAGGCTGGCCTCGAGCTCCTAGGCCCTAGTGATCCTCCCACCTCACCCTCAGGAGTAGCTGGGACTTATAAGTGTGTGCCACCATGTCCCGCTAATTTTTAAATTTTTTGTAGAGACAGGATCTCACTCTGTTGCCTAAGGTCGTCTTGAACTCACATCCTTTTTAATGCCTGGTAACTTTCATACTTTTTAAATGTCAGTCCATTGATGGGTATAAAATAGTATGTGATCTTTAATTCCCATTTCTTTACTAACCCGTGTGATTGAATCTGTTCACTCTATTTTAAAGGCCATTCTGTTTTTCCCCTATGCTAATTTTTATATTTATATCATTTCCCAGTTTTTAGTATGTTTTTTTTCTTGAGGCTTAGTAGAATATTTTTGTTGTCTTCTAGACACTAATAATTTATCTCTTATATGTGTTGCAAATATATTCTCCCAGCCTGGCTTGTGTTTTTCAATTTACTTATGAGTACCGTTGTACAAATATTCTAAAAGTTGTCATTGTGATATTTATCAACATTTTCCTTTTATAATTGTACTTGTAAAACGTAGTTTAGAAGTATATTACTGGCTGGGCATGGTGGCTCACACCTGTAATTCCAACACTTTCAGATGCCAAGGCAGGCGGATCTCTTGAGGCCAGGAGTTCAAGACCAGCCTGGACAACATGGCAAAACCCTGTCACTACTAAAAATACAAAAATTAGCCAGGCATGGTGGCATGTGCCTGTGGTTCCAGCTACTTGGGAGGCTGAGACACAAGAATTGCTTGAACCTGGGAGGCAGAGGTTGCAGCAATCTGAGATTGCACCGCTGTACTCCAGCTTGGGCAACAGAGCAAGACTCTGTCTCAAAAACAAAAAAAGTGTATTTCTTGGCTGGGGACATAAATGTAATTTTAGTTACATTTTATTTTAACTTCTTAAAATGATTTGATTCTAATAGAAAAATTATGCATCAACAAGCTCACTTATCAAAACTTGTACCTGGCTCTTCTAATACATTTTCCTATTGTTTAATACTAAACTTACAAAAATACTAATTAGTCGATTTTACATATTGACCTCTCAGCTTGGTAGATGATTTTAAACTCAAAGCCACATCCTTCCTCGATTTTACCTCCTATAACTTATCAATGTGCAGTGTTGCTTTTCTAAAGACCAGTAGAATTCTAATTACCATTCCTTTGATGGAAATTCTACTTCCCTTTAGAAGCTTCTGGAAATTTCTATATATTCCTGGTATTCTGATATTTTTGCAACAACGATCCTTTTGTTCATTTATTGTGCTCATCGTGGAATGTCTTCATTCTGGAAACCCCTGTGCCTCATCTCTCAAATCTTGAATTTTTTTTAATAAATACTTTCATGATACTCTCTGAAACATTTTTTAGTCAGAGATATTTTTAGTCACATAAATATTGCTAGTGCTGGACATCCCTGAGCAGAGATCTTATTTTTTTCCGACCTTTTCACTCTTTTTGTCCACTTTTGTATACTTTTTCTACTTCCTGGAATAGCTTTGTCTTCCAACTCTTCTATTATTGCCTAAGGGTTTCTTTTTAGCTACTGATTTCAAAGAACATTTGTCTTATCAGATTTTCCTTTCTTTTCAAGACTTTCTTGATGTATGAGTGCAATATCTTTTATCCGAGCATATTAATTTTAACATTTATAGATTTTCTTTTTTTTTGTAATTTTTTTCTAATTGTTTTATATTTTTAGTAGAGATGGGGTTTCACCATGTTGGCCAGGCTGGTTTTGAACTCCTGATCTCAAGTGATTCACCCTCCCTGGCCTCCCAAAGTGCTAGTATTACAGGCATGAGCCACCGTGCCCAGCCTTATTTCTTTTCTTAAGAAAAAATGTGGTTATTTGCTGCTTTCCTCCTCTTCTTTCTTTTTCTCTTCCACTTTCCCTTTCTTTTTTCTCTCTTTCTCTCTGTCTCTCCCTCTCTCCCTTTCTTGCTGTCCCCTTCCTGTTTGAGAATTTTTCTTCAATGTCCTGTAAATTTTTGTTCTCCCTTTGTGTCTAAACAAATGCTGAGACACTAAGAGAAACCCATGTGCCCGATCACTTGTCTTCACTGTGCGATAATTGGGCAGCATGTTGGCTTCTGTTTTTCCATGTATTTGCATGAGGAATAAGAGCATCCTGAAAATAGAAACTTTCCTATAAAATAGATGACCATGAGAATCAGGTTTTACTAGATGATGAGGTCTTATTTATATTCTAAACCATAGTAAAAACTCCCATTATGCACTAATACAGTTTGCATATTTGTCCCCTCCAAATCTCATGTTGAAATGTGATCCCCAGTGTTGGAGGTGGGCCTGGTGGAAGGGGTTTGGATCATGAGAGCAGATCCCTCTGAATGGCTTAGTGCCATCCTCATGGTAATGAGTGGGTTCTCTATCTCTAAGTTCACCTGAGATCTGGTTGTTTAAAAGAGTCTGGGACCTTCCCCTGCTGTCTCTTGCTCCCACTCTCACCATGTAACACCTTGGCTCCCCTTCGCCTTCTGTCATGAGTGGAAGCTTCCTAAGGCCCTCACCAGAAGCAGATGCCAGCACTATGCTTTGTGTATAGCCTGCAGAGCTGTGAACCAATTAATTCCTCTTTTCTAATTTACCCAGTTTTAGGTAATTCTTTATAAATGCAAAATGGACTAACACATGCACCAAGCCTGTAATTAACAGACTTGCTTCTTTGGTTACTCACATCTTCCCTAAAGGAGTGAGCTTTCTGGGACCATGTTATTGTTAAAGATACGGAGGCAAACAGTATAAGTGTACTGATGCTGCCAAAGTCACAGAGCTAGTAAATGAGAGAATCGACATTCATTCTTAGGTCACTAAGCTTCATATCTCCTTCCCTACAGACCCCATTAATAAATGGCCAAACCAATAGCTTCAGGGTCTCACAAGCCAATCAACATAGACAGCAGTGCCACTGAGTCTATGACCGGTTAGGATAATAGGGCCTCAAATACTCTTATGAATCTTATAGACTCATATAAACCTGGTGTCAACATCATGCCACTATTCTATTCTATCTCAATAAGGACTCACCCAAATCTCATCTTGAATTGTAGCTCCCATAATTCCCATGCGTTGTGGGAAGGATCCGGTGGGAGATAACTGAATCATGGGGCGGTTTCCCCCATACGGTGCTCATGGTAATGAATAAGTCTCATAAGATCTGATGGTTTTATAAGAGGTTTCCCCTTTTGCTTAGGTCTCATTCCCTCTCTTGCTTGCCACCACGTAAGATGTGGCTTTGCTCCTCCTTGCTTTCCACCATGATTGTGAGGCCTCCCCAGCCATGTGGAACTGTGAGTCCATTAAACTTCTTTCCTTTATAAATTACCCAGTTTCAGGTATGTCTTTATTAGCAGCATGAGAAACAGAAAGATGTCCCCAAGTTGCTAGGAAAACATATTGGTGCCCAATGTCATGGAGAGGTTGATGTTCCTCCTCCAGGGGCTGTAGGATGAGGCCACCAAAATAAGCTTATCCCATCTGTGGCTTAAAAACATGTCCTGCTCAGTGGAAGTTGGCACTGATTTTCTAGGAATGCAGAACACTCCCAGCAAGAGAGTGAGGAGTGGGTCTCGTGAGTCAAATGTTTAGCCTAAGCTCTTGATTCACAGGTCAAGCTTAGGAAAGAAGCTTACCTTTGGAATATACATATTTGCATTCTAATAAAACATTTTTAAATTTTTTTTTGTATTTTCGTAGGCTATTGGGGAACAAGTGGTGTTTGGTTACATGAGTAAGTTCTTTAGTGGTGATTTGTGAGATTTTGGTGCACCCACCAACCGAGCAGCATACACTGCACCATATTTGTAGTCTTTTATCCCTCACCCCCTTCCCACCCTTTCCCCCGAATCCCCAAAGTCCATTGTGTCATTCTTATGCCCTTACATCCTCATAGCTTAGCTCCCACTTATGAGTGTGAACATATGATGTTTGGTTTTCCATTCCTGAGTTACTTCACTTAGAATAATGGTCTCCAATCTAATCCAGGTTGTTACAAATATCATTAATTCATTTTTATGGCTGAGTGGCATTCCATCATATAATTTATATATATATAAATTATATATATATAAATTATAATATTTGTATTATATATAATTATATACAATATAATTTATATACATTATACATAAATTATTATATATATATACATATATATATATACACACACACACACACACACCACAGCTTATCCACTCAATTGATGGACATTTGGGTTGGTTCCACATTTTTACAATTGCGAATTGTACTGCTATAAACATACATGTGCAAGTATCTTTTTTGTATAATGACTTATTTTCCTCTGGGTAGATAGCCAGTAGTTGGATTGCTGGATCGAATGGTAGTTCTACTTATAGTTCTTGAAGGAATCTTTACACTGTTTTCCATAGTGGCTGTACTAGTTTACACTGCCACCAGCAGTGTAGAAGTGTTGCCTGTTCACTGCATCCACGCCAACATCTATTTTTTTTTATTTTTTTTATTATGGCCATTCTTGTGGTTTCGATTTGCATTTCCCTAATCATTTGTGATGTTGAGCATTTTTTCATGTTTGTTGGCCATTTGTATATCTTTTGAGAATTATCTATTCATGTCATTCATGTCCTTAGCCCACTTTTTGATGGAATTGTTTGGTTTTTTTCTTGCTAATTTGTTTGAGTTCGTTGCAGATTCTGGATATTAGTCATTTGTCAAATGTATAGATTGTGAAGATTTTCTTCTAGACTGTGGGTTGTCTAGAACTCTGCTGTTCCTTTTGCCATGCAAAATCTCTTTAGTTTAATAAAGTCCTAGCTATTTATCTTTGTTTTTATTGCATTTGCTTTTGGGTTCTTGGTCATTGTGTTGCTGTCTATCTCATTTCTTAGGTCTAGTGGATAAAAGGGCGTCCATTGTCTCCTAAAGTTTTTATTATTTTTTATTTATGCTCTCTATTTCACTGAAGATTTCTCCCCTCATTTCTTGTATCTTTTTTTTTAATTTCCTTAAATTGGGCTTCACTTTTCTCTGGTGCCTCCTTGATTAGCTTAATAACTGACCTTCAGAATTCTTTTTCAGGTATATCACGGATTTCTTCTTGGTTTGGATCCATTGCTGATGAACTAATGTGATTTTTTGGGGATGTTAAAGAACCTTGTGTTGTCATATTACCAGATTTGGTTTTCTGGTTCCTTCTCATTTGTGTAGGCTCTGTCAGAGGGACGGTCTAGGGCTCAAGGCTGTTGTTCAGATTCTTTTGTCCCACAGGTGTTCCCTTGATGTAGTACTCTCCTCATTTCCTTCCGAATTTTTTTAATGAAAGCCTTTTATCTGTTCCCTCTGCAGAAGGGCCAAGGCGTTATCGTCGGCCACGCACAAGATTTCTCTCCAAACAACTCACAGCATTGAGAGAATTGCTTGAAAAGACCATGCACCCAAGTTTGGCTACAATGGGGAAACTGGCTTCAAAGCTACAACTTGATCTATCCGTAGTAAAGGTCTGTTCCCAAGTGTGTCTGTAGGTAGCACGCCTAACCCAGAGCTTCACACACACTTTTGATCATTGTTATAACAGTTCCTATTTATTGGCAATTGCTATGTGTAAGGACAGATGTTAAGCACTTTATATTTTTATTGTCATGAGCACCCACTTTATTGAGGAACACTAAAGCTCACATAGAAGAGCTGTCTTCCAAGCATTATAAACACAAGAGTTGGAATTTGAACCCAGACCTTTCCAACTCCAGACCCACCATGCTACACAGGACTCTTTGAGGCTGGATCTCAGATACTCCCATTTGGGTCTGTTCTTGTGTATTCAGGATGGGTTCTGCTTAATCAGGACCATCACAGTCATCCAGATGCCTGTCACTAAGTTCCCACAAAGTATTCATGGGAGAACACCTGGATGAACCCTAAAGATGACCCAAGCTAAACTCTCACCCCATACTCTGACTTTAAAATACTTTCTCTGGGCACCAGGAATGGTGGCTCACACTTGTAATCCCAGCACTTTGGGAGGTGGAGGCAGGAGGATCGCTTAAGCCCAGTTTAAGACCAGCCTGGGCAACATAGCAAGACCATGTCTTTACAAACAAAAATTAAAAATTAACCAGACATGGAGGCACATGGCTGTAGTCCCAGCTACTTGGGAGACTGAGATAGGAGGATTGCTTAAGCCCAGGAGTTCAAGGCTGCAGCGAGCTATGATTGCAGCACTGCACTCCAGGCTGGGTGACAGAGTGGTAGCTTGTCTCAAAAAAAAAAAATACACCACTAATAAAAACACCCTTCTATTTAATACATCACAATCTAGGTCATATTCCACCCATTGCTAGTACAATCCTACACCCACTTTTCCCTTGAAACCCAGGACAGCAGAGAGTAGAAAGGGCTTCCCTTGTTCCAATAAATGTGAGACTCTCTCTCACACCAAAAAACCGAATTCCTGAGGAACATGAGGATGCCCCTTTATACTCAACATCCATTATTAACCTCCCCCCTCCTCCCTCCTTAGATCTGGTTCAAGAACCAGCGTGCCAAATGGAAGAGGCAGCAGCGGCAGCAAATGCAGACACGGCCATCACTAGGGCCAGCAAACCAGACAACTTCAGTGAAGAAGGAGGAGACTCCCTCAGCCATAACTACTGCAAACATTCGTCCAGTAAGTCCTGGAATCTCTGATGCAAATGACCATGATCTACGTGAGCCTTCTGGTATCAAGAATCCTGGAGGAGCCAGCGCCTCTGCGAGGGTTTCATCCTGGGATTCTCAGTCATATGACATTGAACAGATATGTCTGGGGGCTTCAAATCCTCCTTGGGCCTCCACTCTCTTTGAAATAGATGAATTTGTAAAGATCTATGACTTGCCAGGGGAAGATGACACCAGCAGCCTAAATCAATATCTTTTTCCAGTATGCCTTGAGTATGACCAGCTCCAATCTTCAGTGTAACTTCTTACACATCACTTCTAGGGGAGGTCTGGATCTGACCCACTGAGACATATTTCCACACATCTTTAATGGTTTGACCCCAGTCTAAGTAGATCAGGGGCTGGGAATTTATCTTTTTCTGTAGAAAAAACAATAAAGGAACTCCCCTACCTTTCATCATTGCCTGCATTTTCTGAACTCCATTTGAGTGCCTCCTCACCCAAATTTCAGCATTAAAGATTGTATTCAGAGAAGTGACGCCAGGAACACAGTGACATAGGAGGTTCCTGATTGATGGACTGAATAAACGTCTGTGCCTACATCAGTTCTCTCTGGAAGAAAGTCAGAAGTGAGTGGAGAGACTCCTACACACCAGGCAACTAAGAAAATGTCTTAGCAGGCCAGTCGCGGTGGCTCACGCCTGTAATTCCAGCACTTTGGGAGGCCAAGGTGGGTGGATCACGAGGTCAGGAGATCAAGACCATCCCGGCTAACATGGTGAAACGCTGTCTCTACTAAAAATACAAAAAATTAGCTGGGTGTGGTGGTGGGCACCTGTAGTCCCAGCTGCTTGGGAGGCTGAGGCAAGAGAATTGCTTGAACCCGGGAGGCGGAGGTTGCGTGAGCCAAGATTGCACCACTGCACTCCAGCCTGGGCGACAGAGTAAGACTCCATCTCAAAAAAAAAAAAAAAGAAAAGGAAGAAAAGACAAGAAAAAAAATGTCTTATCAAACAGGCAGCAAAAGCTGAAGCACTCAGAAACACTAAACCCACCCTGGGCACTGAGCCATACAATCAGGAAGGAATCCCCAGTTCCCAGCTTCTCCCCCAGGAGAGAAGCAGTGAACCACACATATAGCACCCTAACAGTTGATGGTTAAGTTCCTAACGAGCCTGCATCAGGGAGTTGACTAGGTAGGTAAACTACAGACTTACAAGAGCCTGAACAGAAGCTAGGTGCCACCCAAAGCTTCACCCCAGCTCAGCCCAGCAATAAATCCAGGTCTATCAATTCCTCCTGGAAGAAGTTTGTCCACACATTGAGCACCCCAACTTTTATACCTGCACTCAAGGGACTGCATCCTAAATCCCCTAGCTCTGGAAATGGAAGGGATTAGGCATATGTGAGTCTCCCTAGCTCACAGAGAAAAAGGTGGTTTTAAGCAGGCACACAAGCACTTCAGGGCTAGCCTTCCTCCACCACACTCCCCCAACCAGAGCAGTGCAGAGAAGGGGTCAAAATGTACAGCTCCCAGTTACTCCTCAAAAAGGATTTGCCAGCACACTCTTCCAGCTGCTGCTTGATAGTCATGCTTTTAACCAGCCTGTATCTGGAAGTCAACAGGGCAGACAAATGCTGGATCCTTGGGAGCCTGAATGGGAGTTCAGACACTGTCCAAGCCTTTTGCCCTTGCTTGCTCTAGTGGTAAGTCTACAGACTCTCCCTGGAAGGAGTTTTTCCATGCAGTGAGCACCCAAATTTTTGCAGCTTCCACGGCATCCTAAATCACCTATCTCTGGGAACTGAAGGGATTTGACATTCACTAGTCTCCCTAGATCACAGCAAAGAGGTGATTTTAAACTGATGCACAAGCATTTCCAGGAGATGAGAATAGTCCCAGGGACCTGAGGCTGAACACACCTAGCTGGCCACTACCACCTCAGGTGGCATCTACTTGCATGTGCCACTTACAGGCCTGGAGACTGGCCTGCTCAGCCCGTCACAGCCATCACCAACACTAGCACAAGCTGATTGGGAGCTAGATTGTCCTGCCAATATTACTGCCATTGCCCATGCCACCCTTGCTGCCCAGTGGCCCCAGGAACTACGCACCTACCTGGCCTACGGCTGGCAATGCCAGCACCCAAGAAAGCCACCTGGAAGCCTGGGAATTGGCCTACCTAAACCTGCTAAACCTGTGCCAGCGTACACCACCCTGGGACTCAAGGACAGGCTCACCACTGCCACCACTGGGCCCGAAAACCGGCCCACCTGACATCCCCTATCCCAGAAAAGCTTCACAGCCTCCACCAACAACTGCACCTTAAGCCACGGAGGAAATAACACTACTGATGTTGCTTACAGCCAAATAAATCATACAGAGACTATACCTGGATAAAGAATTCAAAATAATGATATTAAAGAAGCTCAGTGAGATACAAAAGAACTCAGAAAAATAATACAAACAAATCAGAAAAACAATTCAGGATATGAATGAGAAATTTACCAAAGAGATAGATATAAAAAAGAACCAAACAAATTCTGGAAATGAAGACTTCATTGAATGAAATACAAAATATATTTGAAAGCTTCAACAACAGACTAAATCAAGTAGAAAAAAGAATTTCAGAACTTGAAGCCATATCTTTTGAAATAACCCAGGAAGACAAAAATAAAAAAGAATTTAAAAAGAATGATAAAAGCCTTCATGACATATGATACCATAAAGCAACCAAATTTTCAAATTACTGGGGTCCCAGAAGGCAAAGAGAGAGAAAAGGGTAAGAAAGTATTTAATAAAATAATAGGCCAGGCACAGTGGCTCACGCCTGTAATCTCAGCACTTTGGGAGGCCGAGGAGGGTGGAGCACCTGAGGTCAAGAGTTCAAGACCAGCCTGGCCAACATGGTGAAACCTGGTCTCTACTAAAAATACAAAAATTAGCTGGGTGTGGTGGTGCACACCTGTAGTCCCAACTACTTGGGAGGCTGAGGCAGGATAATTGCTTGAACCAAGGAGGCGGAGGTTGCAGTGAGCCGAGATCACGCCACTGCACTCCAGCCTGGCAACAGAGCGAGACTCCATCTAAAAACAACAACAAAAAGTGTGATTTATACACAATGGAGTACTATTTGGCCATTAAAAAATAATTTAAAAAAATGAAATCCTGTCATTTGCAACATAGATGAGCCTAAAGGACATTATGTTAAATGAAATAAACCAAACACAGAAAGACAAATACCACATGATCTCATACACATGTGGAATCCTAAAAGGTGGATCTGACACCTTACTTACACCTTACTCCTGCAAGAATGGCCATAATCAAAAAATAACAAAATCAAAGATCAAAAAATCAAAAAATAATAGGTGTTGTGCATGTGTGAAAAGGGAACACGTTTACACCGTTGGTGGGAATGTAAACTAGTACAACCACTGGAGAAAACAGTGGAGATTCCTTAAGGAGCAAAAAGTAGATTTACCATTTGATCCAGCAATCCCACTACTGGGTATCTACTTAGAGGAAAATAAGTCATTATACAAAAGAGATACTTGCACACACATGTTTATAGCAACACAATTCACAATTACAATAATATAGAACCAGCCCAAATGCCCATCAATCAACAAGTGGATAAAGGAAATGTGAGATATATATATATATATATATCGCACATACCATGGAATACTATTCAGCCATAAAAAGGGAATGAAATAATGGCATTTGCAGCAACCTGGATGAGATTAGAGACCATTATTTTAAGTGAGGTAACTCAGGAATGGAAAACCAAACATCATACTTTCTCACTCATAAGTGGGAGCTAAGCTATGAAGATCCAAAGGCATAAGAATGACACAATGGACTTTGGGGATTCAGGGGAAAGAATGGGATGGAGGTGAGGGATAAAAGACTACATATTGGGTACAATGTACACTGCTTGGGTGATGGGTGCACCAGAATCTCAGAAATTGCCACTTAGGAAATTATTCATGTAACCAAACACCACCTGTTCCCCCAAAAACCTACTGAAATAAAATAATAAAAATAAATAAGGCTGGGCGCAGTGGCTCACGCCTGTAATCTCAGCACTTTGGGAGGTCAAGGCGGGTGGATCACCTGAGGTCAGGAGTTCGAGATCAGCCTGGCCAACATGGTGAAACCTCATCTCTACTAAAAATACAAAAAAAAATTAGCTGGGCATGGTGGCGGGCGCCTGTAATCCTAGCTACCCAGGAGGCTAAAGCAAGAGAATCACTTGAACCCGGAAGGCAGAGGTTGCAGTGAGCCAAGATCGCACCATTGCACTCCAGCCTGGGCGACAAGAGGGAAACTCCGTCTCAATAAATAAATAAATAAATAAATAATAAATAATTTAAAAAAATTGAAAAAATAAATACATTTTTTAAAGTGGACCTCATAGAAGTAGAGAGTAGAATGGCGGTTAAAGGAATCTGGGGTCATTGGGGGTAAAGGGGAGTTGGGAAGACACTGGTCAAAGGATGCATAATTACATTTAGATAGAAGGAATAAGTTCAAGAGATCTATTGGACAGCATGATGACTATAATTAATGGTGATATATTGCATTCTTGAAAAATGCTAAGAGAGTAGATGTTAGGTGTTCTCACCACAAAAAAATAGATGATAACTATGTGAGGTAACACATTTCTTTAAATTAGCTGATTTGGCCAGGTGCAGTGGCTCACAACTGTAATCCCACCACTTTGGGAGGCTGAGGCAGGAGGATCACCTGAGGTGGAGAGTTCGAAGACCAGCCTGACCAACATGGAGAAACCCTATCTCTACTAAAAATACAAAATTAGCCAGGCATGGTGTCACATGCCTGTAATCCCAGCTAGTCAGGAGGTTGAGGCAGGAGAATCACTTGAACCCTGGAGGCGGAGGTTGCAGTGAGCCGAGATTGCGCCATTGCACTCCAGCTGGGGCAACAAGAGTGAAACTCCATCTCAAAAAATAAATAAATAAATAAATAAGCTAGATTTAACCATTCCACAATGTATACATATTTCAAAACATTATATTGTACAAGATAAAGTCATACAATTTTAAAAAACAAATAAATTTAGAACAAAATGATAGGGAAAGGTATTAGGGGCTGAGTGGTATATGGGAACTGCGTACTACCTGCTCAATTTTCTGTAAGCCTCAAACTGCTTCAAAAAATAATGTCTATTGCCAGGCGCAGTGGCTTACGCCTGTAATCCCAGCACTTTGGGAGGCTGAGGTGGTTTGGTCACCTGAGGTCAGAAGTTCAAACCAGCCTGACCAACATGGTGAAACCCCATCTCTACTAAAAATACAAAATTAGCCGGGCATGGTGGTGCATGTCTGTAATCCCAGCTACTTGGGAGGCTGAGGCAGGAGAATCGCTTGATGCTAGGAGGCAGAGGTTGCAGTGAGCCAAGATCGCACCATTGCACTCCAGCCTGGACAACAAGAGTGAAACTCCATCTCAAAAAAAATTATAATAATAATGTCTTAATTTTAAAAAAAAAATGTCTAGCTCGGCCGGGCGCCGTGGCTCATGTCTGTAATCCCAGCACTTTGGGAGGCAGAGATGGGCAGATCATGAGGTCAGGAGTTCGAGACCAGCCTGACCAATATGATGAAACCCTGTCTCTACTTAAAAAAAAAAAAAATTAGCCAGGTGTGGTGGCATGCGCCTGTAGTCCCAGCTACTCAGGAGGCTGAGACAGAAGAATCGCTTTAACCTGGGAGGCAGAGGTTGCAGTGAGCCAAGATCGTGCCACCGCACTACAGCCTGGGTGGCAGAGCGAGACTCTGTCTCAAAAAAAAAAAAAAAATGTCTAGCTTGATCTTAAAGGAATGAATGATTCCCTAAGAGAACTTAGTGAGGGCTGGAGCCCTTGAGTTCCACCAGCCAATCCCAGGAGTTAGCTGTAAAAGTCACTACTCACCTTTGCAAAATTCAACTTGATCAGGTACCTCTCCTTTAGTTTCAGGAAGAAGAAGCAAGAACCTTTAAATAATTAATAAGTAAGTGACTGATGTGAAGAAACGCTGAGGCTCTAAAGCTGGATGGAACAGAGACTGGACTATTCTCTGACCATCTAAGTCTATGCAGCTATAAACAAGAAGGTAAAGCTGCAGGGGCTGACCTGGAGGCCTCAAGATGTATCGATAAACCAGGATGGTAGCAGCTGCGGAACTGTGAGGTGCAGCGGTCCCCAATGTTTTTGGCACCAGGAACTGGTTTCGTGGAAGAAAATTTTTCCACAGACGGCAGCGGTGGGGTGGGTGGGTTGGGGTGGGGGATTGTTTGGGGAAAATTCAAGCATAATACATTTATTGTGCACTTTATTTCTATTATTATTACATTATAATATATCATCAAATAAGTATACAACTCACCATAATGTCAAATCTAATGGGAGCCCTGAACTTGTTTTCCTGCAACTAGATGGTCCCATCTGGGGGTGATGGGAGACAGTGACAGATCATCAGGCATTCGATTCTCATAAGGAGCATGCAACCTAGATCCCTCGAATGCGCAGTTCACAATAGAGTTTGCGCTCCTGTGAGAATCTAGTGCCCAAGCTGACCTGACAGGAGGCGGAGCTCAGGCTGTAATGCCAGCGATGGGGAGTGGCTGCAAATATAGATGAAGCTTTGCTGGCTGGCCCGCTGCTCACCTCCTGCTGTGGCGGTCTGGTTCCTAACAGGCCACCATGGGTACCCGTCTGTGGGGGTGGGGAGCGGGGGTGTTGGGGACCCCTGGTATAGAGTGCTCTCTTGTAACCCACCCATCCTCTGAGTGCAGATTTGCAAATACAACCACGTTCTCTAGAAGGGACCCTATGAGCTGGAGGATAAGACCACAGCCTGGAGTTTTGCTTTTGACTTTCGTAATGTTTAGGCATTTTTTATGGTGAGCATAGCTTACTTCTGAAATTTAATAAACGACTGTATTAAGCGGTGAAATAGTGAGTACACGGTTGTTTACTTTGTTATTCTGTTTGCATGAACATTTAAGAAAAATAAAACATTGAGAATTGTTGGTGGCAGGTGTGGTGGGAGCTTTTTAAAACAACAACAACAACAAAAGCTGTTCCCTACATGTAACAGGGATGTCTGTCTTCGGAGGAATTGGTGAGCTGCATCTCACCCCCCGGTGAAGCAAGGGGTCGTGGTGGTGGAACTTGACTGGGAAGTGGGAACTGATCCTGGGGAGCAATCCCAGAAGCCTGGGGCTAAGCCATGTCCTGAGAGTTTGGGAAATGAATGTATTAAGCAGCCCAGATGCCTAACTCCAGGGTCACCACCAGCCTTTGAGCTCCAGGGGGCGCTCCGCGAACATCCCATGAAAGCGCGCGGGGCGCTTGGGATGATGTTTGCAGGGGAACTGAGCCAGGCTGTGGTCCTCTGTGCCATCTCCTGCCGGTGGGCAGCACTCCTGTTGTGCACAGGGACCCCTGTTTCCTAGGTCCACAAACTGGTCGGGAAACACGAGTTGACCCGGCCGCCCCAACCTGCTTTCTAACAAGAGGTTCTGTCCAAGTTCCCCGCTCGACTTTCAATATGTCACTCAGCGCTTAAGCCTCACCCCTTATCCTTGATGTCCAATCAGGAGCGAGGGTTGGATCCCCAGGGGCCTGGGGAGGCAGAGGGTTCTTTTTTTTTTTTTTTAAACCTAAAAATTTAAATGAAGATGAAAATGGAAGATTCTTCATGGAAGTTTTAATGGCAACAATTAGTCTACGAAAAAATAGGAAGTCTGAATGGACCAATAACCAAAGAACTTACAAAGGAAGTAAAAGATCTAAGAAAGTCCTAGAAGGTTTTATGGGCAAATTCTGCTATACATTCCGACAAATCGTAATTGTACTGTCTCCTTAATTTTTCTGTAAATCTAAAACCATTCTAAAATAAAAAATTTATTTTAAAAATGTATCCAATCCCCCTCGTCCAAACCTTTGAAATGCTAAAGATTTCTTTTAAAACCCTCAATATCTCTGATTATTTTGTTAAGGTTTTTGTTTAAGACTATCTATTGAAGGCAGGGCACGGTGGCTCACACCTGTAATACCAGCACTTTGGAAGGCCAAGGCTGGAGGATCACCTGAGGTCAGGAGTTCGACACCACTCTGGCCAACATGGTGAAACCCTGTCTCTACTAAAAATACAAAAATTAGCCAGGCGTGGTGGCCCTCGCCTGTAATACCAGCTCAGCTACTCAGGAGGCTGAGGTGGGAGAATCGCTTGAACCTGGGAGGCGGAGGTTGCAGTAAGCCGAGATCGCACCACTGCACTCCAGCTTAGGCGAGAGAGGGAGACTCCTCTGTCTCAAAAAAAAAAAAAAAAAAAAGAGAGAGAGAGAGCATCTATTGAAGAGTGAGTTTTCTTACAATGCCCAAAGCAACTGTCTCCTTCTTTCCCTGGCCCTCTCCATGTCTGTATTCACATAGAGTCTACATAATGGGCAAATTGTGATTAACAACTTTGTCTCCTGCCTTTAAAAAAAAATCCTAAAATCCTATCATACTCCAGGCCGTCTCCACGTCTGCTTAATGAACTGTCTTAATTTTTATTTATTTATTTATTTATTTATTTATTTATTTATTTATTTATTGAGACAGAGTCTCGCTCTGTTGCCAGGCTGGAGTGCAGTGGCGTGATCTTGGCTCACTGCGATCTGCGCCTCCCGGGTTCAAGTGATTCTCCCACTTCAGCCTCCCGAATAGCTGGGATTACAGGCACGCGCCGCCACACCCAGCTAATTTTTGTATTTTTGGTAGAGACGGGGTTTCACCATGTTGGCAAGATGGTCTCGATTACCTGACCTCGTGATCCACCCGCCTCTGCCTCCCAAAGTGCTGGGATTAACAGGCATGGGTCACTGTGCCCGGCCGAACTGTCTTAATTTTTGAGAGTAGGTTTATTACACTGCTCGATGGACAAAAAAATTGGGCACTCTTCTAAAGCTCAGGGGAAAGGGTGCCAAGAGAGGAGTCCCAGGGAAGAGATGTTCAGAGAACATCATACCACCCCACCTGCTCTCTTTTTTTTTTTTTTCTTCAGGAAATGAGGTCTCATTATGTTTCTCAGGCTGGCCTCGAACTCCTGGCTGCAAGCCATCCTCCCTCCTCAGCCTCCTGAGTAGCTGGGATTCCAGCTGTGAGCCACCACGCCTGGCTTGACTTTTATAATGCCTTCTCCTTTGACAGTTTGAAGCCTCTTGGTTAAAGCAAAGGGGGACCTGGAGGGTGACTTCAGTGGGAAGCGGGAAGAGTGACTGGAAACTGGTCCCTTCTGCTGCATGTCTCAGTGTAAGTGTCAAGAAGTGCTGGGGTAACGTTAGCCACTTCCTCTCTGCAACCAGCCCCCAGGCGCTTCACTTCTCTCTTTCCTCCACCTGAGATGACACAGTTGTGGTTAAGGCCCTGGACCAAGAGGTTAGCCTAAATGAGAGTCCCATCTCTGCAACTTCTACCTGGATGAATTTGAGCAAGTGATTCACCTCTCTGAGCTTCGGTTTCCTCATCTGGGAAATTGAGATAATAACAGTTAATGTCTACATCATAAAGTTGTTGTGATAACTAAATAAAAACGTCATGATAATTAAATAAATTAAAATGTGGCCCGGGCGCGGTGGCTCACGCCTGTAATCCCAGCACTTTGGGAGGCCAAGGCGGGCGGATCACGAGGTCAGGAGATCGAGACCACGGTGAAACCCCATCTCTACTAAAAATACAAAAAAATAGCCGGGCGTGGTAGCAGGCGCCTGCAGTCCCAGCTACTCGGGAGGCTGAGGCAGGAGAATGGCGTGAACCCGGGAGGCTGAGCTTGCAGTGAGCGGAGATCGCGCCACTGCACTCCAGTCTCTGGGCGACAGAGCGAGACTTCGTCTCAAAAAAAAAAAAAAAAAAAAAAAAAAAAAAAAACCTTGTCACTTTAATGTTTTACTTTATTGGAAAGAGATTGTTAAGGATTCCAGCTAGTTGTTTCTGGATAGCAGAAATGACTAGCCTTCTTGGAACAGATCTTCTGTCTTCTGAAAAAGTCACTAGAATAACTCTTCAGTCACACACATGTAAAGCAAGTGTTTACCCCAATTGCTAAGAACCCAGGAAGGGAAAATCTTAAGGGATGTGGGTATTCTGGGAGTAAACAGATTGACAGCCACACTCCTTCACTTTGAGATACAAAAGTTCTAAAACATTTCTGTTAAACCAGAGTGGTCAGCTCTCATGAGAGGATCGAGGAATTGCTATAGGAAAACTCACCATAATGGTTAGGGGTGTGTGTGTTAGTAGCTCAGACACAGGTACCTTAGAGAGCTGGTATTAGCTAGGAAGGACTACTGATGGGTTGAATTTGTATCCCCTGTGGTAAGAGGCATAACAAGCTGATTTCTAACTGAGGGTAGAAAGTGACTGTGTTAACTTGGGGCTGCTGCAATTACAGGACCACAAGCTGGGTGGTTTAAACAACAGAAATTTATTGTCTTGCAAATCTGGAGGGGAGGGTAGAAGTCAGGAATCAAGGTGTTGGCAGGGCTGCACCCCCTCTAAAGGCTCTAGGAGAGGATCCTTTCTTGCCTCCCCCAGTTTCTGGTGGCTCCACGTGTTCCTTGGTTTGTGACAGCAGCTCTCCCATCCCTATAGAGAGAAAGTAGATGGTGGCTTAGGGATGGGGAGGATGGAGTGACAGGGGATGATAGCTGAAGACATAAGGTTTCTTTTGGAGGGGATGAAAATCTAAAATTGATCATGGTGATTGTTGTCCATATCTGTGAATATATGAAAAACTATTGAATTGTATACTAAATGGGTAAATGTTATGGTTTGTGAATTGCATCTCAATGAAGTTTTTTTTAAAATGACACAAACTTGAGATAAGAGCCCAACTTTATTCTTTTGTATGTGGCCATCCAGTTGTCCCAGAACCATTTGTTAACAGGACTATCACTTCCCCACTGAGTAATCTTGGCAACCTAGTGGAAAGTCAGTTGGCCGTAGACACGTGGTTTTATTTCTAGATTCTACTTCTATCCTTTTGATCTATATGTCTGTCTTCATGTCTGTACCACACTGTCTTGATTACTTTTGCCTTAGGTTGGTACAAAAGTAATTTCAGTAAATTTTGAAGTTGGGAAGTGCCAGTCCTACTTTGCTTTTCTTTTTCAAGATTATATTGGTTATTCTGGGTCCCTTGCGATTCCATATGAATTGTACATTCAGCTTGCCAATTTCTACAAAGTCAGCTGAGATTCTGACAGGGATTCCACTGAACCTGTAGATCAATTTAGGGAGTATTGCCATTTTAACAATACAAGGCTTCTGATCCATATACAAGAGAGATTTTTTTTCCATTTATTTAAATCCTCTTTCATTTCTTTCAACAAAATCTCACCATTTTTAGAGTATAAGTTTTGCATTTCTTTTGCTAAATTTATTCCGAATTTTTTATTGGTTTTGATGCTATTGTAAATGGAATTGTTTTCTTGATTTCGTTTTCAGATTATTCATTGCAAGCATATGGAAATACAATTGATTTTTATATATTGACCTGGTATCCTGCAACCTTGCTGAACTTGTTCAATAGTTCTAACAGTTATTTGCTGGACTTCTTAGGATTTTTCTATATACAAGATCATGTCATCTGCAAAGAGTTTACTTCTTCCTTTCAATCTGGATGGATGCTTTTTTTTTTTTTTTTTCCTTTCATGCCTATCCTGACTAGAACCTCCAGTACAATGGTGAAGTGGTGGAAGCAGACACCTTTGCCTTGTTCCTGATCTTCGGGGGAAAGCATCCAGTCTGTTTTCACTAAGTATGATGTTAGATGTGCTTCGTAGAGGCCCCAGTGTCAGGTTGGGGAAGTTCTCTTCTATTGTTAACTTCCTGAGAGTTTTTACCATGAATGGGATTTTGCTAAATGCTTGTTTTGTATCTATTGAGATGATCATGTGGTTTTTGTTTTGTATTCAACTGATAGGATATACTATATTAATTGATTTGGGGATGTAAAACCAATCTTGCATTCATCCTGTGATAAAGCTCATTTTTCATGGTACGTACTTCTTTTTATATATTACTGGATTCCATTTGCTAGTATTTATTTGAGGATTTTTGCATCTGTATTGGTAAAAAGATATTGGGCTGTAGGTTTCTTGTGGTGTCTTTGCTTGGTCTTGGTACCAGGGTAATACTGGCCTTAAGAATGAGTTGGGCAGTGTTCCCTCTTCTATTTATTGGAAACCTTTGTGAAGAACTGATATTAATTCTTCTTCAAATGTTTGGTAGGGTCAGTGGTGAAGGGCCTAGGGTTTTCTTTGTGGGTAGTTTTTATATTATTAATTCACTTTCTTTGCTTGCTATAGATTTATGTAGATGTCCTATTTCTCTTAGACTCAGTTTCAGTAGTTTGTGTCTTTCTAGAAATTTGTTTTTCATCTCAAGTATCTAGTTTATTAGCAAATAGTTGCTCACAGCATTTATTTCTATAAGGTTGGTAGTAATGTCTCCTCTTTCATTTCTTTTTTTAAAAATTTAAATTTTATTTTAATTGAAAAAATAGTAATTATATATATTTATGGGGTACAATGTGATGTTTTGCTATGTTTATATTGTTAAATGGTTAAATAAAACTAATTAATAAATCTGTCACCTCACATACTTATTTTTCATGATGACATTTATGATAAGTGAAATAAGCCAGGCACAGAAAGACAAATAGACTCCATATATATGTGAGATACATGGAATCTAAAAGAGTCAAACTCACAGAAGTGGAGAGTAAAATGGTGATTACCAGAGGCTGGGGAGGAAGATGGATGGGGAAAGGGAAACTGTTGATCAAAAGGTACAGTTTCAGTTAGACAGGAAGAATAAACTTTAGTAATCTATTGCATAAAATGGTAATTATAATAAATAATAATTTATTGTACATTTCGAAGTCCCTTTTTCATTTTTGATTCTAGTAATCCAGTCTGCTATTTTTTCCTGGTATATCTAGCCAATGTTTTGCCAATATTTTGGTTTGTAAAAGAGTCAACTCTTGGTTTGGTTGATTTTCTCTATTGTTTTTCTATTCTCTATTTCACTTATTTCTGCTCCAATCTTTTATTATTTTCTTTTTCTACTTGCTTTATGTGTAGCTTGCTCTTCTTTTTCAGTGTCTTAAGGTGAAAATTTAGGTTATTTTCAATCACTTCCTTAATATAGGCATATACATCTATCAGATTTCTTTTAAGCACTGTTTTTGCTGTATCCTACAAGTTATAAGGTATATTATGTCTTCATTTTCATTTATATCAAAGTATTTTCTAAGTCCCTTTTAATTTCTTCTTTGACCTCTTGGTTATTTAAAAGTGCATTGTTTATGAGAACATATGGACACAGGGAGGGGAACAACACACATTGGGGCCTGGGGGTGGGTGAAGGGAGAGCATCAGGTTGGATAGCAAATGTAATGCATGCGGGGCTTAATACCTAGGTGATGGGCTAACAGGTGCAGCAAACCACCTTGGCTCAGGTTTACCTATGTAAAAAACCTGCACATCCTGCACATGTATCCCAGAACGTAAAATTAAATTAAATTAAAATTTAAAAGAGAGTGCATTGTTTAATTTCCACATACTTGTGAGTTCCCCAGATTTCTGTCTTTTATTTATATATAATTTCATTATGTTGTTATCAGAAAGTATGCATTGTATTTCTACTCCTTTAAATTTATCAAGGTTTATGGCCTAGCATGTGGTTTATCCTGGAGAGTGTTCCATGTGCACTTGAGAAGAATACAAATTCTCCTGTTCTACAGATATCTGCTAGGTCTAGTTGGTTTATAGTGTTGCTCAAGTGTTTTATTTCCTTATTGATTTTCTGCCCAATTGTTCTATTCGTTATTTTTTTCCTGACTTGAGGTATGACTGACAAATAAAAATTGTATATATTTAAGATGTACAATGTGATGTTTTGATATACATTGTGAAATGATTACCACAACTAAGCTAATTAATATATTCATCATCTCATATAGTTACAACATTTTTTTAAAGTTGGGTATCAAAATCTCCAAATATTGTTGCTTATTGTGTATTTCTTCATTTCTGTCAGTATTTATTTAATGCATGTCGGGGCTCTGTTGTTGGATGCCTATGTGTTTATAATTGTTACATCTTCCTGATACAGTGACCTGTAGATCATAACATATTTCTTATGTCTGGTAACGTTTTTTAAAGTCTATTTTGCATTATTAGTATCGCTGTTCCAGCTTCCTTGTGGTTGCTGTTTGCATGATATATCTTTTTTCTTTCTATTACTTTCAATATTTTGTATCTTTGAATCTAAAGTTTGTCTTCTGTACACAGAATATCATTGGATATTGTTTTTTAATACAGTCTGAAAGTCTCTGCCTTTTGATTTATTCAATCCATTCACTTTTAAAGTTATTAATGATATAGTTAGATTTACATTTGCCATTTCACTTTTTCTTTTCTATGTCTTATGTCTTTTTTGCTCTTCTATTCCTCCTTTATGTTTTCTTTTATATTAAGTGAAAGTTTTCTAATATAGGATTTTAATTTCTTTACTGATTTTTTCACTAATTTCTGAATTATTTCCTCCGTGGTTGCTCTACGGCTTATCATATACATCTTATCAAAATGAGCTTCAGATTTATACTAACTTAATCCTAGTGAGATATAGAAACATTGTTCCTATGAAGCTCTATTGCCTTTTCCCACTTTTTGTTAGATGTTATACATATTGCATCAAACATTATAAACCCAGGAATGCACTGCTTTAATTATTTTTTTATACACTTTTTTTTTTTGAGACCGAGTTTCACTCTTATTGCGCAGGCTGGAGCGCAATGGCGCGATCTCGGCTCACTGCAACCTCTGCCTCCCGAGTTCAAGCGATTCTCCTGCCTCAGCCTCCCTCGTAGCTGGGATTACAGGCATGCGCCACCACGCCCAGCTAATTTTGTATTTTTAGTAGAGATGGGGTTTCTCCATGTTGGTCAGGCTGGTCTCGAACTCCCAACCTCAGGTGATCCACCTGCCTCAGCCTCCCAAAGTGCCAGCCCTATTACAAGCGTGTTAATTTTATCGTGAGAAGAAGCTGTTACTCTTACTGGGGGTTCCCTTGTAAGTGACAAGGCATTTTCTTTTTTCTGCTTTCAATTTTTTTCCTTGTCCTTGGCTGTCAGTATTCTTACCAAGATGTGTCTGTGTGTGTGTGTGTCTGTGTTCATTCTACTTGAAGTTCATTCAGCTTCTTGGATAGGTATTTTATTGTTTTTCAATAAACTTAGGAAGTTTTAAGCCACTGTTTATTAGAACAATTTTTCTGTTTCTTTCTCTTTCCTCTCCTTCTGCCATTCCTATTGTTTTGCTTAATGGTGTTCCACATTTCTCTAGGGCTCTACTTATTTTTTCATCTTTGTTCTTTCCCCCCATTCTTTGGATTGCATTATTTCTATTTTCTTTTCTTTTTCTTTTTTTTTTTTTTTTTTTTTTGAGATGGAGTCTCGCTCTGTCACCCAGGCTAGAGTGCAGTGGCGCAATCTCGGCTCACTGCGTTCAAGTGATTCTCCTGCCTCAGCCCCCTGAGTAGCTGGGACTACACGTGTGCCACCATGCCTGGCTAAGTTTTGTATTTTTAGTAGAGGTGGGGTTTCACCATGTTAGCCAGGATGGCCTCGATCTCCAGACCTCATGATCCGCCTGCTTTGGCCTCCCAAAGTGCTGGGATTACAGGCGTGAGCCACCACACCCAGCCTTATTTCTACTTTCAAGTTTGCTAATTCTTCTGTCAATTCAAATCTACTATTGAGCTTCTCTAGTATATTTTTTTCATTTCGGTTATTATACTTTTAGCTCTCGATTTCCATTTGGTTTTATTTTATAATGTCTAACTTTTTAGCGATATTTTTTATTTGACCATACCTTTCCTTTCCTTTTTTAAAAAAATGGGTTTCCTTTAGTTATTTGAACAGATTTATAATGGCTACTTTGAAGGCTTTGTGTGCTCAGTCTGACATCTGGTTGCTTTCACTGGACGTTTCTGTTGCCCGCTTTTTTTCCAGTGTAAGGGTAACATTTCGTTTCTTCCAGAACCCATAGCACTTCTCTTTCCTAACTAGCATTGTCCAGTAAAACACCTGTAGTGATAGAAATGTTTATATCTGCCCTGTCCAATGTAATAGCCACTAGCCACATGTGGCTATTGAGCACTTGCAATGTGGCTAGTGTAACTAAGAAAGTGAATTTTAAATTTTATTTCATTTCGATTAAGCATAAATAGCCATATTTAACTTCAAGAAGATAAGTGGCTATCTTCTTGAACAATGCAATTGTAGGCCATGCTCAGAGTACCAATTCCTTAGAATTCCCTACTCAAATGTTCCCAAACCTGCTTCCAGCAACTGTTTGGGCCTCTTCCTAGTCCATCTTCTACCTGACACCCAGAACAGATCATGCTGGTACGCACACCCCAAACCCAAGGGGTAGGCAAGAGGTGATGTGGGGTACATGCACCAAGCTCCAATGTGCAGGCTTGGTATCCACATACATGCATGAATAACTCCTTAGGGGTACAGGACATCAACAAGGAAGGCAAGAGAAGGGAGTAAGCTATAGATAGGGCGCCTCCATTTGTACTCTTTGTCCAGGATCCACAAATGCTAGAGATGTCTTTGACTGGTAATGTCCCATTTCTTAGCTATGTGATGGCTACATGTGTGTTCACTGTATAATTTTTTGACTCTATTTATATGTACAAATGTGCACGTGTGTATGTGTATAGGTATACACATATATGCTATATTTCACAATTCTTTAAAATGATTAAAAAATTTTTACCACTATTAGGATAAAGTCCTAGCTCGTTCCATGATATATAAAGCCTTGTACAAACCATCTTCTGCCTATCTTGGACCTGATCTCCTGCCATTCTCCCTCTCTCCTGTCACCTCTAGTCACACTGACCTTTTTGCTCCAGCCAACAGTGCCAAGTTACAGAGCTGTTTGTTGGAGGAGGTTTAATTGGCCCTGCATTTAAAACCATTTGTATTAGTGAGGCAAAGAAATGCCTGCGATGGGGGTTGCATGAGGACTGGAATGAGCAGCCACAGTGTCAGAAGTGATGTGGCAACTGCAGCCTCCCAGAGTTTAGGAGGAAAGACATCTGCTTATATAAGAAAGCTGGAGACAGTTCTGAAGGCTGCCAAAAAAGGAACACTTGCAACTGAAGGAACCATCAATCAGGTGCCCTGAACAGGTGGAGGCTGGGGCTACTCTCAGCGGAAAGCCAGGCTCAGAGCTCCAATTACCAGCCATGAGGAATCCAACTATCAAAACTGATGCCAGAGGGGAGGGAGAGGAGGAGACAGAGGCCTGACTCAGCGGAAAGAGCGATTCCAGAGCACCTGAGGTAACTGACGAACCACCAGAGAGGAGTTGGAGATCAATAACAGAAATATCTAACTCAGTGGTTCTCAAAGCCAGATCCCCAGACCAGCAGCATCAGCTTGACCAGGGAGCTGGTTAGAAGTGCACATTCTCAGGCCCCCCCTTGGTAAGAATCAGAAACTCTAAGGCACAGGGAGGGACCAGTAATCCCTGTTTTAAGAAGCCCTCCAAGGTGGCTTTTCCAATGTTGGATAAATTCTGAGAGCCATAAATCTAACTTTAATTGAGCGTGGACTATGTACCAGGCGCTATTCTGAGTGTTTGCCTCTATTAACTGAATATTCCACATAATGGCATCATGAAATAGAAGGTGAACCATTTTACAGATGGGAGCTGTGAGACAGGATAATTTATGTAACTTACCTAAAATCAGAGAGCCAGACAGAGGGAGAGATGCAATCTGAACCTCAAGAGCATGTGCTCTTCCTTCACCACTGGGCTCTACTGCAGTGTTGCTCAGACCTTAGCACACAACTCCTGGGGGGCTTCTGAAAACACTCCTGCTGGAACCCCTTGGTAGAGTCTGTGATTCACTAGAATTGGGGCTGAGAATTTGCATTTCTCACAAGGCCAGATGATTCGGAGGCTCCTGGTCCAATTTCACTCTAGGAGAACCATTGTGCCATGTTTTACCACCTTCCCCACCTGAGGATTTAGTCCAGCAAATGGAAATGTTGATTGAGGCTTTTTGAGAAAATCCATGTGCAGAGCCCCTTGCCGGGACTCTTTTGGCTACAAATGACAGAAAACCCTGTTCTAATTGTCTTAAGCAAAAATGGTATCTATAGGCCACTTGAAACAGCCTAAGTCTGCCTCTAGGCACAGCTGGACCTAAGGATCCAGGAGGTATTAACAGTTAGGATTCCCTCTTTTTCTCTCCATCTCTCAGCTCAGCTTTCCTCTCTGCCTTCATTCTGTTGTCTTCATTCTCCCCTCACAATGGCCCCCAGCAACTCTGGCCTTAGATTCCACCAGGTAGAAACCCCCAAGTACCCCTTCCTATTATCCCATCAGAAGTACACGCTGGCTGTCATTGGCCAGACATGGATCACAGGCGCATTTCTGAACAATCATTGTGGTCAAGGAAATGTAATGTTCTTATTAGCTAGGCCTGGGTTATGGGCTCACCTCTAAAGAGCAGAAAGTGGGCTGAGCTGCACTAAAAGCACACAGATCAAGAGTAGGGTAGAAGAATCGGGTGCTGGGGCCAAAAAAGGAAATGAATGTTGAGCAGGCAAATATAACCAATGTCCACTACACCATCCTCAAAGGACAAAATGTGTTCAACATTAAACTCTCAAAGGATGGGCCCAAGCACAGAGATCATGATCAAAGGGAAAACCCAGGCCAGGTGCTGTGGCTCACACCTGTAATCCCAGCACTTTGGGAGCCCAAGGTGGGAGGATCACTTGAGGTTCAAGACCAGCCTGGGCAACATAGTGAGACCCCGTCTCTACAAAAAAAAAAAAAAAAAAAAAAAAAAAAGGCCAGGCATGGTGGCTCACACCTGTAATCCCAGCACTTTGGGAGGCCGAGGCAGGTGGATCATTTGAGGTCAGGAGTTCGAGACCAGCCTAGCCAACATGGTGAAACCCCATCTCTACTAAAAATATAAAAAATTAGCTGGGCGTGGTGGCAGGTGCCTATAATCCCAGCTACTCAGGAGGCTGAGGTGGGAGAATTGCTTGAACCTGGGAGACAGAGGTTGTAGTGAGCTGAGATTGTGCCACTGCACTCCACCCTGGGCCACAAGAATGAAACTCTGTCTCAAAAAAAAAAAATTTTTTTTTTTAATTTAGCGGGTGTGGTGGCACATGCCTGTAGTCCCAGCTGCTAGGGAGGCTGAGGTGGGAGGATTGCTTGAGCCAAGGAATTTGAGGCTGCAGTGAGCTATGATAGTGTCACTGCACTTCAGGCTTTCTCTTGGGGTCTCTCGCGTGGCTATAGTCAGATAGTGACGGGAGCTGGGGTCATCTCGAAGGCTTCCTCACACACATGTCTGGCAGTTGATGCTGGCTGCTGGCCAGAATACACTCATGTGAACCATCCATGCGGCCTGGGCTTCCTTCCATACCAATTTGTTTCCAAGGGTGAGCATTTCAAGAAAGAGAACCAGGCAGAAGCTGTGTTGCCTTTTTGTGACCTGGCCTCAGAAGTCACATAGTGTCATTTCTACCATACTCTCCTGGTTGTCTTGATGCCTAGGATCAAGAGGAGTGGTTACAGACTCCAGCTCTTGGAATGGGAGTGGTACATGATCAGAAGAGCAGGGGGAATGGGAGACATTGATTGTCACCGTCCTTTTTGTAAAATAATATGCCACAGGGAGGCAATGACTGGAAGGAAGGCATGCGGGGGATTCTGGGGGGCTATTAGTGCTGTGTTTTTTAAATCTGCATGCTGCTCACAGCCAGTTGCATAATTTTTTTCTTTTTGAGACAGGGTCTTGCTCTGTTGCCCAGGCTGGAGTGCAGTGGTGCAATCTCAGCTCACTGCAACATCCGCCTCGCAGGTTCAAGCCATTCTCGTGCCTCAGCCTCCCGAGTAGCTGGGACTACAGGTGTGCACCACCACGTCTGGCAAACTTTTGTATTTTTAGTAAAGAGGGGGTTTCACCATGTTGGTCAAGCTGGTCTCGAATTCCTGGCCTCAAGTGATCTGCCCACCTCGGCCTCCCAAAGTGTTGGGATTACAGGTGTGAGCCACTGTGCCCAACCCAGTTGCCTAATTTTTAAACTACACCACAATGTCATTTCCAGAGTTCCAGACTTCCATTAATTCCTTCAAATCTTAGCTTTACTGTCCTCTCCTTCACAAAACCACTAATGACATCCTACACTCCCTCAATAACCTCTGCTCTCTCAGCTCCATGAGGCCTAGTGATACCTCTATTATAGTAAATATTACCTTACCTTAAATTGTCCAGGTTATGTGTCTACCCTCCACTCTAGGACAGAAGTCCTCAATTTTTTTTTTTTTTTTTTTTTGAGGCAGAGTTTCACTCTTGTTGCCCAGGCTGAAGTGCAATGGCGGATCTCAGCTCACTGCAACCTCTGCCTCCCAGGCTCAAGCAATTCTCCTGCCTCAGCCTTCCCAAGTAGCTGGGATTACAGGTGCCCACCAACACACCTGGCCAATTTTTTGTATTTTTAGTAGAGACGGGGTTTCACCATGTTGACCATGGCTGTTCTCGAACTCCTAACGTCAGGTGATCTGCCCGCCTCGGCCTCCCAAAATGCTGGGATTACAGGCGTGAGTCACCGCGCCCGGCCGTCCTCAAAGATTTTTTATCACATCCATGAGCTGCATCTCCGCTGTATGTATGTGTGCGTGTACATATATACAGATACAGTGGTAATTTACAAACTGTACAGTATTAATAGGCACAATATAAAACATGCGCTAAGACAGAAATGCTTAAAGGATGAGACAAAATTGGTTGTACTCACGCCTGTAATCCCAGCACTTTAGGAGGCCGAGGCGGACAGATCACGAGGTCAGGAGTCTGAGACCAGCCTGACCAACATGGTGAAACCCTGTCTCTACTAAAAATACAAAAAAAATTAGCCGCTTGTGGTGGCACGCTGCTGTATTCCCAGCTACTCAGGAGGCTGATGCAGGAGAATCTCTTGAACCCAGGAAGCGGAGGTGGCAGTGAGCCGAGACGGTGCCACTGCACTCCAGCCTGGGCAACAGAGTAAGACTCCATATCAAAAAAAAAAAAGTGGTTGTAAATAGACTTTCTAATATTTTCCTGCACCTAAAATGTTTGTCTTGAAAACCCCCAGAAAACCAGGACCATCTTCAGAGACTATTACCATGACCACAAATTCCACAAGGACAGGTAACAATCTGTCTTACTCACCTCAGTATCCCAGCCACTGAATGAGATGTGAAAATGTATTCAATTGTACACCAAACATGTATTACAGAATGGGAGAAAA
Organism: Homo sapiens; assembly: GCF_000001405.40. Lineage (NCBI taxonomy): Eukaryota > Metazoa > Chordata > Mammalia > Primates > Hominidae > Homo > Homo sapiens. The sequence goes on from NW_009646206.1 coordinate 67,116, forward strand.
TATTTGCAAACTCTCCATCTGACAAGGGATTAATAACCAGAATATAAAAGGAGCTCAAACAACTCAATAAGAAAAAAAAACTTATAAACTTATTTAAAAATGGCCAAAAGATCTGAATAGACATTTCTCAAAAGAAGACATACAAATGGCAAACAGGCACATGAAAAGGTGCTCAACATAACTGATCATCAGAGAAATGCAAATCAGAATTACAATATCATCTCACCCCAAGTAAAATGGCTTTCATCCCAAAGACAGGCAATAACAAATGCTAGTGAGGAGGTGGAGAAAAAGGAACCCTCGTACACAGTTGGTGAGAATGTAAATCAGTACAGCTACTACGGAGAACAGTATAGACGTTCCTCAGAAAAAGTGAAAATAGCTGGGCGCAGTGGCTCATGCCTGTAATCCCAGCACTTTGGGAGGCTGAGGCGAGTGGGTTGCCTGAGGTCAGGAGTTTAAGACCAGTCTGGCTAACATGGTGAAACCCCGTCTCTACTAAAAACACAAAAAAATTAGCTGGGCATGGTGGTGTGTGCCTGTAATCCCAGCTACTCCGGGGGCTGAGGCAGGGGAATTGCTTGAACCATGGAGATAGAAGTTGCAGTGAACAGAGATCGCACCACGGCACTACAGCCAGGCAACAGAGCGAGATTCCATCTCAAAAAAAAAAAAAAAAAGAAAAAGAAAAAGAAAAACTGAAAATAGAACTACCATATGATCCTGGCAGAATCCCACTGCTAGGTATATATCCACAAGAAAGAAAATCAGTATATGGAAGAGACATCTCCACTCCCATGTTTGTTGCATCATTGTTTACAAGCGCCCAAATTTGGAATCAACCTAAGTGTCCATAACAGATGAATGGATAAAGAAAACGTGGTGCATATACACAATGGAGTACTATTCAGCCATAAACAAGAATGAGATCCTGTCATTTGCAATGACATGGATAGAACTGGAGGACATTATATTAAGTGACAGAAGCCAGGCACAGAAAGGCAAACTTGACATATTTTAACTCATTTGTGGGAGCTAAAATGTAACAACTGAACTCATGGAGATAGAGAGTAGAAGGATAGCTGCCACAGGCTGGGAAAGGTAGTAGAGGGGAGAGGAAGTGGAGATAGTTAATGGGTACAAAAATACAGTTCGACAAAATGAGTATCTAGTATTTGATAACACAACAGGGTGACTACAGTCAGAACTGATTTGTTGTACATTTTAGAATAACTGAGGGAGTACAATTGGAGTGTTCATAACACAAAGAAATGATGAATGCTTGAGGTGATGGATGCCCCATGTACCCTGATGTGATTATTACACACACACCTATACCAAAATATCTCCTGGACCCCAAAAATATGTACACCTACTATGTACCCACAAAAATGGAAAAATTAAAAATAATTTTGAAAAGCTTACTTAAGAAAAAAACAGGTAAAATTTTCAAAGCTAGAGGACATCAGAGAAAAAGTCAGGATATAGTAAAAAAAAACATGAAACTTAAGCCACTTCTGGCCCTCCCATCAGAAAGCTTGATGCCAGATGAAGATTGCAGCCAAGAGCCCTGGAGAGGGGGTGGCACCGTGGAGAGAAAGAGAAGCAAGAAAAGAAGGGGTTTGGTGCTAGGTAGTTCTTGGTGATGAGTCATAACTGACTGCAAAAAGTCAGCGTAAATAGACACTTGGTGAAGGCCGGGCGCGGTGGCTTATGCCTCTAATCCCAGCACTTTGGGAGGCCAAGGCAGGTGGATCACCTGAGGTCAGGAGTTCGAGGCCAGCCTGACCAACATGGTAAAACCCTATCTCTACTAAAAATACAAAAATTAGCTGGGTGTGGTGGCGGGCACCTGTAATCCCAGCTACTTGGGAGGCTGAGACACGAGAATCGCTTGAACCCAGGAGGTGGAGGTTGCAGTGACTGTTAAAAAAAAAAAATAGATCCCTGGCGGGGCACACATACTGCTCCTCCCATCAAGGGATGGTTGGCATACCTTGGCTTGAATCCAGGTTGCCCTTAGTGACTTACTTGACCAATATAATTCAGAGGAAGTGGCATTCTGGGACTTCCGAGGCTAGAGCATAAGATGTGTGGCTTCTGATTGAGCTTTTTGGAAAGCTCAGTCTTGGAATGCTCCCTCTCGGAACCCAGTCATCACACTGTGAGAGGCCCAAGTCACCTGGAGAGGTTATGTCTGGCATTCCAGGCCACAGCCAGCATCAGCTTCCAGCCATGTGAGTGAGCCATCTTGACCTTCAGAGTGGGGCCTTTAGATAACTGTGGTCCCAGCTGATATCCAACTGCAATGGCATGAGAACCGCCCAGCTGAGCCTAGTCAACCTGGAGAACCATGAGTGATAATAATTAAGTTGTTTTCAACAGCAAAATTTGGTGTAGCAGTAGATAACTTAAACCGTGGGCTGCCTCCAACAGCTTCTGTAAATATCGACAACTTTCTCCTGATCTTAAATGTATGACTGCAATGTTGGAAATCTCTTAAAAGTGATGGGTGGAAACAGCAGTGTGTCTGGGCACAGAAGGCTTCCAATGGATGGCAAGACCAAGCATGATAATCTGTGGTCTCTTTTAGAGCCCACTCGGTAAAATGGGGGACCTGGAACCAACCTCGCAGGGATGTTGTAAGGATTCATGCAGTTAAAGCCTGCAACGCAGGTCCTGATGCATAGTAGGTGCCTCCTAAAATGTTAGTTTTAACGTGTGTATCATGTGGATCACTAGTTAACATGTGTTTGACTGCAGCTAAATGGCCCCAAATCAGCAGTGCAGTGGCTCACACCTGTAACCCAACACTCTGGGAGGCCGAGGCGGGTGGATCACCTGAGGTCCGGAGTTCAAGACCAGCCTGGCCAACGTGAGGAAACCCCATCTCTACTTAAAAAAAAAATACAAAAAGTTAGCCAGGCATGGTGTTGCATGCCTATAATCCCAGCTGCTCGTGAGGCTGAGGTAGGAGAATCGCTTGAACCCAGGAGGCAGAGGTTGCAGTGAGCCAAGATCATGCCACTGCACTCCAGCCTGGGCAACAAGAGCAAAACTCCGTCTAAAAAAAAAAAAAAAAACCAAAAGGGGCTGAACAAAAAAGGAACTGCATTGTTTCACATAGCAAGAAAAGCAGAGGTGGGTTCCAGGGTTGTTAAATTCATTAATTTATCTATTCAAACATTTTAGTTCTACTTCAGTAAAAATTTTATTTAAAAATACATGAGTACCAACCCATTGTCAGGCACTGTTCCAGGATCTGGAGATATAGCATAGAAGAAAGCAAAGTCCCTTAGGTGGTTCAGTGACATTATCAAGAACTTAGGTCCTTTGTCTTTTCTGCACTGCCATCTTCAGCATGACACCTGCATCACCAGATGGTGGCCACCGCCCCGGCATCACCCGCTTACACGGCATTTCCAGGGACAGAACAGGGAGTCTGCTCTAGCCTCTCTCTCTTTTTGTGATTCAACTTTATTGAGATATAATTTACATGCAATAAAATATATCCACTTTAAGTATAAAATGCAATAAATCCCAAAAGTTTCCCTCATCCCTTGTGATTTTAAGATACAGTTTTATCACATATTTTTGTATGCTTAAAAATGTTTCCTTTTGCTTGGCTTTGAGCTTTATAAATAGTATCATCCTATATGGAGTCTTTTGTTTTATTCACATTATGTTTCTGTAATTCTTTTTTTTTTTTCTTTTTTTTTTTTTTTTGAGACAGACTCTCACCCTCTTGCCCAGGCTGGAGTGCAGTGTCCAGGATCATAGCTCACTGCATCCTCGACCTCCAGGCCTCAAGCGACCCTCCCACTTCAGCCTCCCGAGTAGTTGGAGCTACAAGCACACGCCACTGAGCCCAGCTAATTTTTGCATTTTTTGTAGAAATAGGGTTTCACCATGTTCCCCAGGCTGGTCTTGAACTTCTGGCCTCAAGCAATCCTCCCGTCTCAGCCTCCCAAAGTGCTGGGATTACAAGCAGGAGCCACCATGCCCAGCCTAAATTCATCTTTTTCTTGTACATCTGTTGTTCCTTCATTTTCACTGCTGTGTAATTGTCCGTCATGTGAGATATACTAAAATTTATCAATTCTCCTTTAAATGGACATCAGATGTGTTTCTTTTTGCTATCAGATAAATGCTTTACAAAAGCATACAAAAGTTGACAGATGAACTTTGTATACTTGATCTTAGCCAAAGGCTGAGAAGAGATACTATGAACTTTAACATCTCAATCGATGCATGTGGTCAAATATCTCTTCTTGGGTAAGGACCTAGGAGTGCCAAGCATATGGGATTCAGATTTTCAATTTGGTTCAGTTTTTCAAAATAACAACAAACTACTTCCCAGAGGGTTGTACTAATTTGAACTCCCATCAGCAACATATGAGATGTCCTGTGAATCCCCATCCTCACCTACAGCCATCTTAACTTTTGTCAATTTGAGGCTGTGAAACAGAATTTTAGTGTGGCCTTTTTTTCTTTAGATGTTCCATATAATTAGGGGCTGGCTTTTAGTCAGATGGCTGGGACCAAACGATTGAGGAGGAAGGGAATTTAGAGGGTGACTGTAATGATGAATCTATAATTGGTAGGGGACAGTGGGCAGGGTGGGATGGAAAAAGGAGAGCCATGATGGACAGGGAGAGTGTGGGAACGTGGCCTGGAGGTTGCGCTGGAAGCAGAGGTGGTACTTGAACAAGCAAGCTGGAAGGAGAGGAAGTGGATTTCAGTTTCCTGATCTTTGTCTTGCTCTGATTAGGGATGAGTTGGAACATCTTTTCATGTCAATTACAAAACTACTGAAGCAACCAAAGAATCTCAAAGGAAAAGACCGACAGACTATTTTTAAAATTACTTTATTTAAAGCAATGTTTCTATGCAATTTAAATAAAAGAAATCTCTGGAGAAAAAAAAAATCTCTTTATCACAATCTATGTTGTACCCAAAACTGATATAACTTAACAAAGAAAAGACCAAGCCCCCGTTCAGGAATGTGCCATTGGTAAAGGGCAAATCCTGAGAGGAGCTACAGGGTAGCTCAGAGACAGGTGGGCAGAGCAATTCTACAGAAGGCAGATGTGATCCATGGCATGGCTACTGCACGCCCAGCAGGAGTCGAAGCAGCAGGAGATGCTGTGCTGGTGGCTGGGCCATCAAAATGAGGCCTCTGAGGCTGGCTTCACAGTCCAGTTGTGAAATGTGCACGACCCACATCTCACGTGTCATTTATTAATGCAGTATATTCACTGACTGTGTGCCAGGCTCTGCAGATAATGTGGCAACCAAGATAGACTCTGCCCCCATGCTCATGGATTTATTGTCCAAAGATGAGACAGACGCAGAGATGCTGACATCACAGCTGGTCAAGGTGGGACAGGGGAGAGGCAGACAGATGGGTCAAGGCTGGGATGGGAGAAACCCCAGGAGCTGTGGAAGCTCAGAACGGGCCCCCCACCCACCCTGGGGGACCAAGGGGGCTTCCTAAAGGAGACACCTTTACTGAGACCTGAACAGTGTATGGAATTAGTTGTGGGGAGGTGGGTGAAAGAAGGGTGCTCCAAAAAGAGGGAGAAGCACGTACAAATGCCCACAGGTGACAGGGAGTCGGGAGTGTTCTAGACCAGCATGATCCAACAGAAGAGTAACACGAGCCATACATGTGAGCTGCAAAGCTAATTAAACATTTTCTAATAGCCCAATTAAAAAAACCATAAAATTAATTGTAATTTTAATAATATATTTTATTTAACTCAATATATCCAAAATATTACCATATCAGTATGTGATCAATATAAAACATTTTTTTTGTACCAAGTCTTTAACTCTGGTGGGTATTTATGCTTAAAATATATCTCAAGTCACACGAGCCACATTTCAAGTGCCCAGGAGCCACATGTGGCCAGTGGCTCCTGTACTGTACTGAAGAGCAGGGCAACACCTTTGCTACTCAAAGCCTTGGCATCATTTGGGAGCTTGAAATGCAGAATCTCAGGCCCCTTCCTCAACCCACCGAAGCGGAATCTACATTCAAAATCCCAGATGCACATCAGAGTTTGAGAGAAATGGGTCCAGTTCTGCCTAAAATACTTCTGTGGCTTCCTACTGCCCTCATGATAAATGTCCAGCTATTGAGGTTGGCAATCATTCATTCACTCCTTCATTTACTCATTCATTCAGCGCATGGTTACTGAGCACCTACTGAGTGCCAGGCCCTGTGCTGGGTGATGTTGAGGACTCACCGACGGTACAGACAGACCTGATTCTGACCCTGCTGGAACTCCCAGACAGTTAATAAATGAGTAGCCAAATCACTGTTTCATTTGGACTATGTGAAACATAATATGCTTAATGTGAATTTGCAGTGTACAAGGAGTGTCAGGGAAGGTCTGACCCGATTTGAGTGGAAAGGGATCCAGAAAAATAACCCAAATAAGGGAAGAGGCCACCACCATGGCGAAAGGCCACAAGCAGATTAAATGTCCTATTGCAGAGGACAGGATTGCCAAGCAACTCCAGCCCATTCATGGTCATTAAGAAGGATCGTTTTCAGGCTTCAGAGAAATGTGGAGAAACGCCTGGAGTATAGGGTTACAGAAAATGAGCCAGGGACAGAGCTGGTGCGGTGATATCACCCCATGCACAGACTTGTCTGAATTTGGAAAATGAGGAGAAAGGAGGGGATCAGAGAATCAGGAAGATGGGCAATTTGTCAGTAGGGAATGACTTGGGGCAAGAAATTGCAGGTTATCTTTTTTTAGGAAAATTTAAAAATCCCTTAACAAAACATATCTAGATTTGCTTTAAAAATAACTGAGGCCGGGCACGGTGGCTCACAACTGTAATCCCAGCACTTTGGGAGGCTGAGGCAGGCGGATCATGAGGTCAGGAGTTCAAGACTAGTCTGGCCAACATAGTGAAACTGTCTCTACTAAAAATACAAAAAAATTAGCCAGGTGTGGTGGTGTGCGCCTGTAATCCCAGCTACTCAGGAGGCAGGAGAATTGTGTGAACCTGGGAGGCGGAGGTTGCAGTGAGCAGAAATCGTGCCATTGCACTCCAGCCCGGGCAACAGTGTGAGACTCTGTCTATAAATAAATAAATAAATAAATAAATAAATAAATAAATCTGAGCAGCAGAAAAAGATGTGCAAGGTATGGATTAAGCAACAGTGGCCATATGCTGGTAACTGCAGAAGCTAGTGATGAGAACGTAGGAGTTCATCAGCCTCTTCTCTATGCTCTTATGTATGTTTGAAATTTTCCCTTAAAATAAGTTAAAAGTGTTTTACTTTTTCTTCTTCTTTTTAGAGATAGAGTCTTGCTCTGTCACCCAGGCTGGAGTGCAGTGGCACGATCACTGCCTAGTTCACTGCAGCTTCAACCTCCTGGGCTTAAGCGATCCTCCTGCCTCAGCCTCCCAAGTAGCTGGGACAACAGGCTTGCACCACCATGCCCAGCAATTTTTTTAGTTATTGTAGAGAAAGGGGTCTCACTATGCTGCCCAGGCCAGTCTTAACTCCTGACCCCAAGCAATCCTTCTGCCCTGACCTCCCAAAGTGCTGGGATTCCAGGAATGAGTCATGGTGCCCAGCATTTTAAAAATGTTTTTCTTTACAAATAATTGGTGATGTTGAAAGGTTTCTAGTCGCTGGAAAAGAAAGCAATTTAAGCCCCTCTTCCAAAGGAAGAAACTGTAAGATCAGAAATATGAGTTTCTCCTTTCAGAATAGAGTCAAGGAGGAAGGTGGTTAAAGGCACACATGATAGAACTGAGACTCCTAGGTTCAAATCCTGTTGCAGGCACTTACTAGCTATGGAACCTGAAGTAACTGATTTAAACTCTAAATGCCTCACTGAAAACCTGGGATAATAACAGTAGCTACCTCCTAAGGGGTATGTGAGGATTACTGGATGTATGCAAGCTGGGGGTTTAGAAGAGTGCCTGGCATGAAGAAGGCACCATACAAATGTGGGCAGTTACTGTGAAAGCCTATGCTAGCCAGGCTTAGAACTGCAAAATGTCCCAAAGCACATCCGCTAATAGTCTCTCTTTCTTTTTTTTTTTTTTTTTTTTTTGTAGAGACAGAGTCTTGCTGTCACCCAGGCTGGAGTGCTGGAGTGCAGTGGTGCGATCTCGGCTCACTACAACCTTGACCTCCCGAGTTCAAGCAATTCTCCTGCCTCAGCCTCCTGAGTAGCTGGGACTACAGGTGCACGCCACCATGCCCGGCTAATTTCTTTTGTATTTTAGTAGAGACGGGGTTTCACCATGTTGCCCAGGCTGGTCTCAAACTCCTGAGCTCAAGCAATCCGCCTGCCTCGGCCTCCCAAAGTGCTAGGATTACAGGCATGAGCCACCGTTCCCAGCCCACTAATAGTCTCTTTACTGAACTCACTGTGCCAACAGCCACTGATATCAGAGTGGAAGAATTCTCCCAATGCCAGTATTAATAATCTAGTTAACTTCCCTCTTGCACATACAAAATCCTTTTATACAATTCAGTTGTTCTAAATGCTTGTGAGACATTTTTTAGATACCTTGTAAGTCATGTTTATAAGGATAATTGTGATAATTAATATAGAAGATTCTCTTAATCAATGTGACTCAAAAGGAAGCTTACAAGTGATCCTTAAAATTTCACTCTGGTGTGACAACCCTAGTGTAAAGAGAAATGAGCCTCAGTTTTCTTCCTACTGCTGTAGATTTTTTAAAGTAATAAAGTGATTCCTGAAAGTTGTTTTCATCTTAAGCTGACACATAATGTGATTTATTTTCCTGTTTACTTTTCCCCCTACAACAGGTTTAATTGCGTTAAATGGTGAGATGGGAGGCCAAGAGCCCAGGGAGGAGGACAGGCAGAGACAAGGTGGGAGAGGACCGGGTTGGACCAAGGCAGAGTGGAAAATGGGAGAAGGGAGAAGATGTGAGAGATGTCCAGCAGTCCCAGAGGACAAGCCCTGGAAGCTGATGGGCTGGACGGGGGGCAGGGATGGGAGGGAGGCATTCAGAATGAGGCCCATGGCTCCCTCTGAGAACCTGGAGCCTGGAGGGGCCACCCCTGAGACAAAGGCTGAGAGAGCATGTTTGGAATCTGGGACATGGTGAGTGTTAAGGGCCCAAGGATTGCCCAGTTGGGATTGGGGGATTGTCCATGAGGCCTCCGGATCCTCCAGGTCTAGGGCTCAGAGTAGAGGTCAGGGCTAAGGACAGAGTGTGTCATCTGCACAGAGATAGGAAACAGACCATGAAAGAGGGTAAGGTGGCCCCAAGGTGAGAAGAGAGAACATAGCCCCACCACATTTAACAGACTGGTGAAAACAGAGGAGCCCGCAAGGAAGCAAAACGTAGAGGAAATGTCAGGGGATAGCAGACTCACAGAAACTAAGGGGAGGGTGTGCTCACAGAAGGCAGGCAGGGTCACCACAGCCGATTTTTGCCAAGATGACCAATAAGATGAGCACCAAAAAGAGCCCACTGAGCCAGGCTTCTCACTGGCAGAGGAAGGAGTTATAAAGAAAGCAAGGGGGGGATGGTGAGAATGAACCCTCTGGTACTAGACTAGTGTCAGAGTATCAGTATGAACTCATGCTTATTTTTACACACCATTCTCCAATGAAAAGAACCAGTGACTCTAGAGGAAGAGCTAATTCTAGGGCTGGTGCAGGGAGAATACATGAGCCTGGAATATCTTGCAGTGCCAGAAAGTAAGAAGGTGTTGGAGAAAAAAAAAAGAGTAAAGAACACAGGAGCCAACCTGAAAGATAAACGCTGATGGCCAAGGCTAAAACAACTTGAGCAAAAAAAAAATTGATTACAATAATGTTGGGGTATGCCCAACTAATAAATATTCATGAGTCCACACGGAAATAAACTAATGATTGTATAAATAAAATAAGTGAAGTATGATAGAAGGGACAAATCTTCCATATGGAATTCTAAATAGTAAATGTAAAGAAATGAGGGAAACAGAAAGTCATCATTATAATATCACGGTAATAACTGCTACAGACCGGGTCCACTGATGAATGCTAAAATGTGTGGGTAAACTTGAAGGAGAAATGGGATATTTGTGCAGCCTCCAAGTATCTCCCTATTTCCCTCCAGGAATCAGGCTTAGCTCTCCTCTGAGTGTGGGCTGGATTTAGTGACTTGCTTCTAACAAATGAGTAAAGGGAAAATAGTGGTATTATCGTTGGGAAATCTGCAGACACCACTTTCATGAAGTGATCAGGTTAACCTCACCTCAGTGAGCATTCTTCCCAAAGCCTAAAATCCCAGTCTAACCACGAGCAAAATGTCAGACAACCTCAGACTGAGGGCCATTCTACAAAAACATCTCACCAGTACTCCTCAGAACTGTCAAGGTCATGAAAAACAAGGAAGGACTGAGAAATTGTCACAGATTGGAGGAGGCCAACGAGAAATGACCAACAAATGCAACATGGTATCCTGGATTGGATCCTGGAACAGAAAAAGGACATTAATGGAAAAACAGGAGAAATAGGATTCAAGTCTGGAGTTTAACAGAATATTAATCCATGTTAATTTCTCAGTTTTGACAAATATACAATAATTATGTAAGATGCTAACACTAGGTGGAAGTTGGGTGTAGGTATAGGGAAGTCCCTGTATCATCTTTGCAACTTGTCTGTAAATCTAAAATTATTAAATTTTAAAACGTTCACAAAACTTTAAGTCTCCTCTGCAATATGGCTCGAGGTGGTCCCCCGCGGAGTTCCAAAGCACGCTTTGTTTGACTCATCCTTCAGATCTCATCTTACATGCTCCCCACGCCAGGAAGTCCCACCTGACACCACAGACTGGGTCAGGAGCTGCCTCTGGCTCCCACAGTCCCCCTGTGGCTCCCCTATCCTGGCCCCAACCCCTCTGCCTCCCCATCCCAGCCCTGGTCACTGTCTGCCGTTGGGGTTGTCTTCCCCACTGGACTGTGAGCTTTGCGAGGGCAAGGTGGAGGCTGTCTCAGCCATTGCTGTGTCTCAGCCATTGCTGTGTCTCTCTTGAGTTGAGAGTAATGCGTGTCTCCCTGACTCCTCTGGGAATACCCATGAACAGGCAGAAGCTGCGCCTGAATCCTCCCAACTGACCCTTAACGCTTCACAGCCCAAGGCCTGCCAGATCCACCTTCCTGGTATCCCCTTTCCTGTTTGCTCAATCCAGGACACATCTGAGGCAATATAAATGGTCTGTCTCACCCATCAGCCAAAAGAGGGTCAAATCATCTCCAACCCCTGCCACACCTGCCCACCCACATGTCCGCCCTGTACACCAAGTGTCAGAAACACATGGTGACTGTGAATGTTTGGGGGGCCTGCCCAGTCCACAGCCCTTCTGAGCAGACAGTCATCACTATAGGAACCCTCCAGCTCCAGTGAGTTGAGCAGGGTTGGATACCCGACCCTGGAAATCCCATTCCTATCTGGGAAATTCGGAATGAAGACTGAGGGGCTGCGGGTAACTGAGCTGGAAGATCACATAGAGTGGGGGCAAGAGTCCACCCAGGACCAACCCAGCTGCCTGAGAACAGGAAGCAGCCAATGCAAAGAGAAGCAGAGACCACAGGGCCCAGTGGAAAGGAGGAATGTCACACCACTGTCTCACTTCTGCTTCTATTCTGTTCTCATGAAGCCCTTGTCAGGTTCTTTCCATCACTACCCACAACCAATCACAGTGAGTTCTGCCTTCAAAATGCACCCAGACTCCAATGACTACTCATTCTGCCCCTGCCCTGGTACAGGCCACTGTCATCTCACCTAGATTATTGCAGCAACCTCCTCACGGGCCTCCCTGCTCTCATTCTCAGCCCACACTTCCATCTATACACCCTCCCTTAGTGATCCCATCCTGGGCTTTAATACCATAAATATGCCAACTACTCCCAGCCCAGATCTCACCCTTCAATGCCAGTCTTGTATAAGCTCCTGTTTGGCCAGTGGGTCCAGTCAGAGGCTAAACACGCCCACACTCTCTCTCAGTCTTGTCCATACAGTTAATGGCACTCCCTCCTTCCTCTGTGCAGACTAAACGCCATAGTGTGGTCCTTGACTCTTCTTTCTTACCCTACATACCTGATTCTCCCTTCAAATTATATGCAAAATCTGACCACATCTCCCCACCGCCCCGTTAGCACCCTGGCCAAGCCACTATCATCTCAGCTGGACTGCACAGTGGCCTCCTCACTGGCATCCTGCTTCCACCCTAGTAGCCACATGGGAGCCAGAGGAACCCTCTTACCGTGGTAGATCACATCGCCTCAGCTCACCATGCTCTCCCTGCCACACATCTCATCAGCTTCAAATTCAAGTCCTTCCCATGGCCTCCCGGTCCCACCTGACCTTGCCTTGGTCTCCTTCCCTCCCACTGTGTCCAGTCAGGTCCAGTTCACTCCTTTCTGCTCCTCCAGCACACCAAGCATGCCTCGGGGCCTTTGAATTTGCTGGTTTTTTCTACCTGGAATGTCCTTCTTCCCAGAATATACATACAGCCAGCTGGTGTCCTCCCTTTCTGTGAGGTCCATTAACGTTTTTCTCAAAGAGGTCTTCTTTAACCCCTCTATCTAAAATAGCACCTCTTCCCACTCTCTAGTCTTCCAACCCTCAACTTCTACAGCTCTGTTCACTAATATTAGCATTCATCTTGCCCACTGGAATGCAGGCTCCAGGAGGACAGGGCTTTCGGGGGTCTTGTTTGCTACTATTAATAATACCAGCACCTAAAAATGCTTGGCATGTAGTAAATAGCCAGATCTGATGACTCAACAAATAAGAAAACCCTGGAATCAGTTAGGATATTGTTGATTCTAAGTAATAGAAAACTCAATTCAACAATATAGTTGGCTTAAACGATAGAGATATGTTGAATTCCCTAATGAGAAAGTCTAGAGGTAACTCACTCCAAGTGAGGCCTGATCCAGCACTTCAACAACATCACCAAAGACTCGATGTCTTTCCATCTCTCTACTAGTCCTTCCAAGAAAATGGCTAAAATCACATCACTAAGAAGTGGGTTGGCTGGACGCAGTGGCTCACGCCTGTAATCTCAGCACTTTGGGAGGCCAAGGTTGGTGGATCACTTGAGCCCAGGAGTTCGAGAGCACTCTAGGAAACATGGTGAAACCCCATCTCTACAAAAAATACAAAAATTAGCCAGGTGTGGTGGTGCATGCTTGTGGTCCCAAGTACTCAGGAGACTGAGGCAGGAGGATCACCTGAGCCCAAGAGGTCTAGGCTGCAGTGACTCCAGCCAGGGTGACAGAGTCAGGCCCTGTTTAAAAACAAAAAAAAAGAAGAAGAAGAAGAAGAAAAAGAAGTGGAAGTGGGTTACTAATGTGTTTATTCATCTGACCGCCACTTCTTCAACAATTGTGAAAATTGTAATGCTGATGAACATGATGCTGATAATAATAGCTATCACATATTCAGTGCTTTGTGCCAGGCGCTTTACTAGTACTTTATTAGCTTCTGTGTGCCTTCATTTCCTCGTTTGTAAAATGGGAACAGTAGTAGTACCACATACGGTGACTGAGGATTAAATGAGCTAATACATAAAATGGTAAGATCTTAAAAAAATATTAGCTTGTTTCAGTTAGCTATTGCTGTGTAACAAAGCATCCTAAGCCACAGGGGCATAAAATAGCAACCATTTCTTTGCTCATGATTCTGCAATTTGGACAAGGCTCAAAGGGTCAGGGGATTTGAGATGGTTCATTCCTACTCCACATGGTGTCAACTGGAATGGGAGTTAGGCCATCCCAAGATGGCATCACTTGCACGCCTGCACATCAGCTAAAAGTTGGAACAGCCGCGGGCTGGGGCAGATCTATAGAAAGGGCAGGGCTCCAAGAGTAGAAGCAGAATCTGCCAGGTCTCTTAAAGCCTAGGCCTCCATTTAGTACAGCATCATCTTCATTGTATTTTTTTTTTTTTTTTTTTGAGAAAGAGTCTCACTCTGTCACCCAGGCTGGAGTGCAGTGGTATGATCTTGGTTCACTGCAACCTCCACCTCCCGGGTTCAAGTGATTCTCCTGCCTCAGCCTCCAGAGTAGGTGGGACTACAGGAGTGCACCACACCTGGCTATTTTTTTTTTTTTTTTTGTATTTTTAGTAGAGATAGGGTTTCTCCATGTTGGTCAGGCTGGTCTCGAACTCCTTTCCTCAAGTGATTCACCTGCCTCAGCCTCCCAAAGTGCTGGGATTACAGGCATGAGCCACCGCACCCAGCCTGCTTTCATTGTATTCTATTGGTCAAAACAAATCTCAGGGCCAGCTCAGATATAAGGAGAAGGAAGGAGACTCCACCTCTTGATAGGAAAAACAGCAAAGAATGTGTGGCTGTCTTCAATCACAGCTATTTTAATTCCACAGTAACAGCCTTGTCACTGGTCTCCCTACTTTAATCCTTAATGCCTTATAGTCAATTCCCCACACAGAAGCCAGAGGAGTCTTTTAAAGTACACTTTAGTGTGAAGAATTTTAGAAGGAAACACACACACACACATACACACACACACAAACACCTGACCACGCTCCTGTCCCCAGCTTAAAATTCTACAACTTCCCACTACATGTGGGGTAAACACCCAAACTCCTTATGGCATACACAAGGTCTGACCTCTTGCTCTGCATCAGCCTCTAGGCTCCAACCATCCCAAACTCTTATCTCTTAAAGGAGTTAATGCCTACTCCTTCATCACCTCAAACCTCATTTCCTAGGATCCGGATTTGATTTCCTATCAAGTATTCTTATAACACTCTCTACCTTTCTTGGTAATTTCACACGTGTGATTATTTGATAGTCTAAATTACTGTCCCTATTACTGTAGGTTCTATAGGGGTAGGGGAATATTTTGTTCTCTTCTGTGTTCCCAATGCTGAGGAGAAAGAAGAGGCAAGGTGAAATACTTGTTGAATATCTTGAGCCCTCAGAAAACTTTAAGGCAGCTCCTTGGAGTTCTGTAGAAAGGGGATCGGCAGAGTCCCCGCCATGCTGGGATCCAGATATGTGCTCTTCAATAGTTTATTTGATAAGTAGTTACTGAGCCCTAACTGTGTGCCAAGCACTTTTCTATGTGTTGGAGATAACGGAGGAAGTAGACAAAAGCCCCTTCCCTGATGAAGTCAACAGTCTCCTAGAGGTAAGGGTCAGGGGAGACAGACCATAAACACAGATAAATTCTACAGAGTGTTAAACAGTAATATGATTAATGCTAAGGATAAAGTTAAAGAAGCAAAGATAGATGTGACTATAAGTCACAAATTTAGAAGGGTGGTGAGGGAAGATCTCAGGAAGGCAGTGACATCTCAGGAGAGACCTAAAGAGGAAGGAACAAGTCTGGGCTATTTGATAGATGAGTTCTTTAGGCAAAGAAAAGAGCAAGCACAAAGGCCCTCGGGCCAGTGTGGCTGGAGCACAGGGAGTAAGAAGAGTAGATGATGTCAGAGAGGTGATGAGGGCAGACAATGCAGGGCCTTGCAGAGGACTCTGGGTTTTACCCCGAGCAAGATGTAGCCTTGGAAGTGTTCTGAGCGGGGGAGGGATATGACCTGATACAGGTGCTCACAGCATCCCTCCAGCTGCATGTAAGGAACACTCTGGGGGCAGGGGTGAGAGCAGAGAGATCACTGAGGAGCCTGCCATAATGGTCTGTGAAGGAGATAAGGGTGGACAGGAGTGAAGGTGGGGAGAAGTGGTCAGGTATATTAGCTGACAGACATGAATATAAGACAGAAAGAGGAGTAAAGGACAATTCCAGTGGTTTGGGCCTGGAGAGGATGGGGGGAGCATTTACTGAGATGAACATGCAGGGAAAAAATTTTGGGGAAAGGAGCAGGAGCTCAATTTGATCAAAATTACTCTGGAGATACCTCTAGATTACCAACAGGTTATGAGGAAGGCAGCCAGTCAGGAGCTCAGGGGAGAGATTCTGGGATGGACATAGAAATGTGACACATAATGGGAGGCCGAGGCAGGCAGATCACAAGGTCAAGAGATCAAGACCATCCTGGCCAACATGGTGAAATCCAGTCTCCACTAAAAATACAAAAATTAGCTGGGCATGGTGGCGTGTGCCTGTAGTCCCAGCTACTCGGGAGGCTGAGGCAGGAGAATTGCTTGAACCCGGGAGGCGGAGGTTGCAGTGAGCCGAGATCACGCCACTGCACTACAGCCTGGAGACAGAGTGAGACTCCGTCTAAAAAAAAAAAAAAAAAAAAAAAGTGACATATACATTTCCATGCCTCTCCCAAATTCCTCACAAGACCTACGTGATCTGGCCCTGCTGATGTCTCCTTGGTAAGTTAATGGTACGCGCGCACACACACACACACACACACACACACACACACACACACATCCTGGGCCCTCCCCTTCCTAGGTATTGATAATGGTCAAGTTACCTAAACTTTTCTGTCCTAGGTATCATTTACAAATGGGAGATCACATCAGCACCTGCCTCCTAGGATTGTTCATTCAAGACATTAGCCACTGAGCATCTGCTCTACGCGCTGGAGATATCCCTTCTCCACTCCTCTCCGCCTCCCCCTCCCACACAGCCTGTCAACCTTCTGGACGTCTCTCCCATCCCCTCTTGCCCTCCCTACGGTGGCCCCTGCCCTGATCCATTCCCAACACCTCTTGCCTAGGAATCTGTCACATCTGCCACCCTGGGTTTCCTGACCCCAGTCACTTTCCCGTTAATCTATTCTCATGTCACAGCAAACTGGGCCGTACCCCTTCCCTACTAAAAATCCTCCCATGGCTCTTCATTGCTCTCAGGACAAAATCCAAGGTCCCTAAATGATCAAGAAAATCTTCCACATCTCATTCATACAGAATTTTCAGTATGATCACCAACACCAGATCGCCTGCAGTCCATGTTCACACAACAGGCTGTTTCTCTCTGCCTTTGCGCAAACCATTCCACCACACCGCCCCCGACCCCCAAAACATCCTTCCGTCTTCAGGTCTCAGCTCAGACAGCTCCTAGTCTTCCGGGATGATCTTCCTACCAAGGTCTCCTCGGGTTCCCACCGCGTTCCATGCCGCCTCCATTAGTGAACATACATAGGTCCGCAACGGGGTCTTGCCTGTCTCTCCCACTGAGCGGGGCTTCCCGCAAGCCGGGCCAGGCACAGCGGCCAGTGATGTCCGCGTGCTGGGGCCTCTTCAGGCCTCGGCGTCTACTGCCCGCTCTGGAACTGTGAGCGACAACCGGCACTCTCTCCCGGGACGGCGCCGCACCCACCTTCTGCACACCTCGGAGACCTCAACACCTGCGCCAAAGCCACCCAGTCACAGCCTTCTCTCCCTCTCCTAAACACCATGAACATCCAGGCCCCGGGACCTCAGACTGCTCATTGGCTGCCTGAAAACCCGCCCCCAAGCCTGAGAGAAAAGAACTCTGGTTGCTGTAGTTCCCCAACGAACACCGCAGAAAGCGATTGCTAAGTAGAACTTCATTTCCCACAAAGCGCCGAGCCCCAGTGGTGGCAGACGGTACCCTTTGAACTGGGCTCTTGATTGGCCGGTTGGGAGACGTACATTTCCAAATTACCGTGGAAACAGGACCACTTACCTGGAACCCCGGGAAAATCTTTTTGTCTCAGAATCTCAAAACTCTTTGTTTCGCGATGATTCCAAAGAGCTGGACAGTACACGTGGGGACAGAGTCTGTACCTATTGTCTGCCTGTTCCCCAGATGGCACCAACAAAGCCTCCTAAGTGTACTCAGCTGCTACTGGACGCCTGCTTGGCATGAGGAGCCACTCTTGTGCTAAGTCTGCGGACGCCCCGGCTTATTAGGGCACCTGTTTCCCAGAGACAGGCCAGAGCTGAACCTTTACCCTTTCAGGGTCTATTTACCCAGGAAAAGGCAAATGTAGGCCAGGATCCTGTCCACGATCTATCTAGAATGCTGATGCCCCAGACCTGCAGACTCATGCCTGCAACACGCGCCACAGCTTCCCCACGAGACGTCTCCACACCAGAGCTCCTCCAGCACCCCCTCCGCAAACCCCCTTCCCCACCATGCCTCTGAGGGTCGGGTGAGGGGAGCCGAGGCCCTGCAAACGCTCAGGCAGGCATGTGAGAAAGCTCTTTACTGGGGGTACAGCGAGGAGGAGCAAGGCCATCTCCCCCTACCTGCCCCCACCCCCTCCTAGGGTCCTGGGGTGAGGGGGGGTCTTCCCTCCACCGGACCACCACTGTCTTTGGTACAATAAATAGAAAAAAAGGGGGAGAGGGGCCCAAGGGTCCAGTCCTTAGTGGGGAGGGAGCGGCCAAAACCCTCTCCTTGACCCCCCTGCCCCAGGCCCCAATCAGTGCAGGCCTCACCCACCCCAGCTGGGTAGCAGCAATTCCAGTCAAGGAGAGAGATGAGGATGGGAGCCCAGGGCCCCCAGATGGGGGAGGGTATGGCTTCAGGAGGGGCCCCAGGGAGGGGGCAGGGTCACGAGCTGGCTGCTGTGCTCTGGGGTACACCACGGAGGCCCAGGTGAGGCCCCAGAGTGGCAGGGTCATCAGGAGGCGGGAGGGGTGGACGACCTCCAGTCATCCGAGTCCGGAGGGCTGAGGCAGCCGGGTGCTGGGGGGCAGGCGCTGGGTGAGGTGGGGAGCAGTCAGCAGGGCCGCCCACCAGGCTCACATCCATCAGCTCCGGGGGTGGTGGTGAGGTTGGTGATGGGGGACGACCAAGGTATCGGGGCTGGGGGGGTAACTGGGCCCCGGTCCCAGGCAGTGACGAGGCAGAGGCAGGGGCTTGATGTGTCTTGTGGGGCACATCACCCCCTGCCCAGGGCCGCAGCGGCTGGGAGGGTGGGACCTAAAAAAGCAAAGGAGCCATGGGTGATGGAGACCCTGGTCTCTAAGCCCCAGGCACCACCACCCACCTCCAAAGCCCCCAAAGCCCCATTACCTGGGGGCTGTTCATCTCACAGTCTGTGATAGGGGGCCCAGGGCCCCCACAATATCGGTTGCTGTAGCGGTAGGTCCGGTTGTCACTGGAGGAGCCACTGGAGCCTCCTGGAAGTGCCAGGGAGGAGAGGTGAAGGGGCATAAGGTGAGAGAAGGTGGCGAGTGGGTTTTGGGATGGCTGAGGGAAGGTCACGGCCCAGGCTCAGGTTCAGGCTTCAAGAGCAGAGCCCATCTGAAGCACCGGGCCCAATTCTGAGATTCTGGGTTGGAATTCAGTTTTGGGTTTTAGAGTCAGAACCAGTTTCAGGGCTCTGAGCCCAATTTCAGTGATTGTGTCAGGGCCAGTTGGAGCTCTCCCATCCCACACGTCATCTTACAGTTCAGGATCAGTTTCGGCGCTTTGTGTGAAGACCCAGTAACCAGGTCCCCCAGGACAGGCCAAACCTGAGCAGCCCCCACCCGTTGTACCCCATTTGGGCACCTGGGCACCCACCAGAACTGGAGATGGAGCTGGCGGTGCTGGAAGAGGGGCAGGTGTCGAGGGGCGCGGGCGAGGTGGAGGCACTGCTGCCTGCCGGGCCCGTGTTGGTGGCCTCGTCGGCCGTGCGGCGGAAGAAGCCGTGCTGCAGAGCCCCCAGGGGGCTGATGCGGGCGGCGGGCTCATACTCCAGCATGCGCAGCACCAGGTCCTGGAAGCGGAGGTAGTCGGCGGGGCTGTGGCCCGGCTCCCCCGCCCGCCGGCCCCCGGGCCCGCCCGTCTGCACGCCCAGCACCTCCTGCAGCCGCCGTGTCCCGGGGCCCTGGTAATCCTGGCAGGGAGGGGGTGGGAGGGGGGGCAAGAGAGTGGCCGTCAGTGGGCAGGAGGGGCAGGGAGACACACACGGGGAAACAGAGGCACAAGAGAGAAAGTGGAAAGAAAAGCTAAGAAGAGTTGTGGGGTGGGAAGGAGAGATGGGAGATGGGGTGGGCAGGGGAGGAAGGAAAGGACAGACAAGGGGGAGTGGAAGGAAGGGAAAGACACAAGGGAGAGGGAGCAGGGGGAGAGAGCCCCAAGTGTGAGTGAGGGGCCACGGGGTGGGAGGAGTGGCATGGGGCAGGGGCCGCACCTTCCTGAGTTCTTTCGTCCTTCGTAGGGTCCAGCCACCCCCAGGCAGCCGTTCAAAGTACTTGCGAGCCTTGGGCGCCTGGTCCAGCATGGCGGCCGGTGGGATGCCCAGCACCTCCACAATGCGGTTCATCTGGTCGACCTGTGAGCAGGCAGGGGTCAAGGTCATCAGGCCAGCCAGGCTCCACCCCCTCCACCTCCAGCACACCCCTTCCTGGGGGCACACCTCATTGGAGCCACTGAAGAGGGGCTCTCCGGTGTGCATCTCCACAAGGATGCAGCCCAGGGACCACATGTCAATGGCCAGGTCGTAGGGTGTGCCCAGGAGCACCTCAGGTGAGCGGTAGAAGCGGCTCTGGATATACTGGTAGATCTGGGAAAAGGGTAATCGTCAAGGGACCCAGCCTCCCCTACTGGTCCCACTGACACCCCCAAAGCTAAGAGGACCCAACTGAGGACAGGCTTCTTGCTGACAAAATGGGGACTGAGGCTCCAAATCCTGCCATTATCAGCACCAATTTTCTGGGAGCCACTGGTGCCATCTTGTTTATCAATCTGGGGAGTCTGCTGGCCTAGACAGACCCTGATCTCCACCCCCAACCCGGATCCTGGGCCCTTCTGGGTCACCAGGCAGAGGCTGACATTCCATAAGCCCTATACCATCGTCACTTTTAGTGGCAGCTCATACAGAGCTGCAAAGTTGAAGCCTTCCACCTCCATCCTCAGCTTTAAGAACAGAGAAGACAAAAACTTAGCGAGGCAGCACCCCTGGCTCAAACCCAACCCAACTTCACCCTGTTCACATCTGGCAGCTTCAAAATGGGCCCTGCCCCTCAGGCTTCACCCTTCCCATCCTAGTGGGCAGTATATTCACACCCCCACCCCAAGCATTATCCCTCAGTTCCCACGGCTCCTAATAATCCCATCCCAGCCAAGCCCCGCCCCTAAGCCTCCCGTTGGCTCTGCCCCACCCAAACTACTAGCCGTGCTCCCAGGACCGGGCCGCCCCCTACCCTCTGGCCAAGCTGGCAGGAGCTGCCGAAGTCCACAATCTTGATGGCGCTGCGCTTGGGGTTGCACAGCAAGATGTTTTCGGGCTTGAGGTCGCAGTGAATGATGCTGAGCTCAGGCGTGGCCAGAAAGAGCAGTGCCGTGCAGAGCTGCTGCGCCAGCTTCCGGG
The DNA here is from genome assembly GCF_000001405.40 of Homo sapiens. Classification (NCBI taxonomy): domain Eukaryota; kingdom Metazoa; phylum Chordata; class Mammalia; order Primates; family Hominidae; genus Homo; species Homo sapiens. Next base: position 88,340 of record NW_009646206.1, read on the forward strand.
TCAGGTTCAGCGAGACGCCGCGGAAGTGGGTGTTGCGCAGGAGGTCGTACAGGTTGTAGGACAGCAGCTCAAATACCAGGCACAGGTGGTTCCGGAACATGAAGTGCCGCTTCAGGTGTACTGCGGGGGAGGGGAGGAAATGGGCCAGAGAAGAAACGGCTCAGAGAGGGCAGGTGGTGGCCTGGGGTCATACAACGCTCTTTGATTACTAGCCACATTGTGCTGTCCCCACGGGTACCATCTGCTAGTCAAAATCTTTTTATCTAACAACTAGATTCACACAGGAAGTTAATGCTCTTTCCAAGTCTCTGTCAAACCCTCCAATTAAACCAAAGAGAAAGTTTCATTAGTTACTACTAGCTCTAACACATTCTACACTTCCTCATTTAATTTCATAACACTGCTTTCATCTCCCTTGTATTCATTTTTGTGGCAAAGGACACTGGTTTTCCGTTTACTTTAAGGATATACGTTTTCCTTTCAAACGAAACCATTTTAAAATCCACTTGCTGTTTATGATTATGTTGTGATGTTTATGTCCATGAGCAGGAATCAGTTTAAGGGAGGAGAAAGACTGGCACAGATGTTAAGAGTAACAGCTCTGGAGTCCACGACCTCATCAAATTATAGCTCAATTAGTACAAACTGCCACCTCATGCAAGTGACAGCACTTGAATGCCTGAGTTTCTTTTTTCCTTTCTTCGTTTTTTTTTGTTGTTGTTGTAACTGTTGTTGTTGTTATTAGGTTTGGTTTTTTGTTTGTTTTGGGTTTTTTTTTTTTTGAGATGGAGTCTCGCTCTGTCATCAGGCTGGAGTGCAGTGGCGTGGTCCCAGCTCACTGTAACCTCCGCCTCCCAGGTTCAAGCGATTCTCCTGCCTCAGCCTCCTGAGTAGCTGGGACTACAGGCGCGCACCACCACATCAAGCTAATTTTTTCACATTTTTAGTAGAGACGGGGTTTCACCATGTTGGCCAGGATGGTCTCGATCTCTTGATATCATGATCCGCCCACCTCGGCCTCCAAAAGTGCTGGGATTACAGGCGTGAGCCACTGTGCCCAGCCCGTTTTGTTTGTTTTATTGAAGAAGAAACTAGGATGGAAGCCCAGGTTTCTTATCTTCAAGATGTTGTTAATAATGCCCTTCCCCTTATGGGCTGTGGTGAGTTAACTTCCAAGTGCTTCCAAGAGAGCCTGGCCCTTGGTGAGCACTCAGTAACCTCTGACCATTACCAAGAAAATAGGACAAAAATCATAAAAGCAGCAGGAGAATCACTGATGTCAGAGAAGCACAGACCAAACCCTGCTCTGAAGACATCAGCCTCCTCCTGAGAGTAGGGCGGGGGTGTGACCCATCCCTACTGGCTCCAGCTCCCGCTATCCCAGGTGCCCACAGCCCTGCCAGTCCCAGGCCTCACCTATATAGTACTTCATCTCCGTGTCATGCTGGTTCATCAGCTCCAGCAGCCGCAGCTCAATCTGGGCCTGGTTCAGGAAAGCCTTTTTGTTCTTGATGATCTTGATGGCCACAAGCTCCTGGGTCTGATGATCATAGGCTTTCACCACCTGTTGGGGCAGGGCATGTCACGAAGAAAGGGGTGGGAGCAGGGCAGAGCCAGGCACCATTCTTCTCCCTCCAGGCAAGGAGACCCACCAAGAACACTATGCATACTTCGCAGCTGAGTGCGCACCATTAGTCAGGCGCTGGTGTAAACACTGGATGTGAAATAACATAACGACCTTATGTTGAGTCTTGTTATTTAAACTGTTTTACAGAAAAGGCGACTGAGGCACAGGGAAACTAAGTGGGCTAGGGTGAGTGGCCCAGCATGGGACTTGAAGCCACTGAACCACTGGGTGTGTGATCAATGTTAGTGGGGCCTTGGATCAGGGTGGTGGGGGGTGTCCCACACCTGGCCAAAGGAGCCTTTGCCAATGAGCGAGTCAATTTCGTAGCGCTCCAGCCAGCGCTCGCCACTGCGCACGATGTAGTCATGGTTGTCGTCATCATAACCATGGTTCAGGACCTTCTTCTCCTTCTTGTTGCTCGAATCCTGGGGTGGCGCCTGCTGGGCCCGCCGCTTCTTCTTCGCATAGTATACCTGCCCAGCCAGCCAGCCAGGAGATGGGGACTGGTGAGTGACTCATGCCAGCAGACAAGACCCTCGGCACCCAGCCCAGGATCCCCCAGCCCCTGCCCACCTCATTGATGTGCTTGTAGGTCTTGATGAGGTCCACAGAGAGCTTACGCAGCGGGGCTGAGGTTGCATCCCGGAAGGCCAGGGGCAGCCTCCGAGGCAGTAGCCGCACATCAGGCAATACCTGCAGGGCAGGGTGAGGGGTGGGCACTGAGGACGTGCCTTCACCTCCGACCTCAAGAGGAAGAACTGTAAGGGCTGCTGGCACATCATGTATTTGGTTGCTGTCTGTATTTGTTCCACCTGTCTAGGAAAGAAACTCCCCCAGGGCTGAGACTTTCTCTTGTTCTTACTATACCTCCAGTGCCTACAGCAGGGCCTGGCACACAATGGATGCTCTTAGAGATCTGTGGTGTGAATGAGTGAACTCTGACCTTTCACCCCTCACCTTTACTCCTTTCTGAACCTCAGAGGGAGAGATCATATGGAAAACCTGGGCTCTGTTCCTCCCCATTCTTCACTTTGAAGCCAGCCATTTTGGGTACCCTCTGAAGTACCTCTATCTCAATTTACCCTCATCCCTTGGGCCTCAACCCATACTCCCACCAACTCTTTGCACAGTTCTTTCACCCCAAGGCTCTTGGATCTGGATCTGGCCCCTGGACCTCCCACTTCATCCTGCTTCAAGCTCTGCATGTCACTGCCTTCACTGCCTCTAGCCTTGGGAGAGCTTTGCCCTCACCACCCATGCCTGTTGGCCTCAAGACCCTTTAGACTCAACCCCCCTCCAAATTCACCCAATCCAGATCTTTCACTCTGAACTTTTCTTAGTAGCATTTATTGGGTATTTACTATGTGCCAGGCACCATTCTAAGTGTTTTACATGCATACCATTAACTCATTTAATCCTCACAACAACCCTGTGAAGTAGGTATCATTATTGGCCCCATTTCACAGAATGAGTTGAGTTCTCCAACTCAAGTATGGAGAACCTAAGGAATTTAACCACTGGGTCAGGATTTGAACCCAGCCTCTCCAAACCCTGACTCTGCCTGAAAACTCCTCTGTTATTTTCCAATCCCATGGGACCCATTATGTGCCCAGAAGAATGTCTTGGGCAACCACACTACCTTTTGGTCTGGAGACCTTTCTATCCCCAGCCTCCCCCTACCACCACGCAGGTGAGGAGCCAGCTGAACGCGTACCTGCGTGTGCTCCTGGGGCCCTGGGAAGCCAGAGAAGGGACCATGGCCCGGTGGGACGGCCATGGTGGGCTCAGAGGGCCGCAGGGGAGCGAGGCCTGGAGCGGGAGCCCGGCCGGGGGGCGCCTTCTTGCATCCTGCACCTCGGCTGCCACCGCCGCTGAGACCTGAGAGCAGACAGGAAGTGGGAAAACAACATGGAACAAGGGGATATGTGAATAGTGCCAGGCGGGGAAGAGTGGACATGAGAAAGACAGGGCACAGAGAGAAGAGGAAAAGGGCACAACGGAGCAGCAGATAGCAATGAAGAGAAGGGGCAGAGAAGTGGTAGCCAGGTGGGGGGGGATGGCACAGCAGTCCCTCGACAAATAATGATCAAGTAAATGATTAAGGCAGCACAAAGAGAACACATAAAAGACAATGATTGGGGGCCAAGCAGGGGTCGATATGAGCCATCACAGGGAAAGGAGGACAGGAAGACACCAATAATTCAGAGGAGGAAAAGAAAAAAGAAACCACAGACAGTATGCAGAGGAGTAGGCTTCATTCTTTTCTCACTACTCGTGGCCCTCCCCAGGGCCCCTAACACAAGATGCCACTTTCTGTAGTCTTCCCTGAACATCAGGATCTCAGCCCGTAGCACAGCCAGGGCCAATACTTTAAGATCTATCCTTCTCAGTAGATTCCCTCAACCCAGAGAACTCTAGGATTCCCAAACCACATGAGTCTTCCCCTCCCAAACCACAGCAGAGTCCTCTGCAGCCCTAAAACCACATCAGCGTCCTTGGGGACCTCCCAACCACACCAAAGTTATCTGAGAACCTCTATAGAACAGAGTCCTATCTCTACAGCATTCTCATCCACCAGGGCACGATTTTCCTAGGGGACCCTCTCCATATCATGCCAAGACCGCTTCCCTATTTCAGGTCCTCCATATTAGGAACCAGCCTTCCAGGTAGTCTCCCTGTACCATATCCCAATTCCCCCTACCACAACAGGGTTCTTCCCCATATTACTCCAATATCCCATCCCAATCAAGGCCCACTCCTCCTGATGGGAGAAGGAGGAGGTGTCTCTTCCCACAGTTTAGAGTGATCATCCTTTTCTCCCCTACACTGCTTCCTTGCCCCCCTACACACACACACACACCCTAATATTCCTACCACAGACCTTTCTCCAGGCACCCCTCTTTATACCAGGGTCATTCCACAACTGTGTCCACTCCTAGAGGGCCTCAAAGTCAAATCCCCAAGTTATCACATAGGGTTCTCTCCTCCCAGAGTTGTCAGCTACAGCAAAAATCTTCTCCCCATGGGCCACTCTCTCCCCCATGTCAAATCCCTTTCTCCTATTCCATGCCTTGCCACTCCACGACTCCTCCACCCTTGGAGCTTCCCCCAAAAAACCACCTCTTCTCCGGGGCCCTCCCACACCAGGATCATCTCTCCCAGCCCCCACCCCCTACCCGGGTCAGGGCTGGCGCGGGGCCCACGGGGGGCTGGGGCGCGGTGGGGCCCCCAGTGGGGTGGGCGAGCGGCCAGCATGGCGGCGGTGGCGGCGCTGAAAAGGCGACCGCCTGTCTCTGGCCCGGCCGGCCCCGCGGCGGGGAGGGCAAGCGGGACAGGAGGCCCGGTGGGTGACAACAGCAGCCGCCACTGCCACCGGGGGCGGGGAGAGGAGGGGACAAGGGTCAGCCCAGGGCACGCGGGGGAAGAGTAGAGCAGGTGGACGGGGGAGGGGCGACACGCCCCACCCTGAGTGACCACCAGCCCCTAGGGACCCGGCGTCCCGCCCCCCACCCAGGAGGCCCTCCTGGGCCTGCTGAGACCGGAAGGCGGGGCCCGACTGAGCTTGGCAATCGGCACCTGCCATGGCAACAACTGTACCATTGGTCGCTGGTGCCAAGAGCTCAGCCAATCACAGCCTAGGGCAGCTGTTGCTAGGCGACGAAGAAGCGGCCCGCGGAGCTGAGCCCAAACAAAGGGCGGGAGTGGGGCCCGGCTACCCCCTCCCAGCCTCCCTCCTGCAACTGCTTCCTCGGGCTTGGCCGGTTCCAGGAATTCAACTATGAATAGCCAGGCAGGGCCCGCACCTGCCTGCCACCCCCCTCCTCTCCTCCCTTGGCCTCGTGCTAAGTCTCACGGCGACGGGAGCAGGGCGGATCCCGTCCTGCCCACCTCCCTGCGACCGCTTGCCGCCCCACCCGTCCCCGCGCCGTTACCTGAAGGAGCGGGCAAGGGGACTCAAACTGCTCGGGGAGCCCGAGCTCAGACCTGCCCACTGGCTGAGGGTATCCGGCGGACGCGGCAAGCCAGGGCCCCGATTACCCAGTAATGCAACCAGCAAAATGGCGACCACAACAAACCGGCCCCCCCACGCCCTGGACTCCGCCCCCATCCCTCCCTCTCCGCTCCCCTCACGTGACCCACACTGACACTCCGCCTGCGCGAGATGGCCGCTTACCTGCACGCATGCGCAGCGAGCTACCAATCCCACCCAAGAACCGAAATCCAGGCTGCCGCTGCGCAAAGGCAGCTAGAAACGGAGCATGCGCTCTGTGACCGAGTGAGAATTTACCCAACCCCGCAAAATTGACCAAGGGTGCGTGCTCCCTGTGTCAGCAGGTCAAGGGGAGGAATGAGCAGCAGACATGGGAGACGGATGAGTCTTTTAATAGAAAAACACACGTGCAACAGTATCAACACACATCTCTCGCAATCCTGACAGCGCTGAACTTCAGTTCTTCACCTTGGGGGGTGGCCTGTGAGAGGAAGATAGGTGATGAAGGAGGGTCCCCAGGATCATGGCACTCGGGGTGCAAGGGACAGAGATGTCTGTCTTGGTGTATTGCTGGGCCCCTGCTCACCTGTACACTCCCACGACCACGGCATGGTCTCTTTCATATGGCTCAAGGGTCAACTGCTCCTGCGGCTTCATGTTCTCCTGTTGCATCTTTTTCACTTCGGAGGCAAACACGGCCTCGGCTGAGGCTGTGGAGTCAATGCAGTTGGCCTAAAGAGGAGAAAGGACTAATGTCTACAACAGGGCTTTGGGCTGTTTTTCTCTTGTGTGCTCTTTAAACCAGATGTTTTCATTATTAATTCAAGTAAAACTCAGTGCTATGGTTCTAGTGTGTCCCCCAAAGTTCATGTGTTGGAAACGTAACCCTTAAATGCAAGAGTTGAGAGGTGGGACCTTCGAGAGATGATTCAGGTCATGAGGCCTCTGCCTTCCTGAATAGAGTAATGCTATTATCACAAGAGTGGGTTGCTGATTAAAAGGATGATTATGCCCCCTTTCTATCTTGCTCTCACCCTTCTGCCAATGGATGACAGCAAGAAGGCCCTCGCCAGATTCAGACCTCCAATCTTGGACTTTCCAGCCTTTGGAACTGGGAGCCAAATAAATTTCCATTCATTATAAATTACCCAGTCTAAGGCTGGGCGTGGTGGCTCACGCCTGTAATCCCAGCACTTTGGGAGGCCGAGGTGGCTCAATCACGAAATCAGGAGATTGAGACCATCCTGGCCAACACGGTGAAACCCTATCTCTACTAAAAATACAAAAATTAGTCGGGTGTGGTGGCGCACACCTGTAGTCCCACCTACTCGGGAAGCTGACGCAGGAGAATCGCTTGAACCCAGGAACTGGAGGTTGCAGTGAGCCGAGATCGTACCACTGCACTCCAACCTGGTGACAGAGTAAGACTCCATCTCAAAAAAATAAAAATAAAAATAAAAATAAATAAATTACCCAGTCTATAGCATTCTGTGATAGCTGCATAAAATGGGCTAAGACACTCGGGTTTAGGAAATGTGATAAAAGGCTTAATGAAAGTTTTTGGCTGGGTGCAGTGGCTCGTGCCTGTAATCCTAGCACTTTGGGAGCCTGAGACAGGCAGATTGCCTGAGCTCAGGAGCTCCAGAGCAGCCTGAGCAACATGGCAAAACCCCGTCTCCACTAAAAATATAAAAGTTAGCCAGGTGTGGTGGCACACGCCTGTAGTCCCAGCTACTTAGGAGGCTGAGGCAGAAGAATTGCTTGAACCTGGGAGGCAGAGGTTGCAGTGAGCTGAGATTGCACCACTTCACGCCAGCCTTGGTGACAGAGCGAGACTCTGTCTCAAATTAAAAAAAAAAAAAGTTTTTAGTTTTGTTTTGGATTTGAAGCAGGAAGCCTTAAACAGTCCTATTTATCTAAAAGCCAGTGCTTAAATTTTATACCCAGGAATTGTTTGGCTTATTTCTACTTCCTCTTCTTTAATAATAGTAATAATGCAGTTGAGAATAATAAAACAAATGTAGCAAAAGGCTAACAAATGGTGAACCTTGTGAAGGGTGCATGGGAGAGTTCTCCATTATTTCCAAATAAAAATGCTGTGAAAGATGCACCTAGCTTTTATCTAGTATCTATTCTATGCCAGGATCTTTTCTAAACACTTCATATTATATTGACTAATTTGATCCTGTCATCTACCCTGAAAAAGACTAGACAATATTTCTATTTCATAAGTGAGGAAACTGAGGCATATAGGTTAAGTAACTTGCTCAGTCACACAGCAGGCTGGGATTAAACTCAGATGGTCAGACTCAATTTTGCACTTGACCGCTGCACTCTCCTGCCTCTTTAAATCCAAAGCTATAGTTTTGCAGACTTGGCCCCTCTGTTTTGGGTGGCTATTTGACAGATACAGATAGAGAAGATACCTCCCTAGAACACTGCCACCCCATCTTAGACTCTTCCAAACCCCGCACCTTAATGGAAATCACAAAGTGTCCTCCATTACGCAGGAAGGTGTGGGCATTCAGGGCCACAATCCGGGTCTGGTCTGGCTGGGCCACATCAGCAAAGATCACATCCACCATTGCTAAGGAGAAAGGAGCAGCAGTTAAAAGTTGGAGTCACAGGGATCACCCCAGATCCTCCCATGGGGCCTATGCCCATCACCAGCAGGTTCCTGGGAGATTCTCCCTGCCTCCAGTTTCACTCCCCACCTCCACTGGTCCCCCTCCCTCCAGTGTCCCAAGATGAGTCCAAAACCCACAGTCACATCATTCATCCACTCTTCTTGTAAACCATGGTTGCCACCTACTCTGTGGCCAGCCCTGGGCCGGGCGTGGGGGACATAGAGACGAGTCAGACCCGGACCCTGCCCTCGAGACGCTCCCAGGTCTGGTGGGGAGACAGACACGTCATCAAAAAGACAAGTAAGAGTGAGTGAGCACTTATAGGCAAGAGTGTCCGCAGGACTGTGAAATGAAAACAAGTTGCAGAACAAAGGGGATGGTATGAGTGCATGGGAAAAATAAAACACAGAAAGAAAAAGGAGCAGAATGAAAAATAATGTTTTTAAGCCAGTGTGACTTTTCAAAAAATGAAAAGGTGGTATAATGAAAACTGATTATTTAAAACCTGGGAAAAGCAGACATCAAATTGTTCTCATCAGTTACTTCTGGCGGTGGTTTATAAGGCTTTTCAACTTTTATATTATATCTTTGAATGTTTTTTTAAACAAAGTAATTAATATTCACAGTGGGCCCCTCCAGATCAAGCCATGCTTAGTTTTCTGGGATATGCTCTCACCAGACAATGATTAGGACCCCCAAAAGGAGGCTTTTTATGGAGGGGTAGTGTAATAAATACAAGAGGCAGGAAGTACAGGAGACCTAGGAGATGGGGAGGAGACTGAAGGAGAAGAGGTTGGCCCTCCAAGGGTGGCTTCCAAGACTCTGAAGCCAAGCTGCCACCTCCACAACCTCACCTAGCTCCCCTTACCCCTTTCTATTCCTGCAGACTCAAGAGGTCTGCTCATCCACTCCAACTCCATCCGAATCAGAGATCCACTGGCTTCTTCCAGAAGCCTGCGGTGGCCTGTCCTACCCCACCGGGGCCACCCCCAGACCCCTCACCGATGAGCATGCGGTATTTGTGTGGGTGTCGAGCATCCTCGATCACAGGAATGATGTTGGTCCTCTTCTTGGCCAAGTTAATGAGGTCACGGCCAGAGCGGTGGGAGAACTCGACTGCATAGACTAGACCATCCTAAAATAAATTAAAAATTAATGAACAGTGATGCTAGTTCTCATGCATGGAGTGCCTACTTTAGGCCCATACACTATACACAGCATCTCTTCCAACCCCCAAATCAAAACCCTACCATCTAATGACTATTGCTATCATGTCCATTTTTCACATGAATAAACTGAGGTCCAGACATAAAGTCACTGGCCAAGAGTTATTCAGCAAGTAGCAAAAGTACCCAATCCCATCTGCCTGAGAGCCCAGGTTCCCAACAGAGGCTTAAAACCAGGAAGCCAAGGCACAGAGATGATGTAACAATGGGCCAACCACTGCTCTAAGCACCTTTCAGAAATTAACTCATTTAATCTTCACAAGTCTATGTTCCAGACAGGTAAACTGAGGCTTGGATGGGTTAGGTAACTTGCCTGATTAAAGCCTGAGGTTTTTTTTTTTTTTTTTTTTGAGTCTCACTCTGTTGCCCAGGATGGAGTGCAGTTGTGCGATCTCAGCTTAGTGCAACGTCCGCCTCCTGGGTTCAAGCAATTCTCCTGTCTCAGCCTCCCAAGTAGGTGGGACTACAGGCACACGTCACCACACCCAGCTAATTTTTGTATTTTTAGTAGAGATGGGGTTTTACCATATTGGTCAGGCTGGTCTCGAACTCCTGACCTCAGGTGATCCACCTGCCTCGGCCTCCGAAAGTGTTGAGATTAAAGGCATGAGCCACCTCGTCTGGCCAAAGCCTGAGGTTTTAAGGCACTACACTTAACAGCTTATAAACACATAAAGTAACAAAGGGTAACAGAGTGGGACACGTGGGTGCCAGGGGCCCTCTAAATGGGAAGCCTATACAGGCTCAGAAACCATGAAGATCTCCTGGTTCTTTCTAAAGAAACCAGAAGAGCAGGTTTTAGCAGCATAAAATTTTAAAGAGGCCCATCAAATCAAATAGTCTGGTATCTATACTCCCCGTTGTCTCTCTAAGGTTGGTCACCCCACACCCACGTCTCTTCCCTTGAGGCCAAGAACCCAGGAGTGAGGTTGAATGACATTATCTGGTTCAAGCCACTCCTTTTACTCACAGGCACAGTGACAGAAAAGGGCCTGGCCCTAAGTCACACAGCGCAGGCAAGCAGTCAAACCCTGATATTCCAGGTTGGCAGAAGGGAGGCAGCCTTTACCTCCTGCCTGACTCTCCATCTACTCACTCACCGGACCAACGATGTCAGAGACATGGGAGACCGTGGTGCCCGAGGCAGCCCCGAGGTAGAGAACCTTAGCCCCCGGTTTGATGTGGATCTGGTCCACACCACCCAGGATTGCTGCTGCTAGCTTGGAGCGGAAGGGGTTCCAGGCTCGGTACTCAATTTTGTCATCTCCTTCCTAGATGAGAGATGGGGACAGAAGTCAGTGCTAGGCTCTTCTGCAGGACCTCACTGCCTTTAACCCTAGGAGCCTTGAAAGGAACTGGGCTGTCCTATCACTGCACAAGAACTCAACATGAGTAAAGAGCAGTGACCATGCACATGCAGTCGCTGCCCTCTCATGGAGGTGACTGACCCAAAGGGCAGCAAAAGAGAATAAACACAAACAGTAACAGTAAAACCAGCACTTGTTCAACAAACATGCACTGTGCCAGCACCTACTGTGTGCCAGACCCTGCTCTAGGCGCTGGGGATACAAAACAAGGATCCCTGCCCAGAAGGTGTAAGTATTCACCGAACTAACTAAATACAACATGGCATATGAGATGGTGACAGGTGTTAAGGAGAGAAGACAAAGCCAGGAGAGAAGATACGGAGTTTGGGAAGCAGGGCAAGGAGCAGGTGAAAATGGGAAAAGGGGCCAGGGAGGGGCTGAAAGGCAGATTCCAAATCAGACCTGAAGGAGGCAAGGGGCCATTCAAGTTATCTGAGGAAGGACATTCCCACGAGAGGGAGAGCGATTAGGAAGGCCCCAAGGCAGGCACACCCTGGCCTCAAAGAAAATGACACAGGATAACAGGACAGGGGAGGGCGGTGAGGGATGCCTTGACCCGCAGAGTGGTGTGACGCAGCCTGGAGAAGCAGATGATAAGGACGCAGCCTCCCACAGAGCTGGGAGTGGGAACAGCAAGGCCAGGGTGGCTGGAGGACACTTGGTCAGAGAGTTAGTGAAGGAGACAAAGCCAGGGGGCAGGGAGGGGGAACTGGAATGCACAGGGTCTTGGAGGCCTGAGTGAAGACTCAGGAGTCTAACTGGAAGGCCGTGGGGAGTCACAGAAGGCGGATGAGGGAGCAGACAGTGTGGTTTACATATTATGACAATCCTCCAGCTGTCACGTGCAGGACACATGGTGAGGGCAGACACAGACTACTGGCTACACCCTCAGCTGCGACCCTGGTGGCTTGGACAGGGGCCCAGTTCTCACCGAAATCGAGACTCTCTTCTCTCCATAAACTGATTCCCCAGGGACCAGGTTCTTGGTGACCAGTGCATCTTCCTTTCCTCGACAAATGAAGACACCTGGGTGAGGGGATCAGAGCAGGGGTGAGGACCCCCAGCCTCTCCCTGCCCCGAAGCTCAGCCGGCTCCCTGCCTTCCTCACTCACCCTCATGCCGATGCGGCTCCACCATCACATTCTTCCCCGACTGGTTTCCTCTTTTTCCTCCCCGACCACGACCCCGGTTGCCACCAGAATGGAAGCCTCCACCTATAAAGGAGAGGTACAACAGGAGAGAAAGATCCTGAATCTCCGCCCTCCCCACTCCCCACCTCAGGAAGGCCTCCTCTGTAACCCCTAGCCAATCTTACCACCTCTTCCTCCTCCTCCACCGCCGCCGCCGCCTCCACCTCCTCCTCGTCCACGACCTCTAAAGCCTCCGCCTCGACCTCGGCCCCCGCCAAAGCCCCCTCGGCCTCCACGACCACCACGGTCACCAAAGCCCCCTCGGCCGCCAAAGCCACCCCCACGGGGACTGAATCCTGTGGGGGAAACAAAACAGGAGTCAGGGCAATGAAGCTTAAAAGGTTAAACCACCTTGTACCCAGCAATACCTCTCAGGTGAGAAACCTGAAATACATGTGCCCGTGTACAGCAGGACACATTTCCAAGAATGTCCACAGCAAAAGAAAAGTGAAGACTAACCCAAATGTCCATCAATAGAATGGGCAAATAAAATAGAAGACATTCACAATCAAGATCATGAAAATGACCTTCAGTTATACACAACAGACTAATAAATGTTAAAATCATAATAATTTTTTTTGCTTAGTGCTTTTTTTTTGAGACAGGGTCTTGCTGTGCCGCCCAGGTTGGAGAGCAATGGCACAATCACAGCTCACCGCAGCCTCGAACTCCTGGGCTCAAGCAATTCTCCTGCCTCGGTCTCTGAAGTAGCTAGATTACAGGTGTGTGCCACTACTCCCATAGTGTAGAGATGGGGGTCTCACTATGTTGCCCAGGCTAGTCTCCAGCTCCTGGCTCAAGTGATCCTCCTGCCTTGGCCTCCTGAAGTGCTGGGATTACAGGTGTCAGGCACCACACCCAGCCACAATCATACTGCCCAAGAAAAGGAGCAAGGGAATGAGAAATGTAAAACTCATGATATTGGTGAATGGGAAGGAGATATTAATATGGGGTTGGGATAGGGGAGGAGTACATGAATAGATGTAGGTTACTGTTAATATCCTGGTTTCCTTGGTTGCATAGCAGATTCACAGAATTCATTCCATGTCAATATTAATTACTGTGAAGAGTGAGCCCTGCATACGAGCACATGCTGTGACAACAGGGCCCCCTAGACTCTGCAAACGTCTTCATACTCTCCCACTCCTGACCTTGGAGCTGGAAGAAAAGTGTCAACCCCAGCCCCAAAACAGAGGGGAATACAGGATGATGTCAGCCCTAACTCATCTCCCTGCTTCCAAGCTTAAAGAAGTCCCTCTCAGCTCAGGGGAAAAACAAGAAAAAGCAGAACAAACTGTCATTTAAGGATAGGCTGCACTTTACAAGTAGTTTGCGACTTGTCAGTAAGATCGAAATGTTTAAGAAATAACAGACTCAGACAGGCTTTATTCTTACCAGTTCAGGACAACAAACACCATTAGCACAAAACAACGTTTAAAACAGAACTCTGGTGCTAACAGATTCAATATTTTCTCTGATTTGGTTTCAAAAACTCAGAAGTACTAAATCACACAAGTTAAAAAAAATAGTTGGAAAACTAGTGGTTTAAAATTATCTCACATTCTCACATGATGTAATCTATTCAATCATAAGCTTGCTTTTTTTTTTTTTTGAGACGGAGTCTCACTCTGTCACCCAGGCTGGAGTGCAGTGACACGATCTCGGCTCACTGCAAGCTCCACCTCCCAGGTTCACGCCTTTCTCCTGCCTCAGCCTCCCCAGTAGCTGGGACTACAGGCGCCCACCACCATGCCCGGCTAATTTTTTTGTATTTTTAGTAGAGAAGGGGTTTCACCGTGTTAGCCAGGATGGTCTCAATCTCCTGACCTCTTGATCCGCCCGCCTCAGCCTCCCAAAGTGCTGGGATTACAGGCGTGAGCCAGCGCGCCCAGCCTTGCTCATGTTTTTTGTAAAGATACATTATGATCTTGTCCTACGAACCCTTCATGCACCTTAATGGTATTAAAGATAAAAAATGTGTCTTTTAACAGCCATTCCTAATTTAATCTTTAAAAATGAACGGTTTCATTTTCAAAACTCCCAAACAACCAAAAGTTGTTTACTTTTAATCTTCTACTCCCTCTACAGTCCACTTTTCACACAGCAGCTAATACATGCTATTTTTAAAACAGCAAGTAAGATCTCATCATGCCCTTGCCCAAATCCCTCCAATGGTTTTCCACCACATCCAAAATGAAATAAAAAGTCCTTTCCCTGGCTTACAAAGCCTGAAATCAAAGCCTAAAATCTTTAGGCTTTAAATTCTGATTTCATTGTTCTGGGCGCAAGGTCTTCCCCTAAAGCTCTCCAGGTGACTCCAAGGTGCAGCCCACATTGAGTATCATCATCCTAAGGATCTGGCCTGTGCTGACTTCCCTGACTTCATTCTCTTTATGCTGGGCCCCATGCTCTTCCCCACCAAGCATACACAGTCCAGCTTCTAAATCTTTACCACGTGCTGTTCCCACTGCCTGGCTCCTGCAGACATGTGCATGGCTCACTCGCTCCTTCACTGCATTCTGGTCTCTGATAAAATGTTAGTTCCCCAGAAGGGCCTACTTTGGCCACAGTACCCTTACCCTGCTTTATTTCCCTTCAAATCAATTATCACACATGGCATTTTTAATATTATTACCACCTGCCTCCCCCACTAAGATCAAGCTCCAAATGGGCAGGGATTTTTAACTGTTTTGGTCACCACCGCATCCCCAAAACCCTGCACAACATCTGGCACAAAGTATGGGCTCAATAAATGTTAAATGAGCACTGAGCTGATGACTCTTAAACCCTGGGCCCTGCCTCAAGGAGAAAGCACCCTCTATTTGTTCAGAAAGCACACAATCCATCAGATGGTGACCAGGGAAGTGCCGGTCACTCCCCTCAAGTATCGCATATGGAGAGATAGGCAATGTTGCTGCCACTCTCGACCCTAGTAAGGAAGGTTCATAGGGGTCTTGAAAACTTCATCTGTAAGACATGGAGACAATACAGTGCCAGGCCACGCGCCATAGCTCATGCCTGTAATCCCAGCACTTTGGGAGACCCAGGCAGGCGGACAGTTTGAGGCCAGGAGTTCAAGACCAGCCTGGCCAACATAGTGAAACCCTGTCTCTACTAAAAATACAAAAAATTAGCTGGGCGTGGTGGCGCATGCCTGTAATCCCAGCTACTCAAAAGGCTGAGGCACAAGCATCAATTGAACACAGGCGGAGGTTGCAGTGAGCTGAGATGGTGCCACTGCACTCCAGCCTGGGTGACAGAGAGAGATTCTGTATCAAAAAAATAAAAATAAAAAAAATGCAGTGCTCATCCTATAGGGTTGTAAAGATTAAATGACTTGTACCCACAGAGCACATCACATATATACTATCTGGCACCTACTTTGAACATCATCATTCAAACTCAGGGGTACGCGTCTCCTCTTCCCTCCTCATGTACCAAAAGTACCCATTCCTCAGAAAAAACACATGTTCACACAAACTTTTCCAGTTAGTTCTTTTTTCATCTTTCTATTAAAGATGAAAATGTAACTTTTAATAGCTACTCCTAATTTGATCTTTTAAAATGAAGTTTCCTTTTCAAAACTCTAGAACATAACTAAGAGTTGTTCACTTTTTAATGTTCTACTCCCCCTACAGTCCACTTTCCACACAGCAACTAATAAGTGCTGTTTTTGAAACAGCAACTCAGATCTCAATTTTCTTGCCCAAGCCCTCCAACAGTTTTCCAAAGCCAAGACCTTCATTTAGGGGAGATGCCACAGCTAGGCTTATGAAAGTCTCAACCCAGGCCTAACAGAAAGGAAGTACTGGCATGTGCTTGGGGCGGAGTGGGCATGAGTGTAAACTTTCAATCCCAGATACTCAAAACATCTCAATCCGTTTCAGGTCCTGGAGCTTTTGGGGGAAAATGTACCAAAAGTACCCAGTCCTCAGAAAAAACACATGTTCACACAAACTTTTCCAGTAAGTTCTTTTTTTGGGGGGAGGGGGGTCCATAAACCCCCTGATTTAAAATCTGCTCTCCTTCCACAGCCTTCTCCATCTCAAAAATGGCAATTCCATCCTTCCAGTTACACACCCCCAAACCCTTGGTTATCCTTGACTCCGATCACACACCCACATACAATCTGTTGGTTCTGTCTTCAAAAGCATGTAAAACTGTCAGCATGTCCACTGCTCCCATCCTGGTCCACCACACCATCTCCTAGATTACAGCAACAAGCTTCCCACCAATGTGCCTGCTTCCACTTTTGCCACCCTGAGGTCTTTCACACATCGAAGCAAAAAGAATCCCTTTTAAAAATGTCAGACTGCACCACGCCCCTGCTCAAAAATCTCCCAAAGGGTTCTTTTCTCACTCAGGCTAAAATCCTTACTAAAGAGCTAACACCTGACAACTTTTACAACTTCACATTCTACCACACATGGAGGAAGGTTGGAAGAACGGGTATCCTCCATTTATGAGGGAATCACAGACCAGAATGCCTGCAGGCAAGCCAGGATCTCAGCATACCTGGCCTACAATCCCCCACCCCACTTCATCAAGAGATCCCCAAACACGGAAGAGAAAGGGAACTTGGGAGAAGGGCACAGATCCACAAATCTCCTGCCAGGTGACCCCCATCTCTCCACACAAACACACACACAAAAGAAAAAGAAAGCCTGTACTAGGAAAACAGACCCTTTGGGCCATGGTGGAAATTCTCCAAACTCAATGAAGCAAGTTCTCACACAGATGAGTGCGGGTTGGGCAGGCCAGATGGAGGAAGTGCTCAGGCACCACCGAGAAGGATTCTAATGTTGTTCTCTTTGAGAAAGATAAAGGTAACAATTAGAGCTAATACTATTATATGTCAAGCACTGTGCTATTTTTTTTAACGTCGCTTAATCCTAACTGGCGCCATTTTATTGATGAGAAAACAGAGGCTCAGAGAGGTAAAGCCACTTGCCCAAGTTCACACAGCAGGCTAAGAAGCTGAGCAAGAGCTGACACACTGAACTGAGGCCCTTCTGCTGTCAAAGCCAGGACCCCCTCATCATTCCACCATGAAGGGAGTGGTTTCAGCAGAATCTAGTGGAAAATCTTAAGAATAAAACTACTTACCTCCTGTGACAACCACCCGCCCCACCACCCCAGACTAATGCCGAGCTTGTTAAGTCTCGTCCCGGAGGTGGAAATCTTAATCCCCAAATCTCCACTCCATCCCCGGGGATCCGCCCCACTGTAAGTGCAGAAGGCGGGAAAGTGAGCCGAAGAGCGCCGCACACGGCCAACCGGGGAGTCCTCATCCACTCCGGCCCACTCGGAAAAGCTGGGATGCGGGATAAGGGGATGGTGGTGGTGGCAGCGACAGGGAAGGCAAATGGGGGCTTCCCACACACAGCTCCAGGACCCAAGGTCAGGAACTCTCCATCTCCGACCCAAGCCTGATTCCCAAAACACGCCCAGCGATCCAAGACTCCAGATGCCTGAATCCAAACTCTAGCCCAAGACCCTTGAGTGCCGCCTCCTGCCCAATATCCAAAATCCCTATTAGACGGCCTCAATGAGACGAACCCCACGTCAACACCCCCAATGCCAGGCCCACGGCCTTCTTCGACTCACGACCGTGACCTCTGAAGCCAGTCACAAACCCCTAGACCTGCTGGAATCAGAATCCCCCTTCCCACAGGAGACTGGAACCCGTGCTCAGAACCCCTGCCCCCAGGCCAAGGCCCCACCCCTCCGATTCTGGCCTGGCACCCGGATTCCCGCCCGGCCTCCGTCCCTGACCCCGGACCCTCACCCCAGCCTGACCTGGCTTCATGGCGAGCCCTGGTTTGTGCGGCTCCGGAGTCCGCGGCGTTCACAACTCCACGAGTCCGGGGCTTTCGCACGTGGAAAAGAGCGCAGGCGCGCGGCGACGTGCGCTGCGTGACGCCACCCCGTAGTCCCGCCCCCGGGCCCCTTCCCCGCCCGGAGCTCGGCGCACGCGCAGTGAGCCTGGATTCTCGAGCCTGTCGACACGCAACCCGCTGCCCTCGCTCTCTGCCTTCCCAGCCTTTGCCTGTGCAGCGGTCGCCCTAAACTCGCTTCCGGTTTCCTCTTCCCCAATGCGAGCACCCCAATAATCAGGGCTCATAGCCTTCGCACGGGCTGTGCCCTCTTTTGTATTCCTAGCTAAATCCCTCTGGCCCCTGTACACCCAAAAAGGCTTCCCCAATACATTTCCAGCCCCAAGAACAGTGACCGACTCTGGGCTTCCATTCAAACATCCGAAAAACATTTACAGTGCACCTCGTGTGTACCAGGTGCTGTTCTAGGAGCTGGGAATACAGCGGTGTACGAGACATAAAAATCTCCACTCTCCTGGAGTTCATCTTTTTAATGGAGGAAATAGACACCAAACATGTTGAATGTTTGAAAGCGATAAGTGCTTTGGAGAAAATAACAGCAGGGAAAGGGGATAGAGATTTTGGAGGGCAAATGATTTTTGTTTTTTTGGCACGGTGGTCAAGGAATGCATCAGGAGACTTTTGAGCTAAAGGGCTGAAGGAAGTGAGGAGTGAGGCATGCACCTATCTAGGGGAAGAGAGTTCCAGGCAGGGAAAAGATCTGCAGATGCAGAGGCCCTGAGGAAGGAAAGATATGGGAAGTTGGAGAGACAATGAGGAGGGTGGGTGGGGCAAAGTGAGCAAGGTGGAGAGTAAGAGGAGATAAGGGCGGGTAGCTAACAAGGGCAGATTGTGCGGAGCTTTGTGGGACATAGTGAGGACTTAGGCAGTAAGATGGAACCATGGAAGGGTTCCAAGCAGAGAAGGAATGTGATCTGACACAGGTCCCTCTGGCTGCATGTGGGAAGCAGACTGCAGGAGTGAGGGTGAAAGCAGGAAAACCAAGGACTGGCTGCTGCCGTGAATCAGAAGAAAAGGATGGACAGATCAGAGTGGGGGCAGAGAGCGGCGTCAGGGGTCAACAGATTCTGCTTAAGTATTAAGAATTTTGGGCTTTGTAATTGTGTAATATCAGTATCCATCCCTATATTCATTCTGCAAAGCAAGACAACTGCTGTTATGAGAAGTTACCGAAAAACTCCAGAAGAACCTACCAGTCCAGAGCCTAGATGTTGACTCTGTTCCATTCACTGCTCTATCACTCTAGGCCTAGGACAGCCCTCTGGGTGCCCAGTAAATGTTTGTTGAATGAATGGATGGCCTCATACCGTTGTGAGTTCTCTGTGTACAGTGTTCCAGCTGTGGAATGCCACCAATTTGCACAGAAACATTCCTGAAAGATTGTTTAGATATTATGATGGAAAATCTGCTTAAACTTTTCAGAACCGGTCGGGGCAGTGGCTCACACCTGTAATCCAGGCACTTTGGGAGGCCGAGGCAGGAGGATCGCTTGAGCCCAGGAGCTTAAGGCCAGCCTGGGCTACAGAGTGAGACCTTATCTTTACAAAAAATAAAAAATTAGCTGGGTATGGTTGCTTGCACCTGTAGTCCCAGCTACTCAAGAGGCTGAGGCAGGAGGATCCTTTGAGCCCAGTAGGTCTAGGCTGAAATGAGCCATGACTGCACCACTACACTCCAGCCTGGGTCACAGAGCGACACCCCTGTCCCAAAACAAAAACAAAAACCAAACAAAAAAAACTTTTTAAAAACTATGAGATGAAATAGTTGAGTCTATTCTGGATTTCTAGATGTGCAATGATTCCAGTGGGTCCAATTCCGGATAATGTTACCTATTTCACATGGATTTTACTATTTGCCTTCTAATTAATATTTTTCTTCTAAAGGACAAAAGTACTCAGAGTGCAGTGCAGATTTAGGGGATTCCAGCCCTATTTCTTGGAATCCTGGCACCATCTCCTGCTTCTGAGATACTTTGCCTGCTAGCTTGCTCTGAAGACCTGAAATTGGCTCTATCGGTAAGTAATTAGTGGTGGAGGTGCCTGTTGGTCTTGTGCTGGGGACACAATGGTGGCTAAAACAGCCCCGGGTCCTGTCCTCCTGGAGCTGCCAGTCCAATAGGAGAGACAGACAGGTTCCCAAACAGTGTTGGCCCAGAGGGGTCAGGGCTGGGACAGGCAGAGGGGTAGGAGGGCAATGGGGGAAGCACCGGCAGAAATGGGACTGGGGAGCCCCAGGCAGGGGGCTCAGGGCCAGGATAGGGGAGGCCCAGGCAGAGAGGTGGGAGGGGGATGGAGGAGACACTGGCAGGCAGGGCAGGGCAGGGATAGCGAAGCCCTTGAGGACTTTTCCCAATATTCCCCATTTCCTCAACTCCCTCTGAACCTTCCTGTGACCTTCTTGCTCTAAGGAGGACTCTGCCCTGAAGACCTCCCTTTCCAAGCGGGGCTGTTTTCTCCTTCTCGGCCTTCATGTCCACTGGATCTGTAGATGGGAGAAGAGCGTCCTTGCTCCTCACTGGCACTTCTAAACCATTGTCTCTGCCTCCTCCCTGAACCCTAGGTCTGAAGCTTACACAGTCACACTGTAGCACCTGCTCCCCTTTGTGCTGCTAGACCCATTGACTCCCAAGTCACCTCTGCTCACCTCGTCATTTAGCTTCAGGCTCACTGTCACCCACACCACTCCTGTCATTATTCTTGGTGATTTTCAAATTCAGGTAAATGATCCTTTTACCACTCTGGCCTCTTGGTGCCTTGACCTCCTCTCCCCCACTGCACTTGTCCTCCACCCAACCCTTCTTTCCCATGATCACACCTAGACCTTGTGCTGGGAACACACAACAACACATAACTGTGACAGCCCCAGAGGTCCCAGCCTGGTGGGGGAGAAGGACCCATTCTAGATGGCAACAGCCGCATAACCACAGCCCCTACAGAATCTCAGCTCCATGCATCTCACGCTCTGCCCGTCACCTCCTGTCTCTCCAGCTCACTCCTTCTAAAGATTGCACCAGTGAGCCTTCAGCCCTAACCATCCATTAAGCTGTCTGACTTGTTGCTATCCCTCCCCCAATCATGGCCACACCACTCTCAACTACCTAGCCAGATTCCCCACCATCATTATTACCACACCTTTGCATACCTCCAAACTATGAACTGAATTCAACCCTCCATTTATTCTGCACCTGCACCCCTGGCAGCTGAATGTGGATGGAGAAAAATACAGAATCACCCTGGCTGGTCTCGGTTTTGATTCATGACTACAAACCCAAATGCTTAATGCTGACCAGCAATCCTATCACTTGCCCCCAGTCTATTCATTCTCCATTTTTTCCCACCCTGTTGATGGTATAGATAACACATGGCCATGGGCTGAATTGTCTCCCCACACATTCACTTGTTGAAGTTCTCACCCCCATTGTTATGGTATTTGGAAGTGACAGCATTGGGAGGGATTAGGGTTGGAGGAGGTCATGAGTGTAAACCCTCATTATGGGATTAGTGACTTTATTATTATTATTATTATTTTTGAGACAGAGTTTTGCTCTTATTGCCCAGGCTGGAGTGCAATGACATGATCTCGTCTCACGGCAACCTCCACCTCCCAGGTTCAAGCGATTCTCCTGCCTCAGCCTCCAGAGTAGCTGGCATTACAGGCATGAGCCACCACGCCCGGCTAATTTTGTATTTTTAGTAGAGACGGGGTTTCTCCATGTTGGTCAGGCTGGTCTCGAACTCCTGACCTCAGGTGATCCACCCACCTTGGCCTCCCAAAGTGCTGGGATTACAGGTGTGAGCCACCGTGCCCGGCCAGGATTAGTGACTTTTTAAGAGGGAGAGAGGGAGAGATGCAACCCAGGAAGAGGGCCCTCACAGAGAATCACATCAATCAGCACCTTGATCTTGGACTTTCCAGCCTCCAGAGCTGTAAGAAATAAATCTCTGTTATTGGAACCATTCAGTCTATGGTATTTTAAGACAGCCCACACAAACAAACACACATGTATTAATTTTTAAAACTTTATTAAGGTATAATTTACATACCATAAAATTCACCCATTTTGGCTTGGCGCGGTGGCTCATGCCTGTAATCCCAACACTTTGGGAGGCCAAAGCAGGCGGATCACGAGGTCAGCAGTTTGAGACCATCCTGGCCAACATGGTGAAACCCCATCTCTACTGAAAATACAAAAATTATCTGGGTGTGATGGTGCATGTCTGTAGTCCCAGCTACTCAGAGGCTGAGGCAGAAGACTCGTTTGAACCCGGGAGGCAGAGGTTGCAGTGAGCCAAGATCATGTCACTGCACTCCAGCCTGGCGACAGAGTGAGACTCTGTCTCAAAAAAAAAAAAAAATTCACCCATTTTAATTCTATTGTTCGTTTAATTCTGGTAAATTTACAGTTGGGCACCCATCACCACAATCCAATTTCAGAAAACTGCCAACACCCCATTTCATACAAATGGAATCATACAATATGTAGCCTTTTTTTTTTTTTTTGACTTAGCATAATGTTCCACATTGTTGCAAATTTCTTTTTTATGGCTGAGTATTTCATTCTCTGGAATTTCACTGGTCTGTTCACCTGTTGATGGGCTTTTGAGTTGTTTCCAGTTTGGGTTATTATGAATAATGCTGCCATGAACATTCATGTACAAATATTTGTGCAGATTTACTCTAATTTTTCTTGGGACAAGCCCTAGGAGTAAAATGGCTGAGTCATATGCTGAGCATGTTTACCTTTTGAAGAAATGGGAACACTTTTTTCCAAAGTGATTGGGCCTATTTTATTTCTTTTAGTTTCTTTTTTTTATTTTTTTGAGACAGAGTCTTGCTCTGTCACCCAGGCTGGAGTGCAGCGGCGTGATCATAGCTCACTGCAGCCTTGATATCCAAGGCTCAAGCAATCCTCCTGCCTCAGCTTCCCGAGTAGCTAGGACTATAGGTGCCCGCCACCAGGCCTGGCTAATTTTTGTGTTCTTTCTAGAGACAGGTGTCTCACTATGTTGTCCAGCTGGTCTCAAACCCCTGAGCTTAAGCAATCTGTCTGCCTTGGCCTCCCAAAGTGCTGGAATTACAGACGTGCACCACTGCACCCAGCCCAGACCCATTTTTTTTTAAGAATTATTTTACACTTTCTCCTCTTTCTTCAAACCTTAAAACTTTCTCCTCCCTTCTTACTCTTTGTTGTTCGTCTTGCTTCCAAGGAGATAGAAGCAATGACAAGAGAACCCCAACATCCTTCTATCCCAATACCTATCAGCCGCCCCGCACCTGTTACCATGTATGCTGGCTTCCCATGTGTGACTGTGGATGACTCTCTGTTACCCATCGCAGTGCCTAGCTGTGTGCAGGTTTGTTATATAGGTAAATCTGCACATGTACCCCTTATATAGGTAAATTGTGTGTCACGGGTTTGATATACAGACTATTTTGTCACCCAGGCAATAGGCATAGTACCTGATAGATCGGTTTTCTTTTCTTTTCTTTTTTCTTTTTTTGAGACGGAGTCTTACTCTGTTGCCCAGGCTGGAATGCAGCGGCGTGATCTCGGCTCACTGCAACCTCTGCCTCCTGGGTTCAAGTGATTCTCCTACCTCAGCCTCCCGAGTAGCTAGGACCACAGGCACATGCCACCACGCCTGCCTAATTTTTAAAATTTTTTTGTAGCAATGGAGACTCACTATGTTGCCCAGGCTGGTCTCTAACTCCTGGCCTCAGCCTCCCAAAGTGCCACATTATAGGCATGAGCCACCACTCCCAGCCATAACGTTCTGTATTTTGACAGAGGTTTGGGTTCATTTCAAAACAACAAATTTATTCTTTAGATGTGTACATTTCACTGTGTGTGAATTTTACCCCCAAAAAGGAACTGTACACAAACTTGAGCTCCAGTTAATGCTACGTGTGCTGAAGTATTTAGAAGGAAGCATAATGATGTCTGCGACTTATTTTGAAGTGTGTGTGTGTATATATATATACAAATATATGAACACATATATAAATATATATACATGTATAAATATACATATACATATATATATATTTTTTTTTTTTTTGAGATGAAGTTTCGCTTTTGTTGCCCAGGCAGGAGTGCAATGCTGAGATCTCAGCTCACTGCAACCTCTGCCTCCCAGGTTCAAGCAATCCTCCTGCCTCAGCCTCCTGAGTAGCTGGGATTACAGGCGCCCGCCACCACACCCAGCTAACGTTTGTATTTTTAGTAGAGATGGTGTTTCACCATGTTGGCCAGGCTGGTCTCGAAAACCTGGCCTCAGGTGATCCGCCTGCCTCGGCCTCCCAACGTGCTGTGATTACAGGCGTGAGTCACCACACCTGGCCTGAAAAGTGTATTTTAAAAGAGGGATCAAAGGCTGCATGAAGGGATGGATCAACGGATGGATACATAATAAAACCAGTATAGCAAAATGTTAATTACAGACTCTACATGGTGGGTAGATGGGTTGTCTCCATTTGTTTTGTGCTGCCATAATAGAATTCCTGAGACCGGGTGATTTATAAGGAAGAGAAATTTATTTCTCACAGTTCTGGAGACGGGGAAGCCTAAGACGAAGGCACCAGCATCTGGTGTTGGGTGAGGCCCTTCTTGCTGTGTCCTTACATGGCGGCAGGCAGAAGGGCAAGCAGGGACGAACACTGTGTCACCTCATGGCAGAAGATCAGAAGAGAGCAAATCCAATCCCAAGGATTACAGCAGTGTTAATCCACTCATAAGGATGCGGCCTGAGCCCTCAGGACTTAAACACCTCCTGTTAGGCCCCACCTCCCAAGACGGTTGCACTGGGGGTTAAGTTTCCAACACATGAATTTTGAGGGACACTTTCAGACCATACCAGGAGTGCTGACTGTATATTTCTTCAAACTTTCTGCATGTTTGAAAAGGGAGGAGAGGGCCGGGCATGGTGGCTCACACCTGTAATCCCAGCCCTTTGGGAGTCTGAGGCGGGCGGATCACGAGGTCAGGAGATTGAGACCATCCTGGCTAACACGGTGAAACCCTGTCTCTACTAAAAATGCAGAAAATTAGCCGGGCGTGGTGGCATGTGCCTGTAGTCCCAGCTACTCAGGAGGCTGAGGCAAGAGAATCACTTGAACCCGGGAGGCGGAGGTTGCAGTGAGCAGAGATCATGCCTATAATCCCAGTTACTCAGGAGGCTGAGGCAGAAGAATCGCTTGAACCCGGGAGACGGAGGTTGCAGTGAGCCAACATTGCGCCACTACACTCCAGCCTGGGCAACAGAGCGAGACTCCATCTCAAAAAAAAAAAAAAAAGAAAGAAAAGAAAAGAAAAGGGAAGAGAGGGATTTAAATAGATGCAACACAGAGAACTTTTAGGGCATTGAAGCCATTCTGGATGTCACTCTAATAAAGCATGCATATCATGACACAGAACATGCACCACCAAGAGTGAACCCTAATGTAAGCTATGGACTTTGGGTGATGAAGACTGTCAATGTGGGTTCATTGATGATAACAAAGGTGACACTCTGGTGCTTGATATTGATAGCAGGGGAGGCTGTACATGGGTGTATAGTATGGGGCAGGAGATCTAGGGGAACTCTCCATATGTTCCACTCACTATTGTTGTGAACACAAAATTGCTCTTTAAAAAAGTCTATTTTAAAAATTGGCCAGGTGTGACAGCTCATGCCTGTAATCCCAGCACTTTGGGAGGCCAGGAGAGGAGGATTGCTTAAGCCCAGGAGTCCAAGACCAGCCTGGGCAACATAGCAAGACAGGAATAATCTCCCTGTCTCTACAAAAATACAAAAATTAGCTGGCATTGTAGCACACACCTGTAGTCCCAGCAACTCGGGAGGCTGAGGTGGGAGGATTGATTGAGCCTAGGAAGTTGAGGCTGCAGTGAGCCGAGATGGCACCACAGCACTCCAGACTGGGCAACAGAGTGAGATCATGTCTCAAAAATATAAATAAATAAAAATTTTTAAAATAAAAATTTACCTTCAAGGCCAGGGATGGTGACTCCTACCTGTAATCCCAGCACTTTGGATGACCAATGACCAAGGCGGGAGGATTGCTTGAGCTCAGGAGTTTGAGGCTGCAGTGACCTGTGATAGCACCACTGCACTCCAGCCTGGACAACAGAATGAGACCTTGTCTTAGGAAAAAAACAATACATTAAAATCCACTGGAAAACAACATGAACAACTTCTCTTGGCTTCACATTCTCCTCTAGCCATCACCTCCATCTCTCTGGGTTCTTTTTTTTTTTTTTTTTTTTTGAGACAGAGTCTCACTCTGTTGCCCAGGCTGGAGTGCAGTAGCACGATCTTGGCTCACTGCAACCTCCACCTCCCGGATTCAAGCAATTCTCCTGCCTCAGCCTCCTGAGTAGCTAGGATTACAGGCGCCCGCCACCACACACCACACCCGACTAATTTTTGTATTTTTAGTTGAGATGGGGTTTCACCATGTTGGCCAGGCTGGTCTCGAAGTCCTGGCCTTAGGCGATCCACCCGCCTTGGCCTCCCAAAGTGCTGGGATTACAGGCATGAGCCCCCCGACCTGGCCTCTCTGGGTTCTCTATAACTAAACTCCTTGAAAGAATTTTCTGTACTTACTGTCCTCACTTCTCCTCATCTTTTCTCTTGGACCCATTCCAGTCAGGCTTTCCTCTCCATCACTCCACCAAAATAGCTTTTCTCAAGGTCACCAAGGTCCTCCATATTGCTAAAGCTGGTGATCAATTTCCTATCCTCATCTTCTTTGACCATCAGTGGCATTTGACACTGCCTCCTGCTTAATATGCTTTTTCCACTTAGCTTTCAGGACTGCCACCTTTTCCTAGAGCCCTCCCACCTCACTAGCCACCCTCTCTATTTCTTCACTAGCTCCCCTCATCTTCCCGGTCTTGTTTCCTTAGGGTGCCCCAGGGCTCATGCTTCAGCCTCCTTCTCTTTTCTATCCATGCTGCTCCTCTGATGATCCAACCATTCTTTTCATTGTATTAAAAACTGGCAACTCCCACATTTATCTCTCAAGCCTAAACTTCTTCCTTGAACTCCAGACTCACATGTCCAACTGCCTAATTGACATTTCTACTCTGATGTAGACATGCATTAACAAATGCATGTAGGCCGGGTGCGGTGGCTCATGCCTGTAATCCCAGCACTTTGGGAGGCCGAGGCGGGTGGATCCCCTGAGATCAGGAGTTCGAGACCAGGCTGACCAGCATGGTGAAAACCCATCTCTACAAAAATACAAAAATTAGCCAGACACGATGGCGGGTGCCTGTAATCCCAGCTACTCAGAAGGCTGAGGCGGGAGAATCACTTGAACCTGGGAGGCAAAGGTTGCAGTGAGCCAAGATCACGCCATTGCACTCCAGCCTAGGCGACAGAGCAAGACTCCATCTCAAAAAAACAAAACAAAACAAAAAACAAATGCATGTAATTTGCATGCACTTGGTGGTTTAAACCACAAATTTGCTGTCTTAAACCAACAGAAATTTATTCTCTCAAAGTTGTGGAAGCAAGAAGTCCAAAGTCAAGGTCAAGGCAGCGAGGCCCTGCCTCACTGCCTTCAAAAGCTCGATGGGAAAATCCATTTCTTTCCTTTTCCACCTCTTAGGGACTGCTGACATTCCTTGGTTTGTGGCGGCATCACTGCAATCTCTGTCTCCATCTTCACTTTGCCTTCTCTGTGCTTGCTTCCCTCTTACAAGGATACGCGAAATTGGCCAGGCACGTGGCTCACGCCTGTAATCCCAGCATTTTGGGAGGCCAAGGCGGGTGGATCACCTAAAGTGATCCCAGCTACTCGGAAGGCTGAGGCAGGAGAATTGCTTGAACCTGGGAGGTGGAGGTTGCAGTGAGCCGAGATCGCACCATTGCACTCCAGCCTGGGTGACAAGAGCTAAACTCCATCTCCAAAAAAAAAAAAAAAGAAAAAAGAAAAAGGATACAAGTAATTACATTTAGGGCTCACCCAGATAATCCAATCCAGGATAATCTCCCTGTCTCAAGAGCCTTAGCTTAATCACACCTGCAAAGACCACCTACCCACATAAGGCAATATTTGCAGGTTCAAGAGATTAGGATCTGATATCTTTGCGGGGGTGGGGGCATTTTTCAACCTACCACAAAACATCTCAAACTTAATAGTAGGTGCTCAAACACATTTATTTATTCATTGATTTATTTTATTTTTTATTTTGTAGAGATGTTTTCCGGGCTGGTCTCAAACTCCCGGACTCAAGGGATCCTCCCACCTCATCCTCCCAAAGTGCTGGGATTATGGTGTGGGCCATCGTGCCTGGCAAAAACACATGTATTGAATGAATGAAGGAATGTCCACAGCAGGGTCATAAGAGCTAGCATTGAGTACACCTGTCAGCGAAAACTCAAATTAGAACCAAGTGTGCAAAACTTTGCGGAGGCTGTTATGACTAGGACCTTGATGACTTGATGAATTTTCTTTTTAACTTATGTAACAAAATTTTAAACTTTTCACAAAAAGTAGAGAATATGAGAAGTCCCCATTTATTCGCCACCTGGCCTCAACAACTATTAACATGTAAAACAGCCTTGTTTTATCTATTGCCCCTCCATCTTTTTATTTTTTTCTGGAGTATTTTAGAGCAAACCTCGATAATATGCCATTTCACTTCCAGGTACTTAAGTATGCATCTCTTAAGAAAAAGAAGAGAACATTTTCTTCCATTATCACACCTAACAAAATTAACAAGAAGTCCTTTTTATAATCTAGTAGCCAGTCTATATCCATATTCCCTCAATGGTTTAAAGTATGTGATTTAGGCTGGGCACGGTGGCTTACACCTGTAATCCCAGTACTTTGGGAGGCTGAGGGGGGAATGGATCACCTGAGGTCAGGAGTTCGAGACCAGCCGGGCTAACGTGGTTAAATCCCATCTCTACTAAAAATACAAAAATAAGCTGGGCATGGTGGTGGGCATCTGTAATCCCAGCTACTCGGGAGGCTGAGGCAGCAGAATCACTTGAACCTGGGAGGCAGAGGTTGCAGTGAGCCAAGATCGCACTATTGCACTCCAGCCTGTGCGAAAAGAGCAAACTTCCATCTCAAAAAAAAAAAAAAAGAAAAAATGATTTAAACAGTACTGCTGGCTAGGCATGGTGGCTCTCATGCCTATAATCCCAGCACTTTGGGAGGCCAAGGCAGATAGATCACTTGAGATCAGGAGTTCGAGACCAGGCTGGCCAACATGGTGAAACCCCATCTCTACTAAAAATACAAAAATTAGCCAGGTGTGGTGGCGCACACCTATAGTCCCTGCTACTCTGGAGGTTGGCGCATGAGAATCACTTTAACCCGGGAGGCAGAGGTTGCAGTGAGCCGAGATCACACCATTGCACTCTAGCCTGGGCGACAGAGTGAGACTCCATCTCAAAAATTAAAAAATAAATAAAAAATTACTGCTTGTTTAAATCAGGATCAAAACAAAGTCCCTTCATTTGGTGTGTGTTCTCTCTCTTGCACGCACACATACATATAAGCTTTTTAGCCAAGAGTCTTCAGAGATTATAATTTATTTATTTGTTACATAGAGACAGGGTCTCACTATGTTGCCTAGGCTGGTCTTGAACTCCTGGCCTCAAGCAATGCAACCTGGCTTCCCAAAGCACTGGGAATACAGACAGGCATGAGAAATGCCAGGCTATAATTTATTTACTTTAGATCTTATTTGGGGGGAGTACAACATGCTAAGAGAAAAGTACATGTAACTATGGTTTTATGAAGTATCACAAAGGGAAGAAACCACATAACCGCCACTCAGGTCAATAAAGAGAACATGACCAGTACCCCCAAATTCCCCTTTTGGCTCTACTCTTAGGGGTCTTTTCATGTGTACACTGTTCTAACCTTGCTTCCTTCACTCCATAATATATTATGAAGATCACCCCCAGAACAGCTTATAGAGATCTTTCTTATATTTCATTTATCTGGATAGTAGTCTGGTGTGTAGATGAAACGTCGTTTAGTCAACCAGTCTACCAATAGAAAATTGACTTAGTTGTTTCCAGTCTTTTTTCCTTACAAAGAGTGTTGCAGTGAGCAACCTGGGCTCGTTGCCGGTGGAAGGTGTCCAGGTTCTGGGCGTTTTGAACAAAGAACTGGACAAAACGCACCAACGAAACAACCAACAAAAGAATGAAGCAAAGAAAGCATACATTTATTGAAATGAAAAGTACACTCCACAGGGTGGGAGCAGGCTGAACAGACACACTCCACAGACCAGGAAGCAACCAATCAGAGGCTGAAGTGAAGGTACAAAGTTACACCCTATGCAAACGTCTGATGGGTCGCGGGAGGGGACCAATCAGAGGCTGAAGTGAAGTTACAGAGTTACACCCCTATGCAAATGAAGACTAGGCCCATGACCAGTCTGATTGGTTGTGGGAGACTACCAATCAGAGGCACTTTCCATCTTTCATCGGCCACGCGGGGAGGGGAGGGGAGGGGAAGCCCGCCGGGGTCGGGGGTTGCGAAGGGAGTAGCCTCTGATCCTTTTGTTACTTGGGTGTGGAAAGTTGGGATTTTCCTTTTGATTCCGTTCTAGGAAGTCAGTGCAAATCAGCCTTAGGTTTCCTGCCTCTAGACTATTCTCCTGCCTCAGCTTACATCCTTTTATTGCCAATGTATCTTTAAGTTGGATTCCTAGCAGTGAGATCAGATCAAAAGATAAATGCAGCCGAGCGGGGGGGACTGCTCACGCCTGTAATCCCGGCACTTTGGGAGGCTGAGGCGGGTGGATCACTTGAGGTCAGAAGTTCAAGACCAGCCTGGCCAACATGGTGAAACCCCGTCTCTACTAAAAATACAAAATTAGCTGGGCATGGTGGCGCATGTCTGTAATCCCAGGTACTTGGGAGGCTGAGGCAGGAGAATCGCTTGAACCCGGGAGGTGGAGGTTGCAGTGAGTCGAGATCCCGCTACCACACTCCAGCCTGGCTAACAAAATGGACTCCATCTCAAAAAAAAAAAAATTTTTTTTTAAATGCACCTGCAATCTTGTTAGACACTGCCAAATGTCCCTTACACCTTGGACTTACACGTTGTGCATTCCCACTGGTAACACAGAAGAGTGTTCTTTTTCTCATAGTCTTGTCAATAAATTATATTGTCTAATTTTTGTGACTTTGCTAATGGGTGAGAAGTAGTATCGCAGGGTAGTTTAATTTGCATTTCTCTTTATATGAGCAGAATTGGACATTTCTTAGGTTTTGTTTGTTTGTTTTTTGTTGTTGAGACAGAGTCTTGCTCTGTTGCCCAGGCTGGAATGCAGTGGCACGATCTTGGCTCACTGCAACCTCTGTCTCCCCGACTCAAGCAATTCTCCTGCCTCAGCCTCCCGAGTAGCTGAGATTACAGGCGTGTGCCAGCAAGCTTGGCTAATTTTTGTATTTTCACCATGTTGGGCAGGCTGGTCTCGAACTCGTGACCTCAGGTAATCCGCCCACCTCAGCCTTCCAAAGCGCTGGGATTACAGGCATGAGTCACAGTGCCCAGCCACCTCCTTAGGTTTTAAGGCAATTTGTATTTCCTTTTCTATGAACTATTCCAATCGTTTGCATATTTTTCTACTGAAATGTTGCTTTTTATTCTTTATTTTTAGGACCTCTTAATTCTTTCTCTCGAAGGGAAATTGATCCCCAGCAATGGTTGACAGCAAAATTAAATAGAAAGCACTGGCTATGGTAGAGGACACATCTGGATTCAAATCTGGCCTCCATTATTTACAAACCGTTTGCCCTTGGGCAAGTTATTTAACTTCACTGAGCCTATTTCTTTGTCTATTCCCGTTTCACAGAGTAATTATGAAGTTCAGAAATACTGTACACAAAGAACATGACACATTGTATGCATTCAACATGTTTAGATTCCTCCCAATTGCCTGTTTATATCCTCAACCCATGTTTTTCTTTTCTTTTTTCTTTTTTTTTTTTTTTTTTGAGACAGAGTCTTGCTCTGCTGCCCAGGCTGGAGTGCAGTGGTGTGATCTTGGCTCACTGCAACCTCTGCCTCCCGAAGTTCAAGGGATTCTCCTGCCTCAGCCTCCAGAGTAGCTGGAATTACAGGCACATACCACCACGCCCAGCTAATTTTTGTATTTTTTAGTAGAAATGGGGGTGTCACCATGCTGGCAAGGCTGGTCTCGAACTCCTGACCTCAGGTAATCTGCCTGCCTCGGCCACCCAAAGTGCTGGGATTACAGGTGTGAGCCACCGCACCTGGCCAACCCAGTTTTTTCTAACTGGGTTCTTGTCTTTCTTATTGAAGGATCTCTTTGCATATTGTGGATATTAATCCTTTGTTAGGTTTGTTGCAAAGCTTTCCTGCAAGTTTGTTTTTACTTATTTATTCATTCATCAGTAGGTGTACTGAGCACCTACTATGTGACAGAGACTGTGCTAGGAGCTGCAAATAAAGTAGTGAAAGAAGCAGATACTGTCTCTGCCCTTAAGTTATTTCTAATTGGAGAGAAAATCAAACAAAATTAATTATAAAGTGTGACAAAGGCTAAGAAGGAATTTAGCAAAAGGGTGGGACAGAAGGGGATCCACTTTTGGTGGGGTGGTCATGAAAGGCCTAAGTTATTAACATTGAAGATGACATTGAAGGATGAGAAAAAGCCAGTCATGTCATGAATGGAGGGACAAGCATATTATAAAGGACTGAAGTGGCAAAATGTGGCACATTCAATAAATTGAAAGATCACATTCCCAAATCATAATTGGCAGGGAGAATAGTGATAGGAGATGAGTCAAGAGGTTGGCAGGGGCCTCACAGGACAAGGTGAAGAAATTTGACTTTATTATAAATGTATATAATTATTATATATATTATATAATATATATATTTATGTATATAATTATTATATATTATATAATATATATTTATGTATATAATTATTATATATTATATAATATATATTTATGTATATAATTATTATATATTATATAATATATATTTATGTATATAATCATTATTATTATTTTTTTAAAGGACAGGATCTTGCTCTGTCACCCAAGCTGGAATGCATGGCACAATCATAGCTCACTGTAACCTCAAACTCCTGGGCTTAAGCAATCCTCCCACCTCAGCCTCCTCAGTAGCTGGGACTACAGGCCTGCACCACCACGCTTGGCTAATTTTTAAATTTTTTGTAGAGACAAGGTCTTGTTATGTTGCCCGGCTGGTCTTGAACTCCTGGCCCCAAGTGACCTGTTTCTATTTTAAGGAAGATTCTCATGGCAGCTGTGACAATGGATTACAGAAGAGAAAGAGCGGACAGTAGGCTACCATGTTGTTGACAGAAGTTAGGATAATGGCTTGTACCAGATGGTGACAGTGGGCATAATAAGAAAGGTAGATTTCAGGTATGTTTTTTGTTTTTTTTGTCGAGATAGAATCTTGCTCTGTTGCCCAGGCTGGAGTGCAGTGGCACAATCTTGGCTCACTGCAACCTCCGCCTCCCAGGCTCAAGCAATTCTCCTGCCTCGGCCTCCTAACTGTGATTACAGGCACCCGTCACCATGCCCGGCTAATTTTTGTATTTTTAGTAGAGACAGGGTTTCACCATGTTGGCCAGGCTGGTCTCGAACTCCTGACCTCATGATCTGACCACCTGAGCTTCCCAAAATGCTGGGATTACAGGCGTGAGCCACCATGGGGCCTTGGGTATGTTTTGAAACAGTTCAACATGATTTGTTAAGGAACTGAGTGGAGGACAAAGGAGAGGAAGAAATAAAAAATAATTCCCCTGGCCGGGCACGGTGCCTCACGCCTGTAATCCCAGCACTTTGGGAGGCCGAGGCGGGTGGATCACAAGGTCAAGAGATCAAGACCATCCTGGCCAACATGGTGAAACCCCGTCTCTATTAAAAGTACAAAAATTAGCTGGGCGTAGTGGCGCACGCCTGTAATCCCAGCTACTTGGGAGGCTGAGGCAGGAGAATCGCTTGAACCCGGGAGGCAGAGGTTGCAGTGAGCCAGGATTGTGCTGCTGCACTCCAGCCTGGTGACAGAGCGAGACTCCATCTCAAAAATAATAACAATAATAATAATAATAATAATAATTCCCCTATTTTCTTGCTGCTGAACTTACTGGGTGGTAATTGTGCTATTTAAGGAGGTAGGGAAGACCCTCATGGGAAGGGGACAGATTTGAAAGGAAACAAAGACTTCAGTGTTTTACTTGTTGGTTGCATTAACACATTAAATCTTCACTCCAGCTCTATAAGTACTATCATTAACTCTACTTTAAAGATGAGAAAACTAATCCAGAGAGAAATTAAGTAACTTGCTAGGGTTATAAATGATAAAGCCAGAATCTATTGATCTTTCTCCATTTTCCACTCCTTCCCTCCATCCAATCATTTATCTTCTCTTTTTATTGAGACAGGGTCTCACTCTGTTGACCAGGCTGAAGTGCAGTGGAATGATCATGGCTCACTGCAGCCTCGACCTCTCAGGCTCCAGTCATCCTCCCACCTTAGCCTCCCAAGTAGCTGGGAATACAGGCAAGTGCCACCACGCCCAGCTAATTTTTATATTTTTTGTAGTGATGGGGTCTCACTATGTTGCCCAGGCTGATCTCAAACCCCTAGGCTCAAGCAATCCTCTTGCCCCAGCCTCCCAAAGTGCTGGGATTACAAGCGTGAGCCACCGTGCCTGGCCATTTATCTTCTCATCCATCCACTCTTCTAATCACCTATTGCCTCATCTTCCTAGTTCCCCACACACCATTTTCTCAATTCACCCATCCATCTCTTCATCCATCCATGCAATCATCCATCCATCCTCCCAGCCCCCAATAAATATTCATCACGTGCCAGATTCCCCAGGCACCTGATACCTGCTGTGCAGGAGGAAAGTCAGGGATGAGAAGGCATGAGACAGACACAATGACATGCAGCTTAGCTTAAGATATTTATTCAATGCTCTCACATTTGGCCTCTGTGACCCAGAAAAGCGGTAGAGCAGGGTAGGAGCACATGATGCATCCTTCAGCCACTGCAACCTCCAGAGGGACCAGGTCTTCTTCAGGAAATCTTCGTTCCTGGTGGATGACTGATCAGCCATAACTGCAAGACACAGACATTTAGCACCTCCGCTTGCAGACTAAACACCCACCCTGACTGCCCTCATCCCATGAGGATCCAGGTGCCTTTGCCCCAAGAAGCCTGGTTTCCATACTACATCCCTCACCATGGGGAGAAGTCCTGCGCTCTCCATTTCTCCATCGCTGGCTTCTCCTGGGAGTCATGCCAATCATTGGTCTGGTCCCCGTCAAAGTTTCCACAGGCCCCACACAGTTTCCCAGCATGGTCATTGCTGACAATCACAGCCACCTTCCCATTGGCTCCAAGCCACACCTGGACCCCTGCCTTCTGGCGGACTAGCAGGGAGCCATCAGGTGTACGACTCACGGACACAGATGCTAACTTCTCAGCTGGGAGATCCACTCGGAGACCATTCACCTGGTGGGGGATGCCCAGCAAACACAGAGGTGAGGCCACAGCCCCAGAATAGCTGGGTGTTACCAGGATGGAGGATGGAGACCCCAAACAAGATAAGTTCATGGAGCTAAATCAAAGAGGCAGGTGCTGAAAGAGATGAAGACCTGGATGTTTGCACTATTTGGAGCAATGGATACATGAGAAGATAGCTAGAGATCTGGATAGACGGATAAAAGGATGGAGAGTGGAGGGATGGAGAGACGTACCCATGGATCTACACAACACCCCAAAGTCGGTGGGGGAAGCATTTTGTACCAGACAGATAAGCAAACAGACAGACAAACAATCAAACCCCAGGGTCATCCTTATGGTTCTAGTTTTCTTTTTCTTTTCTTTTTTTTTTTTTTAAGATAGGGTTTTGCTTTGTCATCCCAGCTGGAGTGCAGTGGTGCAATCACAGCTCACTGCAGCCCTGACCTCCTAGACTCAATCAATCCTCCCACCTCAGCCTTCTGAGTAGCTGAGACTACAGGACTACAGATGTGTGCCACCACACCAGGCTAATTTTTGTATTTTTTTCTAAAGATAGGGTCTCACTGTGTTGTCTAGGCTGGTCTTGAACTCCTGGATTCAGGTGATCTGCCTCCCTCAGCCTGGTTCTAGTTTGCAAAATAAAACAAACTTTGAGCACATCCTGTAAGTTATTGGTTCCCTAACCAAAACAACGTTATCCTTTATTTTTGCAATGCTGATGTCTGAAGATAAGTAATGACTTTAGCAAATATAATAATCATGTGAGAAAATTACTTTTTCTTCATCATAGGCTGCAGATCCAGTAACTTTGTGAGTTTTTCCTTTACATAACTGTTGTCTATGTTAGTTGGTGAATTAACCCTTCTAAAGTTAGATTCCCTAGAGAAACTTCCTTAAAAGACTTGTCTTTTTTTTTTTTTTTTTTGTAAATCCTTCTTTTGTTTGTTTGTTTTTTGTTGTTGTTGTTGTTGTTTTGTTTTTTGGTTTTGGTTTTAGTTTTTTTTTTGAGATAGAGTCTTGCTCTGTCGCCCAGGCTGGAGTGCAATAGCGCGATCTCAGTTCACTGCAACCTCCGCCTCCCGGGTCCAAGTGATTCTCCTGCCTTAGCTGGGACTACAGGCATGTGCCACCATGCTCGGCTAATTTTTGTATTTTTAGTAGTGACAGGGTTTTGCCGTGTTGGCCAGGCTGGTCTCTAACTCCTGACTTCAAGTGATCTGCCCGCCTCGGCCTCCCAAAGCGCTGGGATTACAGGCATGAGCCACCATGCCCAGCCCTCTAAATGCTTTTGTATCTGAGTTTTCCTCTGCCAGATGATTGGAGAGATAGGTAGATAGATCTGAAAAGACAGATGGGTGGGTGGGTGGGTGGGTGGATGGATGGAGGGATGGATGGGTGGATGGGTGGATTGGTGGGTGGATGGATGGATGGACAGATGGGTGGGTGGATGGAAGAAAGAAGGAAGGGAAAAAGACTAGAAGGAAGGAAATAGGAAAAAGAGAAGGGGGTAGAATAGATGCTGGAAGGAAGGAGGGGAAAAGGGAGGATGGGTGTAGTGAAGGACAGATGAAGACTAGTGGATGGAAAGTCTCAGTAGGGTGCAAGCTTTCCAAGTATAACGACTGAGTCCGAGTCATCTCTGTTACCCAGCACATGGCCTGGCACAAAAGGAGCAGGGCTGAGTTTATTCACAAAACCAGCCTTTTACTGAGTACCCTCTAGGTGCCATGCCCTGATCTGGGTACTGGGAACAAACTGGTGACCAAGATGGACAGGATCCCTGCCTACCTGCGGCTTATAGTCCAGTGATGAACAAAGATGCTGAGCATCTTCTGGGAGTTTCCTTCTAGGAGTCTGGAATTTTGGTAGGTGGATACCAAAACCCCAGGCACTGAGACTCTATGAATTTCCCTGGCAGATGACATTTCATGTTTCATCACAACTTTGTTGCTGGAGGAATTAAGCACATCCTGTGTGACTCTACCGAGAAAGGACTCTCGGAAGCTTGCACATGATTTCCCCTGGACTTTGTGCGATGCACCTTTTCCCTGTGTCAATTTCACTTCGTATCTTTTCCCTATGATACATCTTAGCCCTAAGTACAACTATATGCTGAGTCCTGTGAGTCCTAGTGAATCACTGAACCAGGTTATGGGAAACCCTGACACATTATGTGACCCCCCACCCCCAGCCTTGACCAATCACGGAACTTCCTCCCTAAAGTCACAGTGATTGGCTCCAGGGGTGGGCATGTGACCCAAACTGGCTCAGTGAGATATAATCCTGGGTCTTTTATTGAACCATTTTCTGTTAAGGTAGATAAGCTGGTGGGGTGTAGGCCTGGGCAGCTGGGCGGGGGTCGTCTTTACACCTGTAAGTGGAAAGCCTGTTTGAGAACAAAGCTGATTTGGCAAATAGCAAGTCTCAAAGACGGAAGTACAAATTTCTGATAATATTGCCAGGGCACCTAGATCCAGCCATTCCTGAGGCTCTATCCTGGGATTTTCTAGCTACATGGACTAATAAATTCAATTTTGCTTAAGGCAGTTTGAATTTGGTTTTAAGTCACTTGCAACCCATAGAGTCTCGATTCATACTAATGTCAAAACTATTAAGTTGCTTGAGTATGTTTTTGCTCCTCTAGAACTCAGCCAGAACAGAGGGACCAAGTTTGAAATATTGAGATAAATACAAATCCAGAGACTAAACCGCAGAGACCTGGATAAAGAAAACAGATCGCAAGACAGAAAGGAAGCCAGGAATGTGGGGACACTGTAATCAGAAGAGCAAAAGCCCAGGGAGACATTCCCTACCCCCTACTCACAAACTTACCCACACACCCTTGTTTGGAGTCAACGTCACCATCCCATCCTGGAAGAAGATGTGGACCTGGCCCACAGCCTCCGTTTTGCCATGGCAGATCTGGACTTCGGCAACTACACGGTACCAGGGGATGGTAT
Organism: Homo sapiens; assembly: GCF_000001405.40. Classification (NCBI taxonomy): domain Eukaryota; kingdom Metazoa; phylum Chordata; class Mammalia; order Primates; family Hominidae; genus Homo; species Homo sapiens. The sequence goes on from NW_009646206.1 coordinate 126,741, forward strand.
TCTGTAGTCCTGGGCAGCGGGAAGAGAGCTCATAGACACCAGGAGAGGTGGTGGCACCACGGGCCCCATCAAAGGTGGTGAGGTTGGCACCCACAGACAGGACACAGAGACCACGGGTGGCCCAGCAGTTCCGGGCTTCAGCCTTGACCTCACATACACGGCCTGGTGGGCAGCCAGCTGCCTGGCATGTCAGGCCAGAGCTTGAGGAACAGGAACAGCGCTCGCTGCAGTCTGAGGTCAGCAGGGAGGAGTTTACCTGTGCACAGAAAGGGGCCAGGTTATGGTGGTGGGATGGATCGCAAAAATGGCCACACTGCTTGAACCCTCTGTATCCATGCAGAGTGACTTTACAGACTCCCATTAAGAAATAGAGTTTATTTCCCCCTCCCTATGAATCTGGGTTGGCCGTAAGACTATATTTAGGTCAATGAAACACAGAAGAAGCAATGTTGTAACAGGTTTAAGCCTAGACCTCAAGAGACCTCACAGCTTCTCTTTCCTTCTCTCTCTCTCACATACACAGAATCCTGCCCAGCCACCATGAGAACAAGCCTGGGCTAGCTCCCTAGAAGATGAGTGACCCCATGGAACATAGATAACTCTTCCAGCTCAGGCCACCCTAGACCAGGCAGCCTTCAGCTGACCCACCAGCTGACTACAGATATTATACATGAGTAAGCCCAGAGGATAGCAGAAGAACCACCCAGCCAAGTCCAGCCTAAACTGCAGTCACAAAATTGCAAACTAAATGAATAATTGTTTTAAGCCACAACGTTTTGGAGTGATCTGTAACCCAGCAAAAGCTAACTGATACAGGTAAGAAATGAAGAAATGTAATTAACAAAATAAATGCCATCTCTACAATGATGATTTCCACATCTCTAGGCCAGACCTCTCCCATGAAGGCCAGACTCACAAATCCAAGACTTCGGGCATAGGCAGAGGGGTCAGGGCAGAGATGGGGAAGCATAGGGAGCTGAGGGGTTCAGAGGAGGCACCTAACCCAGCCTAGGGGATCAAGGATGGCTTCCAGTAGGCAGTGAGACCTCAAGGAAAGAGCAAAATTTGGCTCCATTTGCAAGCAATGCAAGTTAGTGCTGCATGTTAATGGCTAGCCTCGGGCTGACTTCTCTATGTCACAATTTCTTCATCTGTAAAATGGGGAAAATAGTCATAGTATCTATTGCATAGGATTGTTGTGATTATTAAATGAATTAACATCCAGAACATGGCCGGGAGAGGTGGCTCATCCCTGTAATCCCAGCACTTTAGGAGGCCAAGGCAGGAGGATTGCTTGAGCCCAGGAGTTTGAGACCAGCCTGGACAACATAGCGAGATCCCATTTCTACATAAAAATTAAATAGTCAGCCAGGGATGGCAGTGTGAGCCTGTGGTCCCAGCTACTCAGGAAGCTGAGACAGAAAGATCGCTTGAGCCCAGGAGTTTGAGGCTGTAGTAAGCCGTGATCATGCCACCGCACTCCTGCCTGAAAGACAGAGTGCAATCCTATCTCAATAAATAAATAAATAAATAATAACACCCATAACAAACATGGTGCATAGTAAGAGCTCAAAAAAATTATTAACAAGAATAAATCAATTCTTCAATTTAATTCATATTATTAAACAATTATTAGCTGGGCTACCTATTTGCACTGTTGTAAACTGCTATTTCTTTTTTTTTCTTTTTGACATGGAGTCTCGGTCTGTTGCTCATGCTACAGTGCTGTGGCACAATCTCGGCTCGCTGCAACTTCCACTTCCCGGGTTCACGGGATTCTCCTTCCTCAGCCTCCCGAGTAGCTAGGACTACAGGTGTCCACCACCACACCCAGCTAATTTTTGTATTTTTAGTAGAGACGGGGTTTCACCATATTGGCCAGGCTGGTCTCGAACTCCTGACCTTTTGATCCGCCCGCCTTGGCCTCCTAAAGTGCTGGGATTACAGGTGTGAGCCACTGCGCCCCGCTGTAAACTGCTCTTTCTTTTTACTGAGTGTGATGAACATGCAGGGCAAGGCCCAGTGCTCAGTGGGTATCTTTCCTGTATAATCGGGCCTGATCCTCAGATACCTATGGTACAAAGATGGTGATTAGTCCCATTTTACAGGTGAAGAAAATGCAGTTCAAGGAGGGGCCAAATGATGCCCCCGCCCCAAGATATCAGGTCCTAATCCCTGTAATGAGTAAATGTCACCTTATATGGGAAAAGTGTGTTTGCAGATGTGATTGAATTAAGGATCTGAAGATGGAAAATTTCTCCTGGATTATCTGAGTGAGCCTTAGATGCAATCACGTGTATCCTTATAAGAGAGAAGCAGAGGGAGGTGTTATGACACACTCAGAAGAGGAGGCAGAGGTTGGTGTGATGTGGCCACAACCAAGGAAAACCTGCAGCAACCAGCAACTGGAAGAGGCAACAAACAGATTTTCCCCTAGATTTCTTTTTTCTTTTCTTTTCTTTTCTTTTTTTTTTTTTTTTGACATGGAGTCTCGGTCTGTCACCCAGGCTGGAGTGTAGTGGCGCAATCTCGGCTCACTGCCACCTCCGCCTCCTGGGTTCAAGTGATTCTCCTGCCTCAGCCTCCTGAGTAGCTGGGATTACATGCACGCACCACCATGCCCGGCTAATTTTTGTATTTTTAGTAGAGACAGGGTTTCACCATGTTGGTCAGGCTGGTCTTGAACTTCTGACCTCGTGATCCGCCCGCCTCAGTCTCCCAAAGTGCTGGGATTACAGGTGTGAGCCACCGTGCCTGGCTCTTTTCCTTTTTTCTTTAGAGGTAAGGTCTTGCTCTGTCACCCAGGCTGGAGTGCGGCAGCGTGATCATAGCTCACTGCAGCCTCCAACTCCTGGGGTCACGCCATTGTCCCACCTCAGCCTCTTGAGTAGCTGGGACTATAGGTGTGCACCACCATGCCCAGCTAATTAAAAAAACAATTGTATGTTGCCCAAGCTGGTTTTGAATTCCTGGGCTCAAGTGATCCTCCCGCCTTGGCCTCCCAAAGGGCTGGGACTGCAAGTATGAGCCACTGGGCATGGCCTCCCCTAGATTTCTCTGGAGGGAGTGCCACCTTGCCAACACCTTGATGTCAGCCCAGTATTCCTGATTTCTGACTTTTGGCCTTCAGAACTGTGGGAGAATGAATTTCTCCTGTTTAAGCTACCATGTCTGCGGTAATTGGTTACAGAAGCTGCAGGAGACTAATAGGGGGAGGTTGCCTGCATCAAGTCACATAGCTGGGATATGGCGGTACCTCCTCTGTCCCCAGCCTTGAAGAGGTCAGCACAGAATCTCTGGGTCTCTCTCAAGCTCTTCTACCCTCTCTGCCCACCCCAAGCCCCTACTCACCGGCAAGTATCGGCCATTATGGGTGCAGCCACAATCTTGGACAGGGATGCAGACACCCTGGGAAAGCAGGAAGCGGTCGTCGCACTCACAGCCCTCAAAACAGCGGGTGGTGCAGCCCGTGAGGCCGGAGAGAGCCGCACAGGATCCCTGGCAGGTGCGAGTGCAGATGGAGTAGTGGCTGTGGGCGGGGCAATGGAGCGCTGCAGAGAGAGGAGGCAGGGCTGAGTCACACCTCCAAAGGGTCCTGGATAACCAAGGGGGCCTACTGCACACCCAGCCCTGTTTTAGGCGGTGCTGAGGACACAAATACTGAGAAAAGTCTCAACCCCAGTCCTACAGAGCTCACTTCCAGTGGGACAGACAGGAAGAGCCCAAAGTGAACATGCTGCATCAGGGAGTGTAGACAGAGAGGTCAGGGTCAGGGTGGGGAGGCACAGGCAGAGGGGTCAGGGCAGGCATGAGGGGGCAAAGGCAGAGGGGTCAGGGCCAGGGTAGGGGGCTACAGACAGAAGGGTCAGGGCTGGGATGGGGAGGGCACAGACAGAGGGTTGAGGGCCAGGGTAGGGGGCACAGGCAGAGGGGTCAGGACCAGGGTCGGGGGCACAGGCAAAGAGGTCGGGGCCAGAGTGGGGGCACACAGGCAGAGGGGTCAGCGCCAGGATGGGGAGGGCACAAACAGAGGGTTGAGGGCTGGGGTTGGGGGCACAAGCAAAGGGGTCAGGGCTGGGGTGGGGGGGCAAAGGCAGAGGGGTCAGGGCCGGGATGGGGAGGGTACACACAGAGGGTTGAGGGCCGGGGTAGGGGGCACAGGCAGAGGGGTCAGGGCTGGGTAGGGGGCACAGGCAGAGGGGTCAGGGCCAGGGTGTGGGGGGCACAGGCAAAGGGGTCAGGGCTGGGATAGGGGGGCACAGGCAGAGGGGTCAGAGTTGGGACAGGGGCTATATGGACCCAAGGGAATTATCTGTGGTAAGTCCCTGGTCTCTGGCTAAGCAATTGGTGGAGGTGTGGCTGTTCTGCAATGCCCACCAGGTTTGGGGAAGGAGCATCAGGCTGGGGGTGAAATGCTGATTTTATTTGGGAACACAGCAGGTAAGAGGGACGGTAAGGACACCCAGGGGAAGGTGTCTTGGACACCCTAACAATTACCACAGACTTTGTAGCTTAAACAGGGGAAATTCATTCTCCCACAGTTCTGAAGGCCAGAAGTCAGAAATCAGGATCACTGGGCTGACAGTCAGGAGAGAGTTCAGGGCTTGAGACAGACAGACCAGGTCCATGGTCAACAATGAGAACAAATCTAAGGCCGCGGGTGTGGATGACCGCCCTGGGTATAGGTCCTGCCCAGGGGAGACCTGGCTCTGACCTGGAGCCGAAGGGGCCATTGCTTTTTCCTGAGAGTCTCTGGTGATGTCCCTCCCATGGGGAATTGAATGAGAGGTACAGTCCTAGTTTAGCGGGGTGTTTAATAGCCTGCAGCCTTGTCTTGGGGGGATCTGAGGGGATATGGTCTTGTCGGGGGTAGAAGGAGGGTCTGTGTGAGCCACAGATCTCCCAACCCATCCAACTCTCCCTTTCAGGTCACTGCAGAAAGAGTCCAGAATAGAACACTAGGGAAGAAGAGAATTTGAGGTTTGAGCAGAGTGGGCCCAGACAGGAGGCTGAGAAGGAACAGTCAGAGGGATAGCAGGGAAGCCAGTGGACTATGCCGTGGGAGAAGAAGTTGTGTGGGTGTGGGGTGGGAGGGGGTGGGGAGGGAGCGCTTTTACAGGGAGAAACCACTCCGACATGCAAATAGAAGGAATGGGCCAGGAGGGGCCCCTACACCTGGTCTAGAGTCCTGCGAGGGACCCACGGACACTCACGGCAGAAGCTGTCTGTCCTCCAGGGCTTCACGGCCACGCCAGCTGCCTGACAGGCCGCCGTGTAGGCTGCCAGGCTGCGGCACAGGAAGGCTTTGTCACCCTTTTGCGCGCACAGGTCGTATACGCATTGGCGGAAGTACTCAGAGGGACTCAGCACCGCCTGGCAGGTCGCGAAGGGGCCCTGGGGGTTCCGGAGCTGCCCGCAGGCCTCGTTGCTCTCATAGGGTGCAGTCTCCTCTGCCAAGCACACTGGGCAGCCTTGGGGCCCGCAGCCCTCGCCACAGCCCTTGGAGGAGCCGGGCGCCCGCCATGCAGCCCCGAAGGTCTCCACACTGGACGCTGCTGAGCCATTGGGCAGGACAAAGTCGTCACTCCAGTTGCCATTGAAGTTCCCACAGAGGCCACAGAGCCGTCCACGGAAGGGGCTGGGGATGGACATGAGGAGGTGGGCATCGCCATCAAAGAGAAGCCGCAGCCCCTTGGTCGTCTGCAGAACCATGTTTCGGCCCTCGGCGGTCACCCGCACGCGGCCCACAGCCACAGGCAGGGCCACAGCCTCGCCGTCCACGGTGACCTGGGTGGAAGGGTCGGGTAGGTCAGGAACTCACAGAACCACAGGCAAGGCTGTCCTGTCCCACTCCCAGGCCAGAGCTGCATCTCCCTCAGTCCCATTAACGTCAGGTCATGTTTCCCTTAAACTTCTTGGGCCCCAGGCCTGGCGTGGTGACTCACACCTATAATCCCAGCACTTTGGGAGGCCCAGACAGGTGGATCACTTGAGCCCAGGAGTTCGAGACCAGCCTGGCCGTGACAGCAAGACCTCATCTCTACCAAAAATAAAAAATTAGCTAGGCATGGGGGGCTGAGGTGGGAGGATTGCTTGAGCCCAGCAGGTTGAGCCTGCAGTGAGCTGTGATCACGCCAATATACTCCAGCCTGGGTGACAGAACAAGACCCTGTCACAAAACAACACAAAAATCTCCCACGGTGGGACCATTCACCAAACCTTCCAGGGTAGGTACCAGAGTTCCCATGTTAGAGGAATGTCCCTCTCATACCTACAGGGTGGGGTCGTGTCTCCCTCAGAACCCCCTAGATGGGGCTGTGTTGCCTTCAGACCCCCAGGGCAGGCTCACATGGACTCACCTGCTGCCCCTGAGCTAGGCTCACAACCTGGCCAGCCACAGTAACCAGGAGGCGTTGGAGATCTCCAGCTGCATTCTTCTCAAGCACGATGGAAAAGTCCTCGTCCCCAGGCTTTGGGTGGCAGACTTGGGCCAAGACATAGGAGCAGGAGCCATGCAGGTCGTAGACACGGCCATCAAGGGTGATGTAGTGGATGCCCCCGTTGGCCAGGCAGCGGCCACAGCCTGTGGCATGACAGGCCTGGACACCATCCTCTAACCGGCACTCCTCATGGGGCCCACAGGCTGCGCCCTCCTGGCAGGTGACATGGCCACCTGGCCCACACTCACAGCGCCGCTCACACTCAGGGCCCGGGTAGAAGACCTCGCCCAGTGGGTAGTAGCGGCCATCATGGAGGCAGCCACACTGGCCCACGGGTACGCAGGTGTCACCACTGAGTACGAAGCCAGCATCGCAGACACAGCCTTCACGGCAGGCCGACTCACAGCCCTCGGGTGCTGAGAGGCTCGGGCAGCTCACAGGGCAGGAGTCACCGCAGAGCTCATAGTGGCTGTGGGCAGGGCACTGCAAGGCTGTGGGGACAAGGTGGGCATGAGCCAGGTAGGTGTTCGAGTCGGGGTCTTGGGAGGCCCTGAGTGGGAAAACTGCTCAGGCCAACTTGAGTGTCTCTGTGTATGCACATGTGATCCAGGACATCTAACTGGGGGACTCAGTGTGGGACCTGGAATGGGAGGGGACATGCCCTGGTCTCTCTGACCAGGTTATGTGTTAGCCTGACCAAATATTTCTGAAGATCAAATGACTCTGCTTGCCTGATTTTTATTTATTTATTTATTTATTTATTTTTTATTTTTTTGAGACAGGGTCTCACTCTATCTCACCCAGGCTGGAGTGCAGAGGCGCGCTTACTGCAGCCTCCACCTCCTGGGCTCAAGCGATCATCCTGCCTCAGCCCCCCGAGTATCTGGGACTACAGGTATGAGCCACCACATCTGGCTAATTTATTAGTAGTTTTCTGTAGAGATGGGGTCTCACTATGTAAGCCAGGCTTACCTGGGTGAAATGGATCACTTATATCTATTCGGGGTATGCAAGATCAGAACTGACTATGGGTACCTCAGCGTGTGAATGTGACTGGGGTGTGGGGCCACATGTATCTCAGGGTATGGCTCTGCCTGAGGGCACCCAGCTGTGGGTGTCTGACATGCAGCATCTCCCAGAGTCCTTCTGACATGGTCTGCCTAAGGGTGTGCCTGGGTGAAGTTGGCAGGATACCTGTGACCAGGAGACCTGCCTGAAGGGAACCGCCTAGGACTATCTAACCATGCATCTGTGTGGATCTGCCCAGGGCTATGTAAGAGTCCTGATTCTATCTGAGTGTATCTAACCAGTTAGTCTCAGTACAAAATCTGAGCAGATACCACTGAAGGTATGTGACTTATTCTATGTGACTAGGTGTATTTCAGTGTGTGCAACAGACCAAGGGCCTCTGACCAGCTGTAACTCACTAGGTCTTCCTAACCAGGGGTACCTTGCTGTGTGACTGAGGCAGAGTCAGCCATCCCAATCTACATGCCTTGGATATCTGAGAGCATGGATCACCAATCCTCAACAGTGTCCTGGACCCCAGGTTTCTGACTAGGTGTTTCTTTTCTTTCTTTCTTTTTTTTTTTTTGAGATGGTGTCTCACTCTGTTGCCCAGGCTGGAATGCAGTGTCACATCATGGCTCACTGCAACCTCTGCCTCCTGGGTTCAAGTGCCTCAGCCTCCTGATTAGCTGGGATTACAGGTGCCCACCACCACGCCCAGATAAATCTTGTATTTTTAGTAGGGACAGGGATTTCACCATGTTGGCCGGGCTAGTCTCAACTTCCTGACCTCAGGTGATCCACCTGCCTCGGCCTCCCAAAGTGCTGGGATTACAGGCGTGAGCCACCACGCCCACACTCTGACTAGGTGTTTCTAACTCTCTCTCACTGCAGTACCTTTCTTGGGGCATTTCAGTGTGTGAGTGCCAAGGTGTTTGGTGACAGGAGATACCAAGCTCAGAGGAAGGAAAGTGGCCCCTGAGCCCCATGGAGGAGGAAGGGGCTGCTGTCCTACAGTCCTGGGAAGGGCAGGGAGAGACCCAACCATGTGGACCATGCATGGAGCAGTACTCACGACAGAAGTCCGGCCGCCTCCACTCGCCGAGCTGGGCCCCAGCGGCCTGACAGGCTGCCACGTAGGTAGCCACTGCAGGACAGAGGCCTCCAGGATGGCCCTGAACTTGGCAGGCGTCCAGCAAGCAGCCCTGGAAGTACTGCGCGGGCGGCACAAGGCCGTGGCAGGGTGCCAGCGGGCCGTCGGTGGCGGAGATCACGCCGCAGGCGTCCGGGCCGCCGAAGGACTCCTGCTGCTCTGGGGTGCACGGCGACGGGCATGGCTTGGACACACATTCCCCGCAGCCCTGGGCCCCGCCCACCTGCCATCCAGCGGGCTTCCCGCCCACAGCCTTGAGGTCGTCTGCGGGGTCCTGGTTGTAGTTCCCGCATAAGCCACAGAGAGAGGCCGCGTACGCCGCCGGCACGCGCAGGCGCACGAAGCTGTCCCCATCGAAAGCCAGCGAGAGCCCTGAGGTTGTGGTCACCACCACGTCGGCGCCGCTCAGGTGTGCGTGCAGGAGCGAGTCCAGCTGGAAAGGCAGAGCCACGAACACGCCGTCGACCTGCGGGCGGGGGATGGCGGCGGGGGGATGGGGCGCGGTGAGTGGAGAGAACACGGGTTTGAATCCTGGCCCCACCACCTACTAGCTGTGGGACCCAGAGCATGTCACCTCCCCTCTGAAAATAATAATGAGCATCTATAGGCCGGGCCTGGTGGCAAAGCCTGCAATCCCAGTACTTTGGAAGGACGAGATGGGAGGATCACTTGAGGTCAGAAGTTCAGACCCGCCTGGGCAACATAGTGAGACCCCCATCTCTACAAAAAAAATGAAAAATTAGCCAGCATGGTGGCCTGCGCCTTTAGTCCCAGCCACTTGGGAGGCGGAGGCCAAGGCGGGAGGATGGATTGAGCCCAGCAGTTCCAGGCTACAGTGAGCCCTAATCCTGTCACTGCACTCCAGCCTGGGCAACAGAGTCAGGCTAAGAAAAGAAAGAAAGAAAGAAAAACAGAAAAGAAAAAACAAAGAGCCTCTATAGGCTCATGTCACTGACTCCTCATCCTTCTCAAAAACAGGTACTTTCTTAGACCAGTTTACAGAGGAATACACTAGGCTCAGAGAGGAAGAAGCCGCTGTGCCAAGCCACCAGGCTCCTAGGCGTACACTCTGACCCTTCCATCATGCCCCAGCTAAGCTGTGAAAGGGGCCCAGGGGAATGGTGAAGCCCTTACCATCTCAGGCAACCCCAGAGCTGGCACTTGCTCCTGTCTGGCCCACAGCCCTCCTCACCTGTAGCTTCCGGGGCCAGCGGGCACTCAGTGTCAGGCTGTGGTTGTAGATTTGCAGGGTGACACTGCGGGTGTAGCTGACAGCCTGGCTGCCCCGGTGCTCATTGGCTACAGTGACAGTGAAGTTCTCAGCCCCCAAGGGTGGTCCGTGGCAGGGTGCACTCAGCAGGTACTCGCAGGTGCCTTGGAAATCGAATCGGTGCCCATCCAGAGTGACGTAATGGGGGTCACCCCACGCCTGGCACTCAGCTGTGCTGACGGGCTGGCAGCCGTGCTGGCCGGATGGCAGGAGGCCACACACTTCACCCAGCCCACAGCTGGCAGGTGTGCAGACCAGCGAGCCACCCCCAGGCCCGCAGCGACACCACTGGGAGCAGGTGCCATCAGCCCAAAACTCACTGCCCGCCTCGTGGTAGGTGCCATTGGCCCAGCAGCCGCAGCCGTTGTTGAGGGGAACACAGCGGTCAGCACTTAACACGAAACCCGCGTCGCACTGGCAGCCCTCCACACAGGGGCCCTCACATACGGCTGGCGTCGTAAGGGGTGCAGGGGACGGACAGCTGGCTGGGCAGGGTGGGCCACAGACCTCATAGTGGCTGTTTTCTGGGCAGGTGATCTCTGTGGGCAGACGAAGGAGCAGGAAGGAGAGAAATAGAGAGAAGGGTGTCAGGGGTGGGGTCCCAGGACAGGGTGGGAGGAGACAGAGATACTAGGGAGCAGACAGAAAAAGGGAGAGACAGAAAACAAGACACAGAGAGGACACAGAGAAAGAAATGGGAGAGGGCGAGACACCAGGAGACCCAAGCAGAAACTGAGGGAGCTAGAGAATGAGAAACAGACAGATAGACACAAGCAAAGCGAGGCCCAGAGATGAGCACCAAGAGACAGAGAGACAAACAGAGAAAAAAGAAAACAAAGAGACCCAGAAGGACCAGAGTGAAACCAAACCAGCCCCGAAGAGACGGGACCCCGCCCCCCGCCCCACCTCTGCTCCCCCAACACTCACCACAGCCAACCTGTGCCCGCCAGTCTTCGATGACAACCCCAGCGGCCTGGCAGGCGGCCACGTAGGAAGCCAGAGCCTTGCAAAGAATGTCACGGTCCCCACCACCCATGCAGACGTCCAGAACACAGCCCTTGAAGAAGCTCTCAGGTGGCACATGAGCATGGCAGGTGGTGAAGGGGCCCCCTGTGCCAGATGAAAGGGGTCCGCAGAAGCCAGGGCCCTCGTACTGCTCCAACCGGTCCTCAGGGCACGTTGGGCAGGACCCCCGACATTCGTCCCAACACAGTGGGTCCCAGCCTGGGGCTCGCCAGCTGCCGCCCCAGATGGGTATGGAGGGAGCCAGTGTGCCATTAGGGAAGACCTGGTCATTGTTGGGGTTGCGGTCCATGTTACCGCAGAGCCCGCACACTGCGCCATGATAGCTGCTGGGGAGCGTCACGTCTACCCGCCAGTTCCAGTCATAGCTGACTTGCAGTCCAAAGTCAGCCACCAGCAGTGCCTTCGATGCACCCTGGGCCACTGAAATCCGCCCGTCGGCCACGGAGACAGGCAAGGCTGTGAGCACACCGTTCACCTGGGGGAAGGAGGGAAGGCAAACGGGTCACTGGAGGTTTTACGGCCCCAGCTCTGGCCCTCTGCCTCCCTCTCTCTCATCCCACCGGGGGCTGGGAGAGGCCAGGGCCTTCCCCCGAGAGTTGGATTGTCATCTGACACACTGTGGACAGTTGTTCTAGCCCAGGTCTTGGGGAACGAAACCTCACTTTACTTTTTCTAGATCTTCTCCCTTCATCTCTATCTCCCTCTTCTGTCTCTCTGTCTCTCTGTCTTTCTGTGTCTCTCTCCCTCTGTCTTCACCTAAGTCTATATCACTTGGTCTTCTCTCTCTCTCTTTCTGTCTCTCTGTCTATCTCTCCCTCCTCTTCCCTTCCTCCCTCCTACCCTCATTCTCTGTGTGTCTCTTCCACTCACTCACCATCATTTATCCAGTGCCTACTCTGTTCCATCCCTCATTTTCTCTCTGTGAGCTACCATTAAGCTCTATCTCCATTTCCCTGGGCAGAAAGGATAGCCCATCTGTCTCCTCTGATCTCCCTACATATCTCCCTATATTTCTTTCTTTCTTTCTTTTTTTTTTTTTTTTTTTTTGAGACAGATCCTCACTCTGTCACCCAGGCTGCAGTACAGTGTCGAAATCTTGGCTCTTGTAACCTCCACCTCCCAGGTTCAAGTGATTCTCCTGCCTCAGTTTCCAGAGTAGCTGGGATTACAGTAGCACCACCACACCCAGCTAATTTTTGTATTTTTAGTAGAGATGGGGGTTTCACCATATCGGCGAGGCTGGTCTCGAACTACTAACCTCAGGTGATCCACCCGCCTCGGCCTCCCAGAGTGCTGGGATTACAGGCGTGAGCCACCGCACCTAGCCCGATCTCCCTGTATTTCTCTCTGTGTCCTGGTCTCTGGGTCTCTCACTTGTTCCCTCACAAACACTCAAACGACTGTTCACCTGGACTAGACTCTGAGCTCAGCATGTGACATGCACGGCCTTGCTGTGGGGGAGGCCCTGATACGATGCCCACTTCACAGATGAGGAAACTGAGGCCTACCAAGTGAACTGCCCAGCATCACATAGCTCATAAGGAGGAGAGGCTGGATTGAAACCCAGGTCTATAAAAAAGGCAAATGCTGAGGTCCTATGTTAAAGCCCTTTGCCAGGGGCTAGGCTCATTTAATTCCCAGTAACAGGGTGACATTTTTGCTGCAATTATTCTTTTTGTTGACAGTTTGTTTCAGGCCCAGGTGAAGACAAAGAGCCTTGAGCTGCTAACTGTGGTCGTCAGGATCCCTCCTGCCCTCCCGGGGACCTCAGGGGACCATCCTGCCACACATACCCGGACTTTGCCGATCTCGTCCTTGTGGATGGAGATGTTGGTGCCGAGGGCAGCCACGGTGACGACTCTCACGTAGGACACAGCAGGGTTGCCCCGGTTCTGGTTCTTGGTGGTGACGGTGAAGGGTGTCAGGCCCTGGGTGCTGACCCCCGGGCAGCCAGTTGTTGCCAGCACATAGTTACAGGTGCCCTGGAAGTCAAACTTCCGGCCATCGAAGGAGTGGTAGTGTGGGTCGCCCCACAGCCAGCACGTGGCCTCATAGTTGGGCAGGCACACGCCCTGGCCACCCTGCTCCTTGCATGTCTCCTGTGGCCGGCATGTCACGCCGTGGCACGGGTCTGGGGACAGAAGAGGGAGGAGGACCTTGAGGGGCTGCCCATTGTAAAGCATGGCCGCTCCCTCCATATCTACCCAGTCTGTGCCAGGGATCTGAGGGTTACTGCAGGCAAGACCACATTCCAGAGTCCTCATGTCTAGGACCCACTTCCTATAGTTTGCTTTTATATTTTCTTTTGTTTTGTTGTTTTTTTGAGATGGAGTCTTTCTCTGTCACCCAGGCTGGAGAGCAATGGTACAATCTCGGCTCACTGCAACCTCTGCCTCCTGGGCTCCAGTGATTCTCCTGACTCAGCCTCCTGAGTGGCTGGGATTATAGGTGCCCACCAGCATGCTTGGCTGATTTTTGTATTTTTAGTAGAGACAGGGTTTCACCATGTTGGCCAGGCTGGTCTCGGGCTCCTGACATCAAGTGATCAGCCAACCTTGGCCTCCCAGAGTGTTGGGATTACAGGCATGAGCCATCATGCCCAGCCTGCTATTTTCAAGACCAGCCCCTGGGAGTCGCACACAGCTGACACTGAGGCCCCATGGGGGACTGTGTCTAAGTCTCGGCTGTCAAAGGTCCCATACCGGAGACCTGGGCCCCAGAGGTCTGTACAGCCAAGACCCAGTACCTAGAGTTCCCCTACCTCTGAGACTGAGGCCCTGCCATTTGCTGTGTGAGACTGAGATCCTGGAGTCCACGCACCTAAGACCAAGGCAAAGACCAAGGCTCTGGGTCTGTGTTTAAGGTGCACTTTCCATGGTGCCCTTGCTTGAGATTTCACCCTGTTCTTGTATTTTAAGTTTTATAGGAACCTCACCGTCTTCACTTACATAGGCTACGGCTGCTTTCACACCACAGTGGCAGAGTGAGTAGTTGTGATCCAGAAGGTATAGCCTGCAAGCTTAAACACTTACCATCTAGCCCTTTAGAGAAAAGGTGCACTTGACCCCAGTTGAGATCTGTGCCCCAGGGGTCCTTGTGTCTGCGATGCCAGCCCTGAGAGCATCCATGTCTGAGATCCCAGCCCCAGGGTTCTCTGTGTTCAAGACCTGGGCCCCAGGCCAGGTGTGGTGGCTCAGGCCTGTAATCCCAGCACTTTAAGAGGCTGAGGTGGGAGGATAGCTTGAGCCCTGGAGTTTGAGACTAGCCTGGGCAACATAGTAAGACCCCATTTCTACAGAAAGATTAATAAATTAGCCAGGCGTGGTGGTGTGTGCCTGTAGTCCCCCACTACTCGGGAGGCTGAGGCGGGAGGATTGTTTGAGCCCAGGAAATCGAGGCTGCAGTAAGCTACACTACACTCTAGCCTGGGCCACAGAGTGAGACCTTAGCTCAAAAAAAAAAAAAAGATCTAGGTCTCAGGGTCCCCCATGCCTGAGACCTCAGCCCCCTGGACATCTCCACATTTGATAGAAATTGGTCTCCAATTTCTCTAGGTCCTGGAGGCCTCTATGCCCAAGACTAGGGCCCTGGGGTGATCTTCTGGCAAGAGCCCAGTGCCAGGGTCTCAGCAGGATTTGAAATGTTTGAGACCCTAACTAGCTAAGTCTCATGGGCTGGGCTCCCTCAGTGCAAGACTCCATCCCTGAGGGTTGCTGTATTCAAGACAGTAGCCTTCATCGTGTCTCACTGCTGAGGCCCTGTCCTGGGGGGTTTCTGTGTCCGAGACCCTGTTCGTACAGTTACTACATCTGTGACCCCAGCTTGCGGAACCCCTGTGTGGGAGAGGCCAGCCTTCAAACGTCTCCTTCCTCCTGTGTCCATTATCAATGTACCGCCTCTCAGCTTCAAATACACCCACGGAGTTAAGCTTTGTCAACAGAGGGCGCCGGAGAGTCACTGCAGGAGGGAGGGTCTCCGGGTCTGGCTTCTAGCCAGTTTGGTCCTTTCAGCTCTGGCCAGGGTGCGGGGCCACATTCAGCGAGTGCCACTGGCCGCAGCTGGCTTCCCAGTGAGGGGTTCCCTTCTTGCCAAGTCCAGCCTGCAGAAACCTCTGTGCCACCCAGTGGGCTACAGCTGCAGTGAGACTGGACTCAGCCTTGGGGCTGATTCTCCCCTCCTTGAAGAGGAGGGACCAATTTCTCCCTTCCATGAGGCTTTTAACTTAGCCCTAGAGTGGCGGCTACTTCCTGTGTGTGCTTTGGTGGTATTCTTTAGTGCTCTCTTTACCGTTTCTTATTTCTGTTTATTTGTTTGTTTGTAAAGAGACAAGGTCTTGCTGTCTTGCCCACGCTAGAGAGCAGTGGTGCAATCATATAGCTCACTGCAGCCTCGAAATCCTGGGGTCAACTGATCCTCCTACCTCAGCATCCTAAATAGCTGGGACCACAGGCACGCATCACCACACCTGGCTAATTTTCAATTTTTTGTGGAGACAGGGGTCTCGCTATGTTGCCCAGGCTGGTCTCGAACTCCTGGCCTCAAGTGATCCTCCCAAAGTTCTGGGTGTGTGAGCCACGGCACCAGACCCTCTTTACCCTTAATAGTTAATCTCCTATTAATAAGTAAGTGATTCTTTAATTAAACTTTCCTCATTCAAATGGCCATACGCTTTCTGTCTCTCGACTAGATGCTGAGTGATATACCCCCCATTCCTGGGAGTCCCCATTATCCTGCTCATCAGCCCTGAGAGTCTTAGCCCCCACTCCTTGGTGCTGGAGCTCCCATTCTCTTATCCTTAGGGGGAGGAGAGTTCTCTGCTCTTCACCCTAAGAAATGAGCCCTGGGGGTGGCTGTGTCCCAGATTTAGTCTGGGGGATTCCCACATCAGAGACTATACCCCTAGAAATCCTGATCTTCCAGTTAAGAGGGGTCCCCATATCCAATGTCCTGCCTTGGTGAGGTCTCCGTGCGTGAGACTCAGAACTCTGCTCTCTGTCCCTGCCCCTGGGATCCCAATCTCTCCCCTGCCCTTTGGTGCTAGTGTCTGAACCCCAAGCCCGATCCCACACATCAGTGTTCCGCTCATGATGGAACCCTAGGCTGCTGCTCTTGTATTCTAAAGT
Source organism: Homo sapiens (assembly GCF_000001405.40). Taxonomy (NCBI): domain Eukaryota; kingdom Metazoa; phylum Chordata; class Mammalia; order Primates; family Hominidae; genus Homo; species Homo sapiens. Next base: position 142,761 of record NW_009646206.1, read on the forward strand.
CTTATAGGAACCTGACCTCTTCACTTACATAGTCTACGGCTGCTTTCATGCCACAGTGGCAGAGTGAGTAGCTGGAACGAGAACCTACAGCCTGCGAGCTTAAACATTTACCATGTAGCACATTAGAGCAAAGGCGCGCCTGTCCCTGCCTTATACCGAGGGTCTCTGACATCCACCCTGAGAAAACTATCTCTGAGGGTCCCCACAGCCTGGATTTTCCCTAAGGGTCCCTACCTCCCAAAGTAGGTGGCCCTGGCCCTGTGAAACCTGGTCTAGGGTTCCCCAGGTCTGCAACCTCAATCATTAGTCCTGTACACCTCCCGCCATGGACACCCCAGTTACACTACCCTCAGCCCCAGAGTCCCCATCCTCCATCCCTAGTCCCATCAGCCCCAGTCCCAGCCCAGCCCAGCCCAGCACCTTTGGTGACGCAGCTCAGGATGCCTCCGGAGGGCTGGCACACCTGCCCCGGCTTGCAGCTGTGTTCCTGGCACACCACGACTTTACCCACATGGCACGTGCACTGCTGCCGACAGTTGTCAATGAGGACTGTCTGCTCCGGCTGTGGGGAGAGAGGGAACGGCCATCAGGGACACCACGGGTGGGAGCCGACTCTCACATCTCTGGCGTTCTGGCACAGAGGGGTTTGGCAGACATCACAGACAAGGGACATCTCTCAGCAGGATGGCCCCTTGTCTGTGAAGCTGAGGCACAGCATGGCTTTGGGGCCATCATTCATTGGTTCATTCACTTTTCTTCATTTACTCATTCATTCCAAAATATCCACTCAACGTCTGCTGTAGGAGAAATGGTGTGACACAGTAACTAAGGGCAGATCGCCTGGGCTTGAAGCCCGTTTCTGCTGTTTCCAAAGTGTGTGACTCTGGGCAGTTACTTCACCTCTTTATGGCTCAGTTTCATGATCTGCAGATTGCAGATGATAGTAGCGCCTGCCTTTGGAAATATAACTGAGTTATATTCAGATAATAACCAAGTTATATTCAGATAATAACCAAGTTATATTCAGACATGTAAAATTTAGATAAAATGAAAAGGGTAGGCCGGGCGCGGTGGCACATGCTTGTAATCCCAGCACTTTGGGAAGCCGAGGCGGGTGGATCACGAGGTCAGAAGATTGAGACCATCCTGGCTAACACGGTGAAACCCCGTCTCTACTAAAAATACAAAAAATTAGTCGGGCGTGGTGGCGGGCGCCTATAGTCCCAGCTACTCGGGAGGCTGAGGCAGGAGAATGGTGTGAACTCGGGAGGCGGAGCTTGCAGTGAGGCAAAACTGCGCCACTGCACTCCAGCCTGAGTGACAGAGCGAGACCCCATCTCAAGGAAAAACAAAAACAAAAACAGAAAAGGGTTTCCTTTAAAACATTCAGATAGGAGAGATACGTGGGGTAGACATCAAACAAGATCGGGAGAATATGGCTTATTTTTGAAGCTAAGTGATGGGTAAGTACATGGACAGTCATTCCACTATTCTCTTAATTTTTGCATGTTTGAACGTTTTCAGAATAAAAAGTTTTTAGATATGTAATGCATATATAAAAATATGCACACATAGCACTTAAAACGGTACCAGATACATAGTAAGCACTATCTACACATTTTCTGTTATTATTAATATTATTTATGTGAGGAGAACAACAGAGAGAGGGTTCCACCCCTAGGAGAGCTCACAGTCCCCAAGGGAGATGGACATTAGACAAACACATGCTCCAGTCAAAGAAAAAGGACCTACGGGGACAGAGTGGGAGAGGGAAGTAGAGGGTGTTAGCAGCTGGTATAACACATGGAAATCTTGTCTTTGTGGTCAGAAAGGCTCCCTTCGTCCAGACCTGGAAGGCAAAGCCACAACTTGACCTGGGGAGTCAGGGGAGGGTTTAAAGCTTCAGAGCCCGTGGTCATATTTAGAAAGATCTTTACCACTGCCACGTGGAGGGTGGACCAGAGGGAGCAGAGGTAGGAGCTGGGAGGGACCCAGGTAGGAGAGGACCAGCTGGACCAAGGGAGGGCCATGGGGACGGGGAAAGGAGTGGGTACAAGAGACACTGAAGAGACTGAGTGGACTAGCTGTGGTGGCTCCCGCCTGTAATGCTCGCACTTTGGGAGGCCAAGGCAGGAGGATCACTTGAAGTCAGGAGTTCGAGAGCAGCCTGGCCAATATGGCAAAACTCCACCTCTACCAAAATACAAAAAAATTAACCGTGTGTGGTGGCACGTGCCTGTACTCCTAGCTACTCGGGAGGCCGAGACAAGAGAATTGCTTCAACCTGGGATGCTGAGGTTGCAGTGAGCTTGAACCCGAGAGGCGGAGGTTGCACTCCAGCCTGGGCAACAGAGCAAGACTATATCTTTAAAAAAAAAAAAAAAAGAGGCTCAGTGGGTCGGGCATGGTGGCTCATGCCATTAATCCCAGCACTTTGGGTGGCCAAGGCGGGACGATGGCTTGAGGCCTGGAGTTCACGACCAGCCTGAGCAACATAGTGAGACGCCCCCATCTCTATGTGTCCACAGGAAAATTAAAAATTCGCTGGGCTTGGTGGTGCGCACCTATAGTCCCAGGTACTTGGGAGGTGAGGTGAAGGATTGCTTGAGCCAAGGAATTTGGGGCTGCAGTGAACTATGATGGTACCACTGCACTCCAGCCTGGGTGACAAGAGTGAGACCCTGACTCTAAAAGAAATAAATAAGAGGCTAAGTAGACAGGCCGTGGGGCTGATGAACAGTGGGAGGGGTGAGACCCCATATTCTGCCCCAGATGACTAGGTTCCTACCTCATAGTAGACACCATTGTGGTAGCAGCCACATTGCTGGATGGGCACGCAGGCTTGGCCGTTGTAGAGGAAGCCGGAGTCACACTGGCAGCCCTCAGCACACCCATCTGGGCACTGCAGAGGGGCACTGAGAGCCGAGCAGCCCAGGGAGCAGGTGTCCGCACAGAGCTCGTAGTGACTGTTCTGAGGGCATTCCATGGCTGCAAGGAGGGGGTGCCGATCAGAGCCCTGGGGAGGGAGGGGCTGCAAAGCCCAGGGTCTACCCCTTCTGTGCCTCAAGCTCTCCCCTCCCTGCCCCTCCGGCTCTCCCTCACTCACGACAGAAAGTTTCATTCCTCCAGGGCTCCACGTGGCCTCCAGCCGCCTGGCAAGCACTCACGTAGGCATGGATGTTGCTGCAGAGAATGCTCAGGTTCCCACCACCCAGGCAGAGATCAAAGATGCAATCTTTCAAGGGACCCTGGGGATCCACCAGCTTGTGGCAGGAGGACAGTGGCCCTGTGGGGCTGGAGAGGAGCCCACAGAACTCCTCCTTCTGATACTTCTTCTCCAGCTCGGGAGGACACTTGTCGCTGGGGATACAGCCCGCGCTCCCCGGCGGGCAGGTGGGCGGCGGCAGGCAGGGAGAGTCGGGCACCACCTCCTCCCAGGAGTTGCCGAACTCATTGGCGTTGCCTGCCTGCGAGCCATTGGGCTTCTGGAAGTCATCCTTGGGGTCGCCGTTGTAGTTCCCACACAGGCCACACATCAGCTGGTAGTAGTTTCCAGGGACGGTGACCCGCACATAGTACACAAGGTCGTAGGCCACACGCAGGCCGAAGTCGGTCTCAATCACAACATCTGAACCATGCTGGGAGGCACGGATCTGGCCGTTGGCCAGCACCACGGGCAGCTTCATGTCCACACCGTTCACCTGGGAGGGGAAGAGAGGCAGGCCACGCTTCAGAAAGTATACTTTGAGTGAGGGTGGGACCCTAGTTCAAGCCCATGCCTGATGCTGATCTTTGTGACCTCACCTCTTAGGCCCTCAGTTTCCTATTTATTAAATGGATATAATAACAGGGCCTGATAGTAGATTGAATGGTGGTCCCCAAAAGACATATTCACACAGAATCCCATAGCGTGAGCTTACTCGGAATAAAGTTCTTTGCAGATGTAATCAGGGTAATAATCTCAACATGAGATTATCCTGGATTAAATTGGGCCTTAAATCCAATGACTAGTATCCTTATAAGAGCCAGAAAGAAAAAGGCAAAGAGACACACAGAAAAGGCCACATGAAGATGAAGGCAGGGATTAGAATGGTGTTGTCACAAGCCCAGAGAACCTGGAGTCTGCAGAGCTGGAAAGGGAAAGGAAGATCCCCCAACCAGTGTCTTTGGAGGGGGTGCAGCCCTGCCCACACCTTGATGTTGAACTTCTGGCACCCAGGACTGTGGAACATACATTTCTAGTGTTTTAAGCCACCAAGCTCGTGGTAATTTGTTATGGCAGCCATGGGAAACGAATACAGGTCTCGATGAAGTAACAAGCCTCCAGCTATCCTTTGTTTACCGCTTGCTGCAGCCATTAATAAGCAATGATCGCCCCCGGAGCCACTTGCCCGAGTTCAAACAGTTTCCCCCTTACCCTCTTTGTGACCTTGGGCAAGTGAGTCACCTCTCCCTGTTTCTGTTTCCTCATCTATCAAGTGGGAATAAGGCGTTTGCCCCATGGAACTGTTGTCAGGATCACATAAATTAGTATCTGTAAAGTGCTGAGAAACGTGGCTGGCATAGCATGCATGCTTCAGGAGCATTTGCTGTTATTAGCAGCTATGAGTGGAAGTTTTTCTTCTGAAGAGTAAACAGAACCACAGGTTTTTGCTTTAAAGCATCAGCGAGTGGAAAGTTAGGCTAAATTCTTGGGGAAATGAACTTAAACCTATGAGCTGAGGACCAGTGGTTTCAGTTAAAGATTTACTAGGCTCCAACAAAGCCTGGTAAATCCACCCCTGGACAGGGCACAGTGGCTCATGTCTATAATCCCAGCACTTTGAGAGGCCAAGGCGGGAAGATCACTTGAGCCCAGGAGTTCAAGGTCAGCCTAAGCAATATATCGAGATCCTGTCTCTACAAAATAAAAAAGAAAACAAATTAACTGGGCATGGTGGTGCATGCCTGTACTCCCAGCCACTCAGGAGGCTGAAGTGGTAGGATTGCTTGAGAGCAGGAGTTTGAGGCTGCAGTGAGCTAGGATCACACCACTGCACTCCAGCCTTGGTGATAGAGCAAGACCCTGTCTCTAAAAAATAAATAAATACATCAACCCCTGATTAACATGCTTTCTTACCCTTCCTTATCACAGACAGTGCACACCGGATTCTTTTGGAAATGTGAAGAATCAGAGGAGAAGGCAGGAGAAAGACATGCTCCTGGCTGAGTCTCCTAAAAAGATGGTCAACTGCCACACTTCCCAAGCAGGGCTGGGCGGTGGGTAAGGGCAACTGACTTAGCCTTGCCTCAGTTTCCTCAGCTGTAAACTGCGGGGTAATAAGAGCTCCCACATCTGTAGGGAAGCTGGGGGTTTCAGTAAGAAGCAACTAACAAGAACATCAACAACTCCTGTGTATTTAGGCGCTGTATGTCAGGGGCTATTCTAGGAGCTTGGGAAACATTAGGGAATATATTCAATTAAGTCCTGCATGTCGGCCGGGCACAGTGGCTCATGCCTCTATTCCCAGCACTTTGGGAGGCTGAGGCCGGCAGATCACTGAGCTCAGGAGTTGGAGACCAGACTGGCCAACATGGTGAAACCCGTCCCCACTAAAAATACAAAAATTTCCTGGGCATAGTGTTGCACACCTGTAATCCCAGCTACTCTGGAGGCTGAGGCAGGAGAATCACTTGAACCAGGGAGGCAGAGGTTGCAGTGAGCCGAGATCGCGCCACTGCACTCCAGCCTGGGTGACAAAGCCAGACTCTGTGCCAAAAAAAAAAAAAAAAAAGTCACGCCTGTCCAGTTCGCCAGATTAAGTCAGTAATTGATCAGCACCTTCGCCAATACTGCCACTAGAAAAACAGCTGCGTGTCTGTTTCAGTGGGATCTCAGGGGAAACCCCTCCACTGTAACTCAGATGCCAGTCTCCACATGAGACCAAATCTTCTCAGTAAGAAAAGCACTGCAGAGCAGCACGGGGTTCAAGCTCCACCTTTGCTGGGGGACTATGGGCCAGTGATGGGCCATCCCACTCTGAAAAATAAAGCAAGTCATAGTGCCTGCAGTCCCTGTTGCAAGCATACAGACACCATGGACGTGAAGTGCCTGGCAGCCAAAAGGTGTGCAGTCAGCTGTATAGAAACTATAGCTGCTGTTGTTGTTGTTAAGGCGGTGAGAGTGTCACCCACAGATTGTCCTCTGTCCATGAAGCTTCTCAAACTCGGACTTTCTCAACCTCTGATGGCACCACGTCCTGCCAATAAGTGGCAGACTAGGGAGGTGAGTAGGGCAGAATCCAGGACTGAGGTGGAGAGAGGATGGAGTGGGAGGGAGGAGAGGGTGGGAGAAATTTGGAGAGAAAAGTCAATGCATGGAGGTAAAGAGAGGGTGGAGACTGAGGGACAGAGATGGGGGAGCAGCTCCCAAGTCCCTGATGACACCTCCCTCATTGGCTTCCCACTCGGTTCTGACTGGCATCTTCTGTCCTCAGAGACCCCAGGCCTCGCACATGCACTCTCATCTCTTGTGCCCCCAACTCCTGGGCTGAGCGCTGCCTGTGCCCCACCTACCCACAGGCCCCTCGCCCCCTGCTCCCCATCTGCTCTCACCGTGACCTTCCACTGTCTCTGCTCCAGCCGCAGGGTGAAGTTTGCCACCTGGACCGTGATCACCCTGGTCACACTGACTCGCCCATTACCCCAGGCCACGTTCTCCTGCAGGACGGCAAACCGATGCAGGCCAGGCCGGGTGCCGCAGGTCTGAGCCAGCACATACACGCAGGTGCCCATGAAGTCGAAGCGGTGGCCATCGAAGGTGGTGTAGTGGGGATCTCCCGACGCCTGGCAGGTGGTAGAGCCCACGGCCACGCAGCCCAAGCTGCCACCGGATGGCCGGCAGGTCTCATGCGGGCCGCAGCTGGAGGGCTCACAGGACACCTCACCGCCCTCCCGGCAGCGGCAAAGGGAATCACACCCAGGGCCAGGGTAGAAGGTCTGGCCCAGTGGGTAGTAGCGGTCATCGTGGAGGCAGCCACACTGGCCCACAGGTACACACGTGTCACCACTGAGCACGAAGCCAGCATCGCAGACACAGCCTTCACGGCAGGCCGACTCACAGCCCTCGGGTGCCGACAGGCTCGGGCAGCTCCCAGGACAGGAGTCACCGCAGAGCTCGTAGTGGCTGTGGGCAGGGCACTGGAAGGCTGTGGGGACAAGGTGGGCATCAGCCAGGTAGGTGTTTGAGTCGCAGTCTTGGGAGGCCCTGAGTGGGAAAACTGCTCAGGCCAACTTGGGCGTCTCTGGGCATGCACATGTGATCCAGGACATCTAACTGGGGGACTCAGCGTGGGACCTGGAATGGGAGGGGACATGCCCAGGTCTCTCTGACCAAATATTTCTGAAGATCAAATGACTCTGCTTGGCTGATATTTTTTTTTTTTTTTTTTTTGAGACAGGCTCTCACTCTATCTCACCCAGGCTGGAGTGCAGAGGCGCAATCACAGCTCGCTGCAGCCTCCACCTAAACCTCAAGCAATCCTCTGGCCTCAGCCTCCCGATTAGCTGGGACTACAGGAGTAAGCCACCACATCTGGCTGATTTATTATTATTTTCTGTAGAGATGGGGTCTCACTATGTAAGCCAGGCTTACCTGGGTGAAATGGATCACTTATATCTATTCGGGGTATGCAGGATCAGAACTGACTATGGGCATCTCAGCGTGTGAATGTGACTGGGGTGTGGGGCCACATGTATCTCAGGGTATGGCTCTGCCTGAGGGCACCCAGCTGTGGGTGTCTGACATGCAGCATCTCCCAGAGTCCTTCTGACATGGTCTGCCTAAGGCTGTGCCTGGGTGAAGTTGGCAGGATACCTGTGACCAGGAGACCTGCCTGAAGGGAACCGCCTAGGACTATCTAACTATGCATCTGTGTGGATCTGCCCAAGGCTATGCCAGGATCCTGTTTCTTTCTGAGTGTATCTGACCAGTCAGTATAAAATTTAAGCAGATATCACTGAAGGTATGCGACTAATTCCATGTGACTAGGTGTATTTCAGTGTGTGCAACAGACCTGGGCCCTCTGACCAGCTGAAACTCACTAGGTCTTCCTAACAAGGGGTACTTTGCTATGTGACAGAGGCAGGGTCAGCCATCCCAATCTACATGCCTTGGATACCTGAAAGCATGGATCACCAATCCCTAAGAGTGTCCTGGACCCCAGGTTTCTTTTCTTTCTTTTTTTTTTTCTGTTGTTTGTTGTTTGTTTGTTTTTTGTTTTGGAGATGGAATCTCTGTCACCCAGGCTGAAGGGCAGTGGCACGATCTCGGCTCACTGCAACCTCTGCCTCCTGGGTTCAAGTGATTCTCCTGCCTCAGCCTCCTGAGTAGCTGAGATTACAGGTGCCCGCCACCACGCCCGGATAATTTTTGTAGTTTTAGTAGAGGTGGGGTTTCACCATGTTGGCCGGGCTAGTCTCGACCTCCTGACCTCAGGTGATCCGCCCGCCTCGGCCTCCCAAATTGCTGGGATTACAGGCGTGAGCCACCGCGCCCACACTCTGACTAGGTGTTTCTAACTGACTCTCTCTCACTGCAGTACCTGACTTGGGGCATTTCAGTGTGTCAGTGCCAAGGTGTTTCCTGACAGTAGATACCGAGCTCGGGAAGGAAAGTGGCCCCTGAGCCCCATGGAGGAGGAAGGGGCTGCTGTCCTACAGTCCTGGGAAGGGCAGGGAGAGACCCAACCATGTGGACCATGCATGGAGCAGTACTCACGACAGAAGTCCGGCCGCCTCCACTCGCGGAGCTGGGCCCCAGCGGCCTGACAGGCTGCCACGTAGGTGGCCACTGCAGGACAGAGGCCTCCAGGATGGCCCTGAACTTGGCAGGCGTCCAGCAAGCAGCCCTGGAAGTACTGCGCGGGCGGCACAAGGCCGTGGCAGGGCGCCAGCGGGCCGTCGGTGGCGGAGATCACGCCGCAGGCGTCCGGGCCGCCGAAGGACTCTTGCTGCTCTGGGGTGCACGGCGACGGGCATGGCTTGGACACACATTCCCCGCAGCCCTGGGCGCCGCCCACCTGCCATCCGGCGGGCTTCCCGCCCACCGCCTTCAGGTCGTCTGCGGGGTCCTGGTTGTAGTTCCCGCATAAGCCACAGAGAGAGCCCGCGTACGCCGCCGGCACGCGCAGGCGCACGAAGCTGTCCCCATCGAAAGCCAGCGAGAGCCCTGAGGTTGTGGTCACCACCACGTCGGCGCCGCTCAGGTGTGCGTGCAGGAGCGAGTCCAGCTGGAAGGGCAGAGTGACGAACACGCCGTCCACCTGTGGGCAGTGGGGGAGCGGTGAACGGAGCAAACACGGGTTTGAATCCTGGCCCCACTACCTACTAGCTGTGGGACCCAGAGCATGTCACCTCCCGCTGAAAATAATAATGAGCATCTATAGGCCGGGCCTGGTGGCAAAGCCTGCAATCCCAGGACTTTGGAAGGCCGAGATGGGAGGATCGCTTGACGCCAGAAGTTCAGATCAGCCTGGGCAACATAGTGAGACCCCCATCTCTACAAAAAAATGAAAAATTAGCCAGCGTGGTGGCGTGTGCCTTTAGTCACAGATACTTGGGAGGTGGAGGCCAAGGCGGGAGGATCGATTCAGCCCACGAGTTCCAGGCTGCAGTGAGCCCTAATCCTGTCACTGCGCTCCAGCCTGGGCAACAGAGTCAGGCTAAGAAAAGAAAGAAAGAAAGAAAGAAAAGCAAGAAAGAAAAAAAGAAAAGAAAAACAAAGAGCCTCTACTGGCTCATGTCACTGACTCCTTATCCTTCTCGAAAACAGGTACTTTTCCTAGACCAGTTTACAGAGGAATACACTAGGCTCACAGAGGAAGAAGCTGCTGTGCCAAGCCATCAGGCTCCTAGGCGTACACTCTGACCCTTCCATCATGCCCCAGCTAAGCTGTGAAAGGGGCCCAGGGGAATGGTGAAGCCCTTACCATCTCAGGCAACCCCAGAGCTGGCACTTGCTCCTGTCTGGCCCACAGCCCTCCTCACCTGTAGCTTCCGGGGCCAGCGGGCACTCAGTGTCAGGCTGTGGTTGTAGATTTGCAGGGTGACACTGCGGGTGTAGCTGACAGCCTGGCTGCCCCGGTGCTCATTGGCTACAGTGACAGTGAAGTTCTCAGCCCCCAAGGGTGGTCCGTGGCAGGGTGCACTCAGCAGGTACTCGCAGGTGCCTTGGAAATCGAATCGGTGCCCATCCAGAGTGACGTAATGGGGGTCACCCCACGCCTGGCACTCAGCTGTGCTGACGGGCTGGCAGCCGTGCTGGCCGGATGGCAGGAGGCCACACACTTCACCCAGCCCACAGCTGGCAGGTGTGCAGACCAGCGAGCCACCCCCAGGCCCGCAGCGACACCACTGGGAGCAGGTGCCATCAGCCCAAAACTCACTGCCCGCCTCGTGGTAGGTGCCATTGGCCCAGCAGCCGCAGCCGTTGTTGAGGGGAACACAGCGGTCAGCACTTAACACGAAACCCGCGTCGCACTGGCAGCCCTCCACACAGGGGCCCTCACATACGGCTGGCGTCGTAAGGGGTGCAGGGGACGGACAGCTGGCCGGGCAGGGTGGGCCACAGACCTCATAGTGGCTGTTTTCTGGGCAGGTGATCTCTGTGGGCAGATGAAGGAGCAGGAAGGAGAGAAACAGAAAGAAGGGTGTTAGGGGTGGGGTCCCAGAACAGGGTGGGAGGAGACAGAGAGAGACACTAGGGAGCAGACAGAGAAAGGGGGAGACAGAAAACAAGACACAGAGAGAGGACACAGAGAAAGAAATGGGAGAGGGCGAGACACCAGGAGACCCAAGCAGAAACTGAGGGAGCTAGAGAATGAGAAACAGACAGATAGAGACAAGCAAAGCGAGGCCCAGAGACGAGCACCAAGAAACAGAGAGACAAACAGAGAAAAAAGAAAACAAAGAGACCCAGAAGGACCAGAGTGAAACCAAACCAGCCCCGAAGAGATGGGACCCCGCCCCCAGCCCCGCCTCTGCTCCCCCAACACTCACCACAGCCAACCTGTGCCCGCCAGTCTTCGATGACAACCCCAGCAGCCTGGCAGGCGGCCACATAGGAAGCCAGAGCCTTGCAAAGAATGTCACGGTCCCCACCACCCATGCAGACGTCCAGAACACAGCCCTTGAAGAAGCTCTCAGGTGGCACATGAGCATGGCAGGTGGTGAAAGGGCCCCCTGTGCCGGGGGCCAGGGGTCCGCAGAAGCCAGGGCCCTCGTACTGCTCCAACCGGTCCTCAGGGCACGTTGGGCAGGACCCCCGACATTCGTCCCAACACAGTGGGTCCCAGCCTGGGGCTCGCCAGCTGCCGCCCCAGATGGGTATGGAGGGAGCCAGTGTGCCATTAGGGAAGACCTGGTCATTGTTGGGGTTGCGGTCCATGTTACCGCAGAGCCCGCACACTGCGCCATGATAGCTGCTGGGCAGCGTCACGTCTACCCGCCAGTTCCAGTCATAGCTGACTTGCAGTCCAAAGTCAGCCACCAGCAGTGCCTTCGATGCACCCTGGGTCACTGAAATCCGCCCGTCGGCCACAGAGACAGGCAAGGCTGTGAGCACACCGTTCACCTGGGGGAAGGAGGGAAGGCAAACGGGTCACTGGAGGTTTTACGGCCCCAGCTCTGGCCCTCTGCCTCCCTCTCTCTCATCCCACCGGGGGCTGGGAGAGGCCAGGGCCTTCCCCCGAGAGTTGGATTGTCATCTGACACACTGTGGACAGTTGTTCTAGCCCAGGTCTTGGGGAACGAAACCTCACTTTACTTTTTCTAGATCTTCTCCCTTCATCTCTATCTCCCTCCCCTGTCTCTGTCTCTCTCTCTGTGTCTCTCTCCCTCTGTCTTCACCTAAGGCTATGCCTCTGGGTCTTCTCTCTCTCTGTCTCTGTCTCTCTCTCTCTCTTTCTGTCTCTCTGTCTCTGTCTCACCCTTTTCCCTTCCTCCCTACCTCCCTCATTCTTTGTGCATCTCTTCCACTCACTCACCATCATTTATTCAGTGCCTACTCTGCTGCATCCCTCAGTCTCTCCATGTGAGCTGCCATCAAGCTACATCTCCATTTCCTTGGGCAGAAAGGATAGCCCATTCCTCTCCCCCATCTCCCTATATTTCTTTTTCTTGATTACTTTTTTTATTTTTCAGACGGAGTCTCACTATGTCACCGAGGCTTGTGTGCAGTGTTGCAGTCTCGGCTCTTGTAACCTCTGCCTCCCAGGTTCAAGCAATTCTCCTGCCTCAGTGTCCTGAGTAGCTGAGAATTCAGGAGCATCACCACACCCAGCTAATTTTTGTATTTTTAGTAGAGACGGAATTTCACCATGTTAGCCAGGCTTGTCTCGAACTCCTGACCTCAGATGATCCATCGGCCTCGGTCTCCCAGAGTGCTGGGATTACAGGCGTGAGCCACCGGGCCCAGCCCAGTCTCCCTGTATTTCTCTCCATGTCCTGGTCTCTGGGCCTCTCACTTTTCCCTCACCGACACTCAAACGACTGTTCACCTGGACTAGACTCTGAGCTCAGCATGTGACATGCACGGCCTTGCTGTGGGGGAGGCCCTGATACGATGCCCACTTCACAGATGAGGAAACTGAGGCCTACCAAGTGAACTGCCCAGCATCACATAGCTCATAAGGAGGAGAGGCTGGATTGAAACCCAGGTCTATAAAAAAGGCAAATGCTGAGGTCCTATGTTAAAGCCCTTTGCCAGGGGCTAGGCTCATTTAATTCCCAGTAACAGGGTGATATTTTTGTTGCAATTATTCTCTTTGTTGACAGTTTGTTTCAGGCCCAGGTGAAGACAAAGAGCCTTGAGCTGCTAACTGTGGTCGTCAGGATCCCTCCTGCCCTCCCGGGGACCTCAGGGGACCATCCTGCCACACATACCCGGACTTTGCCGATCTCGTCCTTGTGGATGGAGATGTTGGTGCCGAGGGCAGCCACGGTGACGACTCTCACGTAGGACACAGCAGGGTTGCCCCGGTTCTGGTTCTTGGTGGTGACGGTGAAGGGTGTCAGGCCCTGGGTGCTGACCCCCGGGCAGCCAGTTGTTGCCAGCACATAGTTACAGGTGCCCTGGAAGTCAAACTTCCGGCCATCGAAGGAGTGGTAGTGTGGGTCGCCCCACAGCCAGCACGTGGCCTCATAGTTGGGCAGGCACACGCCCTGGCCACCCTGCTCCTTGCATGTCTCCTGTGGCCGGCATGTCACGCCGTGGCACGGGTCTGGGGACAGAAGAGGGAGGAGGACCTTGAGGGGCTGCCCATTGTAAAGCATGGCCGCTCCCTCCACATCTACCCAGTCTGTGCCAGGGATCTGAGGGTTACTGCAGGCAAGACCACATTACAGAGTCCTCATGTCTAGGACCCACTTCCTATAGTTTGCTTTTACATTTTCTTTTGTTTTGTTGTTTTTTTGAGATGGAGTCTTTCTCTGTCACCCAGGCTGGAGAGCAATGGTACAATCTCGGCTCACTGCAACCTCTGCCTCCTGGGCTCCAGTGATTCTCCTGACTCAGCCTCCTGAGTGGCTGGGATTATAGGTGCCCACCAGCATGCTTGGCTGATTTTTGTATTTTTAGTAGAGACAGGGTTTCACCATGTTGGCCAGGCTGGTCTCGGGCTCCTGACATCAAGTGATCAGCCAACCTTGGCCTCCCAGAGTGTTGGGATTACAGGCATGAGCCATCATGCCCAGCCTGCTATTTTCAAGACCAGCCCCTGGGAGTCCCACACAGCTGACACTGAGGCCCCATGGGGGACTGTGTCTAAGTCTCGGCTGTCAAAGGTCCCATACCTGAGACCTGGGCCCCAGAGGTCTGTACAGCCAAGACCCAGTACCTAGAGTTCCCCTACTTCTGAGACTGAGGCCCTGCCATTTGCTGTGTGAGACTGAGATCCTGGAGTCCACGCACCTAAGACCAAGGTAAAGACCAAGGCTCTGGGTCTGTGTTTAAGGTGCACTTTCCATGGTGCCCTTGCTTGAGATTTCACCCTGTTCTTGTATTTTAAGTTTTATAGGAACCTCACCGTCTTCACTTACATAGGCTACGGCTGCTTTCACACCACAGTGGCAGAGTGAGTAGTTGTGATCCAGAAGGTATAGCCTGCAAGCTTAAACACTTACCATCTAGCCCTTTAGAGAAAAGGTGCACTTGACCCCAGTTGAGATCTGTGCCCCAGGGGTCCTTGTGTCTGCGATGCCAGCCCTGAGAGCATCCATGTCTGAGATCCCAGCCCCAGGGTTCTCTGTGTTCAAGACCTGGGCCCCAGGCCAGGTGTGGTGGCTCAGGCCTGTAATCCCAGCACTTTAAGAGGCTGAGGTGGGAGGATAGCTTGAGCCCTGGAGTTTGAGACTAGCCTGGGCAACATAGTAAGACCCCATTTCTACAGAAAGATTAATAAATTAGCCAGGCGTGGTGGTGTGTGCCTGTAGTCCCCCACTACTCGGGAGGCTGAGGCGGGAGGATTGTTTGAGCCCAGGAAATCGAGGCTGCAGTAAGCTACACTACACTCTAGCCTGGGCCACAGAGTGAGACCTTAGCTCAAAAAAAAAAAAAAGATCTAGGTCTCAGGGTCCCCCATGCCTGAGACCTCAGCCCCCTGGACATCTCCACATTTGATAGAAATTGGTCTCCAATTTCTCTAGGTCCTGGAGGCCTCTGTGCCCAAGACTAGGGCCCTGGGGTGATCTTCTGGCAAGAGCCCAGTGCCAGGGTCTCAGCAGGATTTGAAATGTTTGAGACCCTAACTAGCTAAGTCTCATGGGCTGGGCTCCCTCAGTGCAAGACTCCATCCCTGAGGGTTGCTGTATTCAAGACAGTAGCCTTGATCGTGTCTCACTGCTGAGGCCCTGTCCTGGGGGGTTTCTGTGTCCGAGACCCTGTTCGTACAGTTACTACATCTGTGACCCCAGCTTGCGGAACCCCTGTGTGGGAGAGGCCAGCCTTCAAACGTCTCCTTCCTCCTGTGTCCATTATCTATGTACCGCCTCTCAGCTTCAAATACACCCGCGGAGTTAAGCTTTGTCAACAGAGGGCGCTGGAGAGTCACTGAAGGAGGGAGGGGCTCCTGTTCTGGCTTCTAGCCAGTTTGGTCCTTCCAGCTCTGGCCAGGGTGCGGGGCCACATTCAGCGAGTGCCACTGGCCGCAGCTGGCTTCCCAGTGAGGGGTTCCCTTCTTGCCAAGTCCAGCCTGCAGAAACCTCTGTGCCACCCAGTGGGCTACAGCTGCAGTGAGACTGGACTCAGCCTTGGGGCTGATTCTCCCCTCCTTGAAGAGAAGGGGCCAATTTCTCCCTTCCATGAGGCTTTTACCTTAGCCCTAGAGTGGCGGCTACTTCCTGTGTGTGCTTTGGTGGTATTCTTTAGTGCTCTCTTTACCGTTTCTTATTTATGTTTATTTATTTATTTGTAAAGTCTGGGGGATTCCCACATCAGAGACTATACCCCTAGAAATCCTGATCTTCCAGTTAAGAGGGGTCCCCATATCCAATGTCCTGCCTTGGTGAGGTCTCCGTGCGTGAGACTCAGAACTCTGCTCTCTGTCCCTGCCCCTGGGATCCCAGTCTCTCCCCTGCCCTTTGGTGCTAGTGTCTGAACCCCAAGCCCGATCCCACACATCAGTGTTCCGCTCATGATGGAACCCTAGGCTGCTGCTCTTGTATTCTAAAGTCTTATAGGAACCTGACCTCTTCACTTACATAGTCTACGGCTGCTTTCATGCCACAGTGGCAGAGTGAGTAGCTGGAACGAGAACCTACAGCCTGCGAGCTTAAACATTTACCATGTAGCACATTAGAGCAAAGGCGCGCCTGTCCCTGCCTTATACCGAGGGTCTCTGACATCCACCCTGAGAAAACTACCTCTGAGGGTCCCCACAGCCTGGATTTTCCCTAAGGGTCCCTACCTCCCAAAGTAGGTGGCCCTGGCCCTGTGAAACCTGGTCTAGGGTTCCCCAGGTCTGCAACCTCAATCATTAGTCCTGTGCACCTCCCGCCATGGACACCCCAGTTACACTACCCGCAGCCCCAGAGTCCCCATCCTCCATCCCTAGTCCCATCAGCCCCAGTCCCAGCCCAGCCCAGCCCAGCACCTTTGTTGACGCAGCTCAGGATGCCTCCGGAGGGCTGGCACACCTGCCCCGGCTTGCAGCTGTGTTCCTGGCACACCACGACTTTACCCACATGGCACGTGCACTGCTGCCGACAGTTGTCAATGAGGACTGTCTGCTCCGGCTGTGGGGAGAGAGGGAACGGCCATCAGGGACACCACGGGTGGGAGCCGACTCTCACATCTCTGGCGTTCTGGCACAGAGGGGTTTGGCAGACATCACAGACAAGGGACATCTCTCAGCAGGATGGCCCGTTGTCTGTGAAGATGAGGCACAGCATGGCTTTGGGGCCATCATTCATTGGTTCATTCACTTTTCTTCATTTACTCATTCATTCCAAAATATCCACTCAACGTCTGCTGTAGGAGAAATGGTGTGACACAGTAACTAAGGGCAGATCGCCTGGGCTTGGAGCCCATTTCTGCTGTTTCCAAAGTGTGTGACTCTGGGCAGTTACTTCACCTCTTTATGGCTCAGTTTCATGATCTGCAGATTGCAGATGATAGTAGCGCCTGCCTTTGGAAATATAACTGAGTTATATTCAGATAATAACCAAGTTATATTCAGACATGTAAAATTCAGATAAAATGAAAAGGGTAGGCCGGGCGCGGTGGCACATGCTTGTAATCCCAGCACTTTGGGAAGCCGAGGCGGGTGGATCACGAGGTCAGAAGATTGAGACCATCCTGGCTAACACGGTGAAACCCCGTCTCTACTAAAAATACAAAAAATTAGTCGGGCGTGGTGGCGGGCGCCTATAGTCCCAGCTACTCGGGAGGCTGAGGCAGGAGAATGGTGTGAACTCGGGAGGCGGAGCTTGCAGTGAGGCAAAACTGCGCCACTGCACTCCAGCCTGAGTGACAGAGCGAGACTCCAACTCAAGGGAAAAAAAAAACAAAAACAGAAAAGGGTTTCCTTTAAAACATTCAGATAGGAGAGATACGTGGGGTAGACATCAAACAAGATCGGGAGAATATGGCTTATTTTTGAAGCTAAGTGATGGGTAAGTACATGGACAGTCATTCCACTATTCTCTTAATTTTTGCATGTTTGAACGTTTTCAGAATAAAAAGTTTTTAGATATGTAATGCATATATAAAAATATGCACACATAGCACTTAAAACGGTACCAGATACATAGTAAGCACTATCTACACATTTTCTGTTATTATTAATATTATTTATGTGAGGAGAACAACAGAGAGAGGGTTCCACCCCTAGGAGAGCTCACAGTCCCCAAGGGAGATGGACATTAGACAAACACATGCTCCAGTCAAAGAAAAAGGACCAATGGGGACAGAGTGGGAGAGGGAAGTAGAGGGTGTTAGCAGCTGGTATAACACATGAAAATCTTGTCTTTGTGGTCAGAAAGGCTCCCTTCGTCCAGACCTGGAAGGCAAAGCCACAACTTGACCTGGGGAGTCAGGGGAGGGTTTAAAGCTTCAGAGCCCGTGGTCATATTTAGAAAGCTCTTTACCACTGCCACGTGGAGGGTGGACCAGAGGGAGCAAAGGTAGGAGCTGGGAGGGACCCAGGTGGGAGAGGACCAGCTGGACCAAGGGAGGGCCATGGGGACGGGGAAAGGAGTGGGTACAAGAGACACTGAAGAGACTGAGTGGACTAGCTGTGGTGGCTCACGCCTGTAATGCTCGCACTTTGGGAGGCCAAGGCAGGAGGATCACTTGAAGTCAGGAGTTCGAGAGCAGCCTGGCCAATATGGCAAAACTCCACCTCTACCAAAATACAAAAAATTAACCGAGTGTGGTGGCACGTGCCTGTACTCCTAGCTACTCGGGAGGCTGAGACAAGAGAATTGCTTCAACCTGGGATGCTGAGGTTGCAGTGAGCTTGAACCCGAGAGGCAGAGGTTGCACTCCAGCCTGGGCAACAGAGCAAGACTATATCTTTAAAAAAAAAAAAAAAAAGAGGCTCAGTGGGTCGGGCATGGTGGCTCATGCCATTAATCCCAGCACTTTGGGTGGCCAAGGGGGGACGATGGCTTGAGGCCTGGAGTTCACGACCAGCCTGAGCAACATAGTGAGACGCCCCCATCTCTATGTGTCCACAGGAAAATTAAAAATTCGCTGGGCTTGGTGGTGCGCACCTATAGTCCCAGGTACTTGGGAGGTGAGGTGAAGGATTGCTTGAGCCAAGGAATTTGGGGCTGCAGTGAACTATGATGGTACCACTGCACTCCAGTCTGGGTGACAAGAGTGAGACCCTGACTCTAAAAGAAATAAATAAGAGGCTAAGTAGACAGGCCGTGGGGCTGATGAGCAGTGGGAGGGGTGAGACCCCATATTCTGCCCCAGATGACTAGGTTCCTACCTCATAGTAGGCACCATTGTGGTAGCAGCCACATTGCTGGATGGGCACGCAGGCTTGGCCGTTGTAGAGGAAGCCGGAGTCACACTGGCAGCCCTCAGCACACCCATCTGGGCACTGCAGAGGGGCACTGAGAGCCGAGCAGCCCAGGGAGCAGGTGTCCGCACAGAGCTCGTAGTGACTGTTCTGAGGGCATTCCATGGCTGCAAGGAGGGGGTGCCGATCAGAGCCCTGGGGAGGGAGGGGCTGCAAGGCCCAGGGTCTACCCCTTCTGTGCCTCAAGCTCTCCCCTCCCTGCCCCTCCGGCTCTCCCTCACTCACGACAGAAAGTTTCATTCCTCCAGGGCTCCACCTGGCCTCCAGCTGCCTGGCAAGCACTCACGTAGGCATGGATGTTGCTGCAGAGAATGCTCAGGTTCCCACCACCCAGGCAGAGATCAAAGATGCAATCTTTCAAGGGACCCTGGGGATCCACCAGCTTGTGGCAAGAGGACAGTGGCCCTGTGGGGCTGGAGAGGAGCCCACAGAACTCCTCCTTCTGATACTTCTTCTCCAGCTCGGGAGGACACTCCTCGCTGGGGATACAGCCCTCGCTCCCCGGCGGGCAGGTGGGCGGCGGCAGGCAGGGAGAGTCGGGCACCACCTCCTCCCAGGAGTTGCCGAACTCATTGGCGTTGCCTGCCTGCGAGCCATTGGGCTTCTGGAAGTCATCCTTGGGGTCGCCGTTGTAGTTCCCACACAGGCCACACATCAGCTGGTAGTAGTTTCCAGGGACGGTGACCCGCACATAGTACACAAGGTCGTAGGCCACACGCAGGCCGAAGTCGGTCTCAATCACAACATCTGAACCATGCTGGGAGGCACGGATCTGGCCGTTGGCCAGCACCACGGGCAGCTTCATGTCCACACCGTTCACCTGGGAGGGGAAGAGAGGCAGGCCACGCTTCAGAAAGTATACTTTGAGTGAGGGTGGGACCCTAGTTCAAGCCCATGCCTGATGCTGATCTTTGTGACCTCACCCCTTAGGCCCTCAGTTTCCTATTTATTAAATGGATATAATAACAGGGCCTGATAGTAGATTGAATGGTGGTCCCCAAAAGACATATTCACCCAGAATCCCATAGCGTGAGCTTACTCGGAATAAAGTTCTTTGCAG
This sequence comes from Homo sapiens, assembly GCF_000001405.40. Taxonomy (NCBI): domain Eukaryota; kingdom Metazoa; phylum Chordata; class Mammalia; order Primates; family Hominidae; genus Homo; species Homo sapiens. The sequence goes on from NW_009646206.1 coordinate 162,387, forward strand.
ATGTAATCAGGGTAATAATCTCAACATGAGATTATCCTGGATTAAATTGGGCCTTAAATCCAATGACTAGTATCCTTATAAGAGCCAGAAAGAAAAAGGCAAAGAGACACACAGAAAAGGCCACATGAAGATGAAGGCAGGGATTAGAATGGTGTTGTCACAAGCCCAGAGAACCTGGAGTCTGCAGAGCTGGAAAGGGAAAGGAAGATCCCCCAACCAGTGTCTTTGGAGGGGGTGCAGCCCTGCCCACACCTTGATGTTGAACTTCTGGCACCCAGGACTGTGGAACATACATTTCTAGTGTTTTAAGCCACCAAGCTCGTGGTAATTTGTTATGGCAGCCATGGGAAACGAATACAGGTCTCGATGAAGTAACAAGCCTCCAGCTATCCTTTGTTTACCGCTTGCTGCAGCCATTAATAAGCAATGATCGCCCCCGGAGCCACTTGCCCCAGTTCAAACAGTTTCCCCCTTACCCTCTTTGTGACCTTGGGCAAGTGAGTCACCTCTCCCTGTTTCTGTTTCCTCATCTATCAAGTGGGAATAAGGCGTTTGCCCCATGGAACTGTTGTCAGGATCACATAAATTAGTATCTGTAAAGTGCTGAGAAACGTGGCTGGCATAGCATGCATGCTTCAGGAGCATTTGCTGTTATTAGCAGCTATGAGTGGAGGTTTTTCTTCTGAAGAGTAAACAGAACCACAGGTTTTTGCTTTAAAGCATCAGCGAGTGGAAAGTTAGGCTAAATTCTTGGGGAAATGAACTTAAACCTATGAGCTGAGGACCAGTGGTTTCAGTTAAAGATTTACTAGGCTCCAACAAAGCCTGGTAAATCCACCCCTGGACAGGGCACAGTGGCTCATGTCTATAATCCCAGCACTTTGAGAGGCCAAGGCGGGAAGATCACTTGAGCCCAGGAGTTCAAGGTCAGCCTAAGCAATATATCGAGATCCTGTCTCTACAAAATAAAAAAGAAAACAAATTAACTGGGCATGGTGGTGCATGCCTGTACTCCCAGCCACTCAGGAGGCTGAAGTGGTAGGATTGCTTGAGAGCAGGAGTTTGAGGCTGCAGTGAGCTAGGATCACACCACTGCACTCCAGCCTTGGTGATAGAGCGAGACCCTGTCTCTAAAAAATAAATAAATACATCAACCCCTGATTAACATGCTTTCTTACCCTTCCTTATCACAGACAGTGCACACCGGATTCTTTTGGAAATGTGAAGAATCAGAGGAGAAGGCAGGAGAAAGACATGCTCCTGGCTGAGTCTCCTAAAAAGATGGTCAACTGCCACACTTCCCAAGCAGGGCTGGGCGGTGGGTAAGGGCAACTGACTTAGCCTTGCCTCAGTTTCCTCAGCTGTAAACTGCGGGGTAATAAGAGCTCCCACATCTGTAGGGAAGCTGGGGGTTTCAGTAAGAAGCAACTAACAAGAACATCAACAACTCCTGTGTATTTAGGCGCTGTATGTCAGGGGCTATTCTAGGAGCTTGGGAAACATTAGGGAATATATTCAATTAAGTCCTGCATGTCGGCCGGGCACAGTGGCTCATGCCTCTATTCCCAGCACTTTGGGAGGCTGAGGCCGGCAGATCACTGAGCTCAGGAGTTGGAGACCAGACTGGCCAACATGGTGAAACCCGTCCCCACTAAAAATACAAAAATTTCCTGGGCATAGTGTTGCACACCTGTAATCCCAGCTACTCTGGAGGCTGAGGCAGGAGAATCACTTGAACCAGGGAGGCAGAGGTTGCAGTGAGCCGAGATCGCGCCACTGCACTCCAGCCTGGGTGACAAAGCCAGACTCTGTGCCAAAAAAAAAAAAAAAAAGTCACGCCTGTCCAGTTCGCCAGATTAAGTCAGTAATTGATCAGCACCTTCGCCAATACTGCCACTAGAAAAACAGCTGCGTGTCTGTTTCAGTGGGATCTCAGGGGAAACCCCTCCACTGTAACTCAGATGCCAGTCTCCACATGAGACCAAATCTTCTCAGTAAGAAAAGCACTGCAGAGCAGCACGGGGTTCAAGCTCCACCTTTGCTGGGGGACTATGGGCCAGTGATGGGCCATCCCACTCTGAAAAATAAAGCAAGTCATAGTGCCTGCAGTCCCTGTTGCAAGCATACAGACACCATGGACGTGAAGTGCCTGGCAGCCAAAAGGTGTGCAGTCAGCTGTATAGAAACTATAGCTGCTGTTGTTGTTGTTAAGGCGGTGAGAGTGTCACCCACAGATTGTCCTCTGTCCATGAAGCTTCTCCAAACTCGGACTTTCTCAACCTCTGATGGCACCACGTCCTGCCAATAAGTGGCAGACTAGGGAGGTGAGTAGGGCAGAATCCAGGACTGAGGTGGAGAGAGGATGGAGTGGGAGGGAGGAGAGGGTGGGAGAAATTTGGAGAGAAAAGTCAATGCATGGAGGTAAAGAGAGGGTGGAGACTGAGGGACAGAGATGGGGGAGCAGCTCCCAAGTCCCTGATGACACCTCCCTCATTGGCTTCCCACTCGGTTCTGACTGGCATCTTCTGTCCTCAGAGACCCCAGGCCTCGCACATGCACTCTCATCTCTTGTGCCCCCAACTCCTGGGCTGAGCGCTGCCTGTGCCCCACCTACCCACAGGCCCCTCGCCCCCTGCTCCCCATCTGCTCTCACCGTGACCTTCCACTGTCTCTGCTCCAGCCGCAGGGTGAAGTTTGCCACCTGGACCGTGATCACCCTGGTCACACTGACTCGCCCATTACCCCAGGCCACGTTCTCCTGCAGGACGGCAAACCGATGTAGGCCAGGCCGGGTGCCGCAGGTCTGAGCCAGCACATACACGCAGGTGCCCATGAAGTCGAAGCGGCGGCCATCGAAGGTGGTGTAGTGGGGATCTCCCGACGCCTGGCAGGTGGTAGAGCCCACGGCCACGCAGCCCAAGCTGCCACCGGATGGCCGGCAGGTCTCATGCGGGCCGCAGCTGGAGGGCTCACAGGACACCTCACCGCCCTCCCGGCAGCGGCAAAGGGAATCACACCCAGGGCCAGGGTAGAAGGTCTGGCCCAGTGGGTAGTAGCGGTCATCGTGGAGGCAGCCACACTGGCCCACAGGTACACACGTGTCACCACTGAGCACGAAGCCAGCATCGCAGACACAGCCTTCACGGCAGGCCGACTCACAGCCCTCGGGTGCCGACAGGCTCGGGCAGCTCCCAGGACAGGAGTCACCGCAGAGCTCGTAGTGGCTGTGGGCAGGGCACTGGAAGGCTGTGGGGACAAGGTGGGCATCAGCCAGGTAGGTGTTTGAGTCGCAGTCTTGGGAGGCCCTGAGTGGGAAAACTGCTCAGGCCAACTTGGGCGTCTCTGGGTAGGCACATGTGATCCAGGACATCTAACTGGGGGACTCAGCGTGGGACCTGGAATGGGAGGGGACATGCCCAGGTCTCTCTGACCAAATATTTCTGAAGATCAAATGACTCTGCTTGGCTGATTTTTTTTTTTTTTTTTTTTTGAGACAGGCTCTCACTCTATCTCACCCAGGCTGGAGTGCAGAGGCGCAATCACAGCTCGCTGCAGCCTCCACCTAAACCTCAAGCAATCCTCTGGCCTCAGCCTCCCGATTAGCTGGGACTACAGGAGTAAGCCACCACATCTGGCTGATTTATTATTATTTTGTGTAGAGATGGGGTCTCACTATGTAAGCCAGGCTTACCTGGGTGAAATGGATCACTTATATCTATTCGGGGTATGCAGGATCAGAACTGACTATGGGCATCTCAGCGTGTGAATGTGACTGGGGTGTGGGGCCACATGTATCTCAGGGTATGGCTCTGCCTGAGGGCACCCAGCTGTGGGTGTCTGACATGCAGCATCTCCCAGAGTCCTTCTGACATGGTCTGCCTAAGGGTGTGCCTGGGTGAAGTTGGCAGGATACCTGTGACCAGGAGACCTGCCTGAAGGGAACCGCCTAGGACTATCTAACCATGCATCTGTGTGGATCTGCCCAAGGCTATGCCAGGATCCTGTTTCTTTCTGAGTGTATCTGACCAGTCAGTATAAAATTTAAGCAGATATCACTGAAGGTATGCGACTAATTCCATGTGACTAGGTGTATTTCAGTGTGTGCAACAGACCTGGGCCCTCTGACCAGCTGAAACTCACTAGGTCTTCCTAACAAGGGGTACTTTGCTATGTGACAGAGGCAGGGTCAGCCATCCCAATCTACATGCCTTGGATACCTGAAAGCATGGATCACCAATCCCTAAGAGTGTCCTGGACCCCAGGTTTCTTTTCTTTCTTTTTTTTTTTCTGTTGTTTGTTGTTTGTTTGTTTTTTGTTTTGGAGATGGAATCTCTGTCACCCAGGCTGAAGGGCAGTGGCACGATCTCGGCTCACTGCAACCTCTGCCTCCTGGGTTCAAGTGATTCTCCTGCCTCAGCCTCCTGAGTAGCTGAGATTACAGGTGCCCGCCACCACGCCCGGATAATTTTTGTAGTTTTAGTAGAGGTGGGGTTTCACCATGTTGGCCGGGCTAGTCTCGACCTCCTGACCTCAGGTGATCCGCCCGCCTCGGCCTCCCAAATTGCTGGGATTACAGGCGTGAGCCACCGCGCCCACACTCTGACTAGGTGTTTCTAACGGACTCTCTCTCACTGCAGTACCTGACTTGGGGCATTTCAGTGTGTCAGTGCCAAGGTGTTTCCTGACAGTAGATACCGAGCTCGGGAAGGAAGGTGGCCCCTCAGCCTCATGGAGGAGGAAGGGGCTGCTGTCCTACAGTCCTGGGAAGGGCAGGGAGAGACCCTACTATGTGGACCATGCATGGAGCAGTACTCACGACAGAAGTCCGGCCGCCTCCACTCGCGGAGCTGGGCCCCAGCGGCCTGACAGGCTGCCACGTAGGTGGCCACTGCAGGACAGAGGCCTCCAGGATGGCCCTGAACTTGGCAGGCGTCCAGCAAGCAGCCCTGGAAGTACTGCGCGGGCGGCACAAGGCCGTGGCAGGGCGCCAGCGGGCCGTCGGTGGCGGAGATCACGCCGCAGGCGTCCGGGCCGCCGAAGGACTCTTGCTGCTCTGGGGTGCACGGCGACGGGCATGGCTTGGACACACATTCCCCGCAGCCCTGGGCGCCGCCCACCTGCCATCCGGCGGGCTTCCCGCCCACCGCCTTCAGGTCGTCTGCGGGGTCCTGGTTGTAGTTCCCGCATAAGCCACAGAGAGAGCCCGCGTACGCCGCCGGCACGCGCAGGCGCACGAAGCTGTCCCCGTCGAAAGCCAGCGAGAGCCCTGAGGTTGTGGTCACCACCACGTCGGCGCCGCTCAGGTGTGCGTGCAGGAGCGAGTCCAGCTGGAAGGGCAGAGTGACGAACACGCCGTCCACCTGTGGGCAGTGGGGGAGCGGTGAACGGAGCAAACACGGGTTTGAATCCTGGCCCCACTACCTACTAGCTGTGGGACCCAGAGCATGTCACCTCCCGCTGAAAATAATAATGAGCATCTATAGGCCGGGCCTGGTGGCAAAGCCTGCAATCCCAGGACTTTGGAAGGCCGAGATGGGAGGATCGCTTGACGCCAGAAGTTCAGATCAGCCTGGGCAACATAGTGAGACCCCCATCTCTACAAAAAAATGAAAAATTAGCCAGCGTGGTGGCGTGTGCCTTTAGTCACAGATACTTGGGAGGTGGAGGCCAAGGCGGGAGGATCGATTCAGCCCACGAGTTCCAGGCTGCAGTGAGCCCTAATCCTGTCACTGCACTCCAGCCTGGGCAACAGAGTCAGGCTAAGAAAAGAAAGAAAGAAAGAAAGAAAGAAAAGCAAGAAAGAAAAAAAGAAAAGAAAAACAAAGAGCCTCTACTGGCTCATGTCACTGACTCCTTATCCTTCTCGAAAACAGGTACTTTTCCTAGACCAGTTTACAGAGGAATACACTAGGCTCACAGAGGAAGAAGCTGCTGTGCCAAGCCGTCAGGCTCCTAGGCGTACACTCTGACCCTTCCATCATGCCCCAGCTAAGCTGTGAAAGGTGCCCAGGGGAATGGTGAAGCCCTTACCATCTCAGGCAACCCCAGAGCTGGCACTTGCTCCTGTCTGGCCCACAGCCCTCCTCACCTGTAGCTTCCGGGGCCAGCGGGCACTCAGTGTCAGGCTGTGGTTGTAGATTTGCAGGGTGACACTGCGGGTGTAGCTGACAGCCTGGCTGCCCCGGTGCTCATTGGCTACAGTGACAGTGAAGTTCTCAGCCCCCAAGGGTGGTCCGTGGCAGGGTGCACTCAGCAGGTACTCGCAGGTGCCTTGGAAATTGAATCGGTGCCCATCCAGAGTGACGTAATGGGGGTCACCCCACGCCTGGCACTCAGCTGTGCTGACGGGCTGGCAGCCGTGCTGGCCGGATGGCAGGAGGCCACACACTTCACCCAGCCCACAGCTGGCAGGTGTGCAGACCAGCGAGCCACCCCCAGGCCCGCAGCGACACCACTGGGAGCAGGTGCCATCAGCCCAAAACTCACTGCCCGCCTCGTGGTAGGTGCCATTGGCCCAGCAGCCGCAGCCGTTGTTGAGGGGAACACAGCGGTCAGCACTTAACACGAAACCCGCGTCGCACTGGCAGCCCTCCACACAGGGGCCCTCACATACGGCTGGCGTCGTAAGGGGTGCAGGGGACGGACAGCTGGCCGGGCAGGGTGAGCCACAGACCTCATAGTGGCTGTTTTCTGGGCAGGTGATCTCTGTGGGCAGATGAAGGAGCAGGAAGGAGAGAAACAGAAAGAAGGGTGTTAGGGGTGGGGTCCCAGAACAGGGTGGGAGGAGACAGAGAGAGACACTAGGGAGCAGACAGAGAAAGGGGGAGACAGAAAACAAGACACAGAGAGAGGACACAGAGAAAGAAATGGGAGAAAGCGAGACACCAGGAGACCCAAGCAGAAACTGAGGGAGCTAGAGAATGAGAAACAGACAGATAGAGACAAGCAAAGCGAGGCCCAGAGACGAGCACCAAGAAACAGAGAGACAAACAGAGAAAAAAGAAAACAAAGAGACCCAGAAGGACCAGAGTGAAACCAAACCAGCCCCGAAGAGATGGGACCCCGCCCCCAGCCCCGCCTCTGCTCCCCCAACACTCACCACAGCCAACCTGTGCCCGCCAGTCTTCGATGACAACCCCAGCAGCCTGGCAGGCGGCCACATAGGAAGCCAGAGCCTTGCAAAGAATGTCACGGTCCCCACCACCCATGCAGACGTCCAGAACACAGCCCTTGAAGAAGCTCTCAGGTGGCACATGAGCATGGCAGGTGGTGAAAGGGCCCCCTGTGCCGGGGGCCAGGGGTCCGCAGAAGCCAGGGCCCTCGTACTGCTCCAACCGGTCCTCAGGGCACGTTGGGCAGGACCCCCGACATTCGTCCCAACACAGTGGGTCCCAGCCTGGGGCTCGCCAGCTGCCGCCCCAGATGGGTATGGAGGGAGCCAGTGTGCCATTAGGGAAGACCTGGTCATTGTTGGGGTTGCGGTCCATGTTACCGCAGAGCCCGCACACTGCGCCATGATAGCTGCTGGGCAGCGTCACGTCTACCCGCCAGTTCCAGTCATAGCTGACTTGCAGTCCAAAGTCAGCCACCAGCAGTGCCTTCGATGCACCCTGGGTCACTGAAATCCGCCCGTCGGCCACAGAGACAGGCAAGGCTGTGAGCACACCGTTCACCTGGGGGAAGGAGGGAAGGCAAACGGGTCACTGGAGGTTTTACGGCCCCAGCTCTGGCCCTCTGCCTCCCTCTCTCTCATCCCACCGGGGGCTGGGAGAGGCCAGGGCCTTCCCCCGAGAGTTGGATTGTCATCTGACACACTGTGGACAGTTGTTCTAGCCCAGGTCTTGGGGAACGAAACCTCACTTTACTTTTTCTAGATCTTCTCCCTTCATCTCTATCTCCCTCCCCTGTCTCTGTCTCTCTCTCTGTGTCTCTCTCCCCCTGTCTTCACCTAAGGCTATGCCTCTGGGTCTTCTCTCTCTCTGTCTCTGTCTCTCTCTCTCTCTTTCTGTCTCTCTGTCTCTGTCTCACCCTTTTCCCTTCCTCCCTACCTCCCTCATTCTTTGTGCATCTCTTCCACTCACTCACCATCATTTATTCAGTGCCTACTCTGCTGCATCACTCAGTCTCTCCATGTGAGCTGCCATCAAGCTACATCTCCATTTCCTTGGGCAGAAAGGATAGCCCATTCCTCTCCCCCATCTCCCTATATTTCTTTTTCTTGATTACTTTTTTTATTTTTCAGACGGAGTCTCACTATGTCACCGAGGCTTGTGTGCAGTGTTGCAGTCTCGGCTCTTGTAACCTCTGCCTCCCAGGTTCAAGCAATTCTCCTGCCTCAGTGTCCTGAGTAGCTGAGAATTCAGGAGCATCACCACACCCAGCTAATTTTTGTATTTTTAGTAGAGACGGAATTTCACCATGTTAGCCAGGCTTGTCTCGAACTCCTGACCTCAGATGATCCATCGGCCTCGGTCTCCCAGAGTGCTGGGATTACAGGCGTGAGCCACCGCACCTAGCCCGATCTCCCTGTATTTCTCTCCATGTCCTGGTCTCTGGGCCTCTCACTTTTCCCTCACCGACACTCAAACGACTGTTCACCTGGACTAGACTCTGAGCTCAGCATGTGACATGCACGGCCTTGCTGTGGGGGAGGCCCTGATACGATGCCCACTTCACAGATGAGGAAACTGAGGCCTACCAAGTGAACTGCCCAGCATCACATAGCTCATAAGGAGGAGAGGCTGGATTGAAACCCAGGTCTATAAAAAAGGCAAATGCTGAGGTCCTATGTTAAAGCCCTTTGCCAGGGGCTAGGCTCATTTAATTCCCAGTAACAGGGTGACATTTTTGTTGCAATTATTCTCTTTGTTGACAGTTTGTTTCAGGCCCAGGTGAAGACAAAGAGCCTTGAGCTGCTAACTGTGGTCGTCAGGATCCCTCCTGCCCTCCCGGGGACCTCAGGGGACCATCCTGCCACACATACCCGGACTTTGCCGATCTCGTCCTTGTGGATGGAGATGTTGGTGCCGAGGGCAGCCACGGTGACGACTCTCACGTAGGACACAGCAGGGTTGCCCCGGTTCTGGTTCTTGGTGGTGACGGTGAAGGGTGTCAGGCCCTGGGTGCTGACCCCCGGGCAGCCAGTTGTTGCCAGCACATAGTTACAGGTGCCCTGGAAGTCAAACTTCCGGCCATCGAAGGAGTGGTAGTGTGGGTCGCCCCACAGCCAGCACGTGGCCTCATAGTTGGGCAGGCACACGCCCTGGCCACCCTGCTCCTTGCATGTCTCCTGTGGCCGGCATGTCACGCCGTGGCACGGGTCTGGGGACAGAAGAGGGAGGAGGACCTTGAGGGGCTGCCCATTGTAAAGGATGGCCGCTCCCTCCACATCTACCCCAGTCTGTGCCAGGGATCTGAGGGTTACTGCAGGCAAGACCACATTCCAGAGTCCTCATGTCTAGGACCCAGGTCCTATAGTTTGCTTTTTTATTTTGTTTTGTTTTGTTTTATTGGTTTTTTGAGATGGAGTCTTTCTCTGTCACCCAGGCTGGAGAGCAATGATGCAATCTTGGCTCACTACAACCTCTGCCTCCCGGGCTCAAGAGATTGTCCTGACTGAGCCTCCTGAGTAGCTGGCATTACAGGTGCCCACCAGCATGCTTGGCTGATTTTTGTATTTTTAGTAGAGACAGGGTTTCACCATGTTGCCCAGGCTGGTCTTGAGCTCCTGACCTCAAGTGACCTGCCCACCTCAGCTTCCCAGAGTGCTGGGATTACAGGCCTGAGCCACTACGCCCGGCCTGCTATTTTCAAGACCAGCCCCTGGGAGTCCTGCACATCTGACACTGAGGCATCATGGTGGACTGTGTCTATGTCTCGGGTGTCAAAGTTCCCATATCTGAGATCCCGGCCCCAGAGGTCCCTACAGCCAAGACTTAGGCCCTAGAGTCCCCCTGCCTCTGAGACTGAGGCCCTGCCATCTGCTGTGTGAGACTGAGGTCCTGGAGTCCCTGCACCTAAGACCCAGTCTCTGGGGTCCCCATGTTTGAGACACTGGTCCTGCAGATTTCTGTTTTTAAGTTACAGTTTCCATTGTGCCCTTGCTTGAGAGTTCAGCCTGTTCTTATATTCTAAAGCTTTATAGAAACCTCACCGTCTTCACTTACATAGGCTACGGCTGCTTTCACACCACAGTGGCAGAGTGAGTAGTTGTGATCCAGAAGGTATAGCCTGCAAGCTTAAACACTTACCATCTAGCCCTTTAGAGAAAAGGTGCACTTGACCCCAGTTGAGATCTGTGCCCCAGGGGTCCTTGTGTCTGCGATGCCAGCCCTGAGAGCATCCATGTCTGAGATCCCAGCCCCAGGGTTCTCTGTGTTCAAGACCTGGGCCCCAGGCCAGGTGTGGTGGCTCAGGCCTGTAATCCCAGCACTTTAAGAGGCTGAGACGGGAGGACCATTTGAGCCCTGGAGTTTGAGACCAGGCCTGGGCAACATAGCAAGACCCCATTTCTACAAATAACTTAATAAATGAGCCAGGCATGGTGGTGTGTGCCTGTAGTCCCCCACTACTCAGAAGGCTGAGGCGGGAGAATTGTTTGAGCCCAGGAGATGGAGGCTGCAGTGAGCTATGATTGCATCACTACACTCCAGCCTGGGCGACAGAGTGAGACTTATCTCAAAAAAAAAAAAAAAAAAAAAAAGATCTAGGCCTCAGGGCCCCCCATGCCTGAGATCTCAGCCCCCTGGACATCTCCACATTTGAGAGAAATTGGTCTCCAATTTCTCCAGGTCCTGGAGGCCTCTATGCCCAAGACTACGGCCCTGGGGTGATCTCTGGCAAGAGCCCAGTGCCAGGGTCTCAGCAGGATTTCAAACGTTTGAGACCCTAACTAGCTAAGTCTCATGGCCTGGGCTCCCTCAGTGCAAGACTCCATCCCTGAGGGTTGCTGTGTTCAAGACAGTAGCCTTGAGCGTGTCTCACTGCTGAGGCCCTGTCCTGGAGGGCTTCTGTGTCCGAGACCCTGTTCGGACAGTTACTACATCTGTGACCCCAGCTTGCGGAACCGCTGTGTGGGAGAGGCCAGCCTTCAAACGTCTCCTTCCTCCTGTGTCCATTATCAATGTACCGCCTCTCAGCTTCAAATATACCCACGGAGTTAAGCTTTGTCAACAGAGGGCGCTGGAGAGTCACCACAGGAGGGAGGGGCTACTGGTCTGGATTCCAGCCAGTTTGGTCCTTCCAGCTCTGGCCAGGGTGCGGGGCCACATTCAGCGAGTGCCACTGGCCGCAGCTGGCTTCCCAGTGAGGGGTTCCCTTCTTGCCAAGTCCAGCCTGCAGAAACCTCTGTGCCACCCAGTGGGCTACAGCTGCAGTGAGACTGGACTCAGCCTTGGGGCTGATTCTCCCCTCCTTGAAGAGGAGGGGCCAATGTCTCCCTTCCTTGAGGCCTCTACCTTAGCCCTAGAGTGGGAGCTACTTCTTATGTTTGCTTTGGTGGTATTCTTTAGTGCTCTCTTTACCGTTTCTTATTTATGTTTATTTATTTATTTGTAAAGAGACAAGGTCTTGCTGTCTTGCCCAGGCTGGAGAGCAGTGGTGCAATCATAGCTCACTGCAGCCTCGAAATCCTGGGGTCAACTGATCCTCCTACCTCAGCATCCTAAATAGCTGGGACCACAGGCACGCATCACCACACCTGGCTAATTTTCAATTTTTTGTGGAGACAGGGGTCTCACTATGTTGCCCAGGCTGGTCTCAAACTCCTGGCCTCAAGCGATCCTCCCAAAGTGCTGGGTGTGTGAGCCACGGCAGCAGGCCCTCTTTACCCTTAATAGTTAATCTCCTATTAATAAGTAAATGTTTAATTAAACTTTCCTCATTCAAATGGCCATACGCTTTCTGTCTCTCGACTAGATGCTGAGTGATATACCCCCCATTCCTGGGAGTCCCCATTATCCTGCTCATCAGCCCTGAGAGTCTTAGCCCCCACTCCTTGGTGCGGGAGCTCCCATTCTCTTATCCTTAGGGGGAGGAGAGTTCTCTGCTCTTCACCCTAAGAAATGAGCCCTGGGGGTGGCTGTGTCCCAGATTTAGTCTCGGGGATTCCCACATCAGAGACTATACTCCTAGAAATCCTGATCTTCCACTTGAGATGGGTCCCCATATCCAACATCCTGCCTTGGTGGGGTCTCTGTGCCTGAGACTCAGAACTCTGCTCTCTGTCCCTGCCCCTGGGATCCCAGTCTCTCCCCTGCCCTGTGCTGCTAGTGTCTGAACCCCACAACTAATCCCACACATCAGTGTTCTGCTCACGATGGCCCCCTAGGCTGCTGCTCTTGTATTCTAAAGTCTTATAGGAGCCTGACCTCTTCACTTACATAGTCTACGGCTGCTTTCATGCCACAGTGGCAGAGTGAGTAGCTGGAACGAGACCATGCACCCTGCGAGCTTAAACATTTGCCATGTAGCACATTAGAGCAAAGGCGCGCCTGGGCCTGCCTTATACTGAGGGCCTCTGACAGCCACCCTGAGAAACTTACCTCTGAGGGTCCGCACAGCCTAGATTCCCCTTAAGGGTCCCTGCCTCCCATAGTAGGTAACCCTGGCCCTATGAAACCCAGCCCAGGGGTCCCTAGGTCTGTGACCTCAATCTTTAGTCCTGTGCACCTCCCGCCATGGACACCCCAGTTACACCACCCTCAGCCCCAGAGTCCTTGTCCTCCATCCCTAGTCGCATCAGCCCCAGGCCCAACCCCAGCTCAGCACCTTTGGTGACGCAGCTCAGGATGCCTCCGGAGGGCTGGCACACCTGCCCCGGCTTGCAGCTGTGTTCCTGGCACACCATGCCTTTACCCGCATGGCACGTGCACTGCTGCCGACAGTTGTCAATGAGGACTGTCTGCTCCGGCTGTGGGGAGAGAGGGAACGGCCATCAGGGACACCACGGGTGGGAGCCGACTCTCACATCTCTGGCGTTCTGGCACAGAGGGGTTTGGCAGACATCACAGACAAGGGACATCTCTCAGCAGGATGGCCCGTTGTCTGTGAAGATGAGGCACAGCATGGCTTTGAGGCCATGATTCATTTGTACATTTGTTCATTCACTTTTCTTCATTAACTCATTCATTCCAAAATATCCGCTCAATGTCTGCTGTAGGAGAAATGGTGTGACACAGTAACTAAGGGCAGATCGCCTGGGCTTGAAGCCCGTTTCTGCTGTTTCCGAACTGTGTGACTCTGGGCAAGTTACCTCACCTCTTGTTGGCTCAGTTTCCTGATTTGCAAATTGCAGATAATAGTAGCACCTGCCTATGGAAATATAACCAAGTTAATAACACATGTGAAGTGCAGATGAAAGGAAAAGGGTTTCCCTTAAATCATTCAGATAGGAGAGATGAGTGGGGTAGACATGAAACAAGATTGGGAGAATGTGGCTTATTTCTGAAGCTAAGTGATGGGTAAGTACATGGACAGTCATTCCACTGTTCTCTTGATTTTTGCATGTTTGAACGTTTTCAGAATAAAAAGTTTTTAGATATGTAATGCATATATAAAAATATGCACACATAGCACTTAAAACGGTACCAGATACATAGTAAGCACTATCTACACATTTTCTGTTATTATTATTATTATTCATGTGAGGAGAACAACAGAGAGAGGGTTCCACCCCAGGAGAGCTCACAGTCCCCAAGGGAGATGGACATTGGACAAACACATGCTCCAGTCAAAGAAAAAGGACCAACGGGGACAGAGTGGGAGAGGGAAGTAGAGGGTGTTAGCAGCTGGTATAACACATGAAAATCTTGTCTTTGTGGTCAGAAAGGCTCCCTTCGTCCAGACCTGGAAGGCAAAGCCACAACTTGACCTGGGGAGTCAGGGGAGGGTTTAAAGCTTCAGAGCCCGTGGTCATATTTAGAAAGATCTTTACCACTGCCACGTGGAGGGTGGACCAGAGGGAGCAAAGGTAGGAGCTGGGAGGGACCCAGGTGGGAGAGGACCAGCTGGACCAAGGGAGGGCCATGGGGACGGGGAAAGGAGTGGGTACAAGAGACATTGAAGAGACTGAGTGGACTAGCTGTGGTGGCTCACGCCTGTAATGCTCACACTTTGGGAGGCCAACGCAGGAGGATCACTTGCAGTCAGGAATTTGAGAGCAGCCTGGCCAATATGGCAAAATCCCATCTCTAACAAAACTACAAAAATTAACCATGTGTGGTGGCACATGCCTGTAGTCTTAGCTTCTTGGGAGGCTGGCGCAGGAGAATTACTTGAACCTGGGATGCTGAGGTTGCAGTGAGCTTGAACCCAGGCAGTGGAGGTTGCACTCCGGCCTGGGCACAGAGCAAGACTATGTCATTTAAAAAAAAAAAAAAAAAAAAAGAGGCTCAGTGGGTCGGGCCTGGTGGCTCATGCCATTAATCCCAGCCCTTGGGGAGGCCAAGGTAGGAGGATGGCTTGAGGCCTGGAGTTCAAGACCAGCCTGAGCTACATAGTGATTCGCCCCCATCTCTATGTGTCCACAGGAAAATTAAAAATTCGCTGGGCTTGGTGGTGCATGCCTATAGTCCCAGACACTTGGGAGGTGAGGTGGAAGGATTGCTTGAGCCAAGGAATTCGGGGCTGCAGTGAGCTATGGTACCCTTGCCCTCCAGCCTGGGTGACGGAGTGAGACCCTGACTCTAAAAGAAATAAATAAGAGGCCAAGTAGACAGGCCGTGGGGCTGATGAGCAGTGGGAGGGGTGAGGCCCCATATTCTGCCCCAGATGACTAGGTTCCTACCTCATAGTAGACACCATTGTGGTAGCAGCCGCATTGCTGGATGGGCACGCAGGCTTGGCCATTGTAGAGGAAGCCGGAGTCACACTGGCAGCCCTCAGCACACCCATCCTGGCACTGTGGAGGGGCACTGAGAGCTGAGCAGCCCAGGGAGCAGGTGTCCGCACAGAGCTCGTAGTGACTGTTCGGAGGGCACTCCATGGCTGCAAGGAGGGGGTGCCGATCAGAGCCCTGGGGAGGGAGGGGCTGCAAGGCCCAGGGTCTACCCCTTCTGTGCCTCAAGCTCTCCCCTCCCTGCCCCTCCGGCTCTCCCTCACTCACGACAGAAAGTTTCAGTCCTCCAGGGCTCCACGTGGCCTCCAGCCGCCTGGCAAGCACTCACGTAGGCATGGATGTTGCTGCAGAGAATGCTCAGGTTCCCACCACCCAGGCAGAGATCAAAGATGCAATCTTTCAAGGGACCCTGGGGATCCACCAGCTTGTGGCAGGAGGACAGTGGCCCTGTGGGGCTGGAGAGGAGCCCACAGAACTCCTCCTTCTGATACTTCTTCTCCAGCTCGGGAGGACACTTGTGGCTGGGGATACAGTCCTCGCTCCCCGGCGGGCAAGGGGTGGGCGGCAGGCAGGGAGAGTCGGGCACCACCTCCTCCCAGGAGTTGCCGAACTCATTGGCGTTGCCTGCCTGTGAGCCATTGGGCTTCTGGAAGTCATCCTTGGGGTCGCCGTTGTAGTTCCCACACAGGCCACACATCTGCTGGTAGTAGTTTCCGGGGACGGTGACCCGCACATAGTACACAAGGTCGTAGGCCACACGCAGGCCGAAGTCGGTCTCAATCACAACATCTGAACCATGCTGGGAGGCACGGATCTGGCCGTTGGCCAGCACCACGGGCAGCTTCATGTCCACACCGTTCACCTGGGAGGTGAGAGAGGCAGGCCACGCTTCAGAAAGTAGACTTTGAGTAGGGGTAGGACCCTAGTTCAAGCCCATGCCTGATGCTGAAGATCTGTGTGACCACACCTCTTAGGGCTTCACTTTTTGTATCTCTAAAGTTGGTAGAATAATAGGGCCTGATAGTGGATTGAATGGTGGTCCATAAAAGACATATTCACCCAGAATCCCATAACGTGAGCTTACTTGGAATAAAGTTCTTTGCAGATGTAATCAGGGTAATAATCTCAACATGAGATTATCCTGGATTAAACTGGGCCCTAAATCCAATGACAAGTGTCCTTATAAGAGCCAGAAAGAAAAAGGCAAAGAGACACACAGAAAGGGCCACATGAAGATGAAGGCAGGGATTAGAATGGTGGTGTCACAAGCCCAGAGAACCTGGAGTCTGCAGAGCTGGAAAGGGAAAGGAAGATCCCCCAACCAGTGTCTTTGGAAGGGGTGCAGCCCTGCCCACACCTTGATGTTGAACTTCTGGCACCCAGGACTGTGGAACATACATTTCTAGTGTTTTAAGCCACCAAGCTCGTGGTAATTTGTTATGGCAGCCATGGGAAACGAATACAGGTCTCGATGAAGTAACAAGCCTCCAGCTATCCTTTGTTTACCACTTGCTGCAGTCATTAATAAGCAATGATCGCCCCCAGAGCCACTTGCCCGAGTTCAAACAGTTTCCCCCTTACCCTCTTTGTGACCTTGGGGGTCACAAAGTCACCTCTCCCTGTTTCTGTTTCCTCATCTATCAGGCGGGAATAAGGTGTTTGCCCCACGGAACTGTTGTCAGGATCAGATAAATTAATATTTGTAAAGTGCTGAGAAACGTGGCTGGCATAGCATGCATGCTTCAGGAGCATTTGCTGTTATTAGCAGCTATGAGTGGAGTTTTTTCTTTTGAAGAGTAAACAGACACCACAGGTTTTTGCTTTAAAGCATCAGCGAGTGGAAAGTTAGGCTAAATTCTTGGGGAAATGAACTTAAACCTATGAGCTGAGGACCAGTGGTTTCAGTTTAAGGTTAATAGGCACCAACAAAGCCTCCTAAATCCACCCCTGGGCTGGGCACAGTGGCTTATATCTATAATCCCAGCACTTTGAGAGGCCAAGGTGGGAAGATCACTTGAGCCCAGGAGTTCAAGGTCAGCCTGAGCAACATATGGAGATCCTGTCTCTACAAAGTAAAAAAAATAAAAAAAAAAATTGGTCAGGAGCAGTGGTTCACAACTGTAATTCCAGCACTTTGGGAGGCCAAGGTGGGAGGGTTTCTTGAGCCCAGGAGTTCGAGACCAGCCTGGGCAACATAGCAAGACCCCTCTCTATAAAAAAAAAAAAATTGTCCGGATGTGGTGGCTCACGCCTGTAATCCCAGCACTTTGAGAGGCCGAAGTGGGTGGATCTCGAGGTCAGGAGATTGAGACCATCCTGGCCAACATGGTGAAACCCACGTCTCTACTAAAAATGCAATAAAGTAACTGGGCATGGTGGCGGGTGCTTGTAGCTGAGGCAGGAGAATCACTTGAACCAGGGAGGCAGAGGTTGCAGTGAGTTGAGATCGCGCCACTGCACTCTAGTCTGGGTGAGAAAGTGAGACTGTCTCTCAAAAAAAAAAAAAAAAAAAAAAAGTCACGCCTGTCCAGTTCACCAGATTAAGTCAGTAATTGATCAGCACCTTCGCCAATACTGCTACTAGAAAAACAGCTGCGTGTCTGTTTCAGTGGGATCTCAGGGGAAACCCCTCCACTATAACTGAGATGCCAGTCTCCACATGAGACCAAATCTTCTCAGTGAGCAAAGCACTGCAGAGCAGCATGGGGTTCAAGCTCCACCTTTGCTGGGGGACTATGGGCCAGTGATGGGCCGTCCCACTCTGAAAAATAAAGCAAGTCATAGTGCCTGCAGCCCCTGTTGGAAGCATACAGACACCATGGACGTGAAGTGCCTGGCAGCCAAAAGGTGTGCAGTCAGCTGTATAGAAACTATAGCTGCTGTTGTTGTTGTTAAGGCGGTGAGAGTGTCACCCACAGATTGTCCTCTGTCCATGAAGCTTCTCCAGACTTGATTTTTCCCAACCTCTGATGGTATCACATCCTGCCAATGAGTGGCAGACTAGGGAGGTGGGTAGGGCAGAATCCAGGATTGAGGTGAGGAGAGGATGAAGCGGGAGGGAGGAGAGAGTGGGAGAGATTTGGAGAGAAAAGTCAATGCGGCCAGGTGCAGTGGCTCACGCCTGTAATCCTAGCGCTTTGGGAGGCCAAGGCGGGTGGATCACAAGGTCAGGCGTTCAAGACCAGCCTGGCCAACATGGTGAAACCCTGTCTCTACTAAATAGAAAAATTAGCCAGGTGTTGTGGTGGGCGCCTGTAATCCCAGCTACTTGGGAGGCTGAGGCAGGAGAATCCACTGAACCCAGGAAGCGGAGGTTGTAGTGAGCCCAGATCGCACCATTGCGTTGCAGCCTGGGCGACAGAGCCATACTCCATCTCAAAAAAAAAAAAAAAAGAAAAAGAAAAGTCAATGCATGGAGGTGAAGAGAGGGTGCAGACTTAGGGACAGAGATGGGGGAGCAGCTCCCAAGTCCCTGATGACACCTCCCTCATTGGCTTCCCACTCTGGGTTCTGACTGGCATCTTCTGTCCTCAGGGACCCCAGGCCTCGCACATGCACTCTCATCTCTGTGCCCCCAACTCCTGGGCTGAGCGCGGCCTGTGTCCCACCCACCCACAGGCCCCTGGCCCCCTGTTCCCCATCTGCTCTCACCGTGACCTTCCACTGTCTCTGCTCCAGCCGCAGGGTGAAGTTTGCCACCTGGACCGTGATCACCCTGGTCACACTGACTCGCCCATTACCCCAGGCCACGTTCTCCTGCAGGACGGCAAACCGATGCAGGCCAGGCCGGGTGCCGCAGGTCTGAGCCAGCACATACACGCAGGTGCCCATGAAGTCGAAGCGGCGGCCATCGAAGGTGGTGTAGTGGGGGTCTCCTGACGCCTGGCAGGTGCTAGAGCCCACGGCCACACAGCCCAAGCTGCCACCGGATGGCTGGCAGGCCTCGTGCGGTCCGCAGCTGGAGGACTCACAGGACACCAGGCCGCCCTCCTGGCAGTGGCAAAGGGAATCACATCCGGGGCCAGGGTAGAAGGTCTGGCCTGGTGGGTGGTAGGTGCCCTGGTGTACGCAGCCACAGGAGGCCAGGGGCAGGCAGGACTCACCACTGAGCGCAAAGCCCTCATCGCACACGCAGCCCTCATGGCATTCTGAGCCACAGCCCCCGGGCACTGGGAGGTCTCCACAGGACAGCGGGCAGCCGTAGGAACACGCCTCATAGTGGCTGTGGGGTGGGCAGCTCAGTGCTGCAGGGAGAGGAGACATCAAGATCAAGAATTCCTGCTCCCAGGTCAGGAGTTCGAGACACACTCACATACAAGTGGTCCCTCAACACATTCGTATGCACACAAACACTCAAACACACTCACACACAAGTGGTCCCCCAAGACATTCATATGCACACACACGCTCAAACACACTCACACACACACAAGCGGTCCCCCAACACATTCGTATGCACACACAGATGCTCAAAGACACTCACACACAAGCGGTCCCATTGCAGGGTGCTTGGGGAACACATTACATCGCAGTTAATCTGATCCTGATAATTAAGATTCTTTCCCAATTTAACTATGGTTTGGAGTTATCTATTATGGTTTTTTTTTTTTTTGAGATAGGGGTCGCTCTGTTACTCAGGCTGGAGCGCGGTGGTGCTTGCTATCACAGCTCACTGCAGCTTTGACCTCCTGGGCTCAAGCAATCCTCCCACTTCAGCCTCCTGAGTAGCTGGGACTATAGGCGTGCACCATCATGCCTGGCTAACTGTTCAAATTTTTTATAGAGATGCGGTCTCGCTATGTTGCCCAGGCTGGCCTCAAACTCCTGGGCTCAAGCAGTCCACCTGCCTCAGCCTCCCGAAGTGCCGGGATTGCAGGAATGAGCCACCACACCCAGCCTTCTATTATGTCTTTAATGACCTTATTCAAGTTGGATACATGGTGTTGATATGTGGCATATATTTTAAACATGCATATGCATATATTTCTGTGTTTGTATAATCTATGCAATATTTGTGAATGCAATACTTTTAGCTTCTTCCTTCTATAGCAGTAATTAAAATATTTAGCCAGTGTTATAAAGAAAAAAAGAAAAACCTCCCTGCTCCCCTCCCCAAACTCCAGTCACTCCATAAAAAGCAAATCTAAGTGACTAAAACTAAACCACATTAAATCTCTATCTGTGCTGTCAAATACAGTAGCCACTAGCCACTTGTGACCATTTGGATGTAAGTTAATTAAAATGAAACAAAATTGAAGATTTAGCTCCTCAGTCACAACAGCCTCATTGCAAGTGCTCAGCAGCCACATGTGACCTGTGGTGACCTGGTATGTATTTGAACAGCTCAAATATGGAGCTGTCATCATTGAAGTTCTGCTGGGTGGTGCTGTTCTGAAGCTGACATCCAGCTTACAGGAGAATCATGGGGACATAGGGACAAGTTCAATAACACTCCAAAATAGCAACTAGCCAGATCCTGAAAGTATGAAATTCTGCAGGATAAATAACCTATCTTTCCCAGTAAATAAGTGACATAGACAAAAGGAAGAGCTGGATGGAGGGATAGCTATGTGATAAGGCAAATGAATGAATTAGAATTAGAGTGAAGAGGCCGGGCGCGGTGGCTCACACCTGTAACCCCAGCATTTTTGGAAGCCGAGGCAGGAGGATCACTTGAGGTCAGGAGTTCGAGACCAGCCTAGCCAACATGGTAAAACCCGTTTCTACTAAAAATACAAAAATTAGCTGGGCATGATGGCGCACATCTGTAATCCCAGCTACGTGGGAGGCTGAGGTGGGAGAATCGCTTGAACCCGGGAGGCGGAGGTTGCAGTGAGCTGAGATTGCACCACTGCACTCCAGATTAGGCAACAGAGTGAGACTCCATCTCAAAAAAAAAAAAAAAGAAAGAAAGAAAGAAAGAAAAAAGAAAAGAAAAAGAATTAGAGTGTAGAGTCCAGGTGGTAGGTTTATGGGTCTTCACTGTAAAATTCTTTCAACTTTTTTGTATATTTGACAATTTTCATAATACTATGTTGGGAGGAACAAAGGAAGGAAATTCTGACAGAGTAAAAGCAAAGAGGTAGATCAATCCAATGCAGTATGTGTATTTGGTTTGGTTCTAGAGCCAAACAAAATAGAAAAAAACCTTTTTTTTTTTTTAGACAATTGGGAAAATTTGAACCCAGATTGGGCTTTACATGATGTTAGGGAATTAATGTTATTGTTGTTACTGGTAATTACCACATGCCCTCATATCTCTTTCTTTCTTCCTTCCTTTTTTTTTTTTTTTTTTTAGAGACAGGGCCTCACTGGAGTGCAGTGGCACAGTCTCGCCTCACTGCCACCTCCACCTCCTGGGCTGAAGATATTCTCCCACCTTAGCCTCCTGAGTAGCTGAAATGATAGGCACTAGTCACCATGCCCGGCTTATTCTTTATTTTTATTTTTGTAGAGACTGGGTTTTGCTATGTTGCTCAGGCTGGTCTTGAACTCCTGGCCTCCAGCGATCCTTCCACCTAGGCCTCCCAAAGTGCTGGGATTACAGGCATGAAAAGCAAACTCCTGTGCCTTAAAAGTCCTTTTTTGTTGCTGAAAAGCAGATGCTTACTGAAGTAGTTAGAGGAGAACTGATCTGCCTAGAATTTGATCTAAAATATTCTACCAAAAAAGAGGGGGTGGAGTGAGAGGTAGAGGAACTAAGAATGGCAAAATACCAATAATTGTTCAAGCTGGGTCAGGCCTCCGTCTGCATATCTAAGACCTCATGATCCAGTCTTCTAGAACTTCCAGGTGGTACAAGGAAAGGAGTAGTTTTAAGGAAACAAGAGATTCTCAATTTCCACACAGGCCACAGAGTCTGATAATTAACAGCACAAAATCAGGAGCCAGCCTGTTCAAATCACCCCACCGGCTGTGTGACCTCAGGCTAGTTCCTTAACATCTCTGTGGTTCAGTTTCCTCGTCTTGTAAAATAGGAATAAGAGCAATTCTGCCTCACGGGGTGGTTGTGAGGATTCAATGAGAAACCCTTAGAACAGGACCTGCCCAGTGGGATGCGTGTCACACAACTGCTAGCTGGAATTATACGTGTCCTGCCTAAAAGGACAGCCCAAGAATGCTCTGTTAGAAGAGCATTCCCACTTCCCATTGTCCACCTGTCCCCTTCACAAGTGTGCTTCCTGCACTTTACAGAAGAGAACAGTGCAGTCCCCCACCCATCCTGAATCTTTTTTTTTTTTTTTTTGAGACAGGGTCTCGATCTGTGGGCCAGGCTGGAGTGCAGTGGTGCGATCTCGGCTCACTGCAATCTCTGCCTCCCAGGTTTAAGCTAAGATTCTCCTGCCTCAACCTCCCAAGTAGCTGGGATTACAGGCGCTCACCACCAGGCCTAGCTAACTTTTGTATTTTTTGTAGAGACAGGGTTTTGCCATATTGGCCAGGCTGGTCTCGAACTCCTCACCTCAAGTGATCTGCCCGCCTCAGCCTCCCAAAGTGCTGGGATTACAGGCATGAGCCACCACACCCAGCCCCATCCTGAATCTTAACACATGGCACAGTGCCCTGGAGTGTGAAACCTCTGAGGACATAAACGGACGATTTCAAATATTGCTATCGCTGTGAACACAACGAATGCTGAATCATTATTGAGTAATAAATCAAAAGGAGGGCCTAATAGAATTGGCTGCTCACAGATAATATAAAATAAATTTGTCGTGTCTCACTGTGTGCCTTCCCTATGACTCAGAAGGGGTTCAGAGCACGGAGTGATGTTACTCCACCTGCACTCTGTCCACTCCCACCCACTTATTAATATCATGTAAGCCAGGAGCTGTGGCTCAAGTCTGTAATCTCAGCACTTTGGGAGGCCAAGGCGGGAGGAAGGCTTGAGCCCAGGAGTTTGAGACCAGCCTGGACAACATAGCGAGATCTTGTGTCTACAAAAAATAAAAAATTAGCCAGGCATGGTAGTGTGCACCTGTAGTCCCAGCTACTCAGGAGGCTGACACAGGAGGACTACTCGAGCCCAAAGATGGAGGCTACAGTAAGCTGTGATCACACCACTGGACTCCAGCCTCGGTGACAGGATAATACCTTATCTCAAAAATAAATAAATATCATATCTACAAAAATGAAAGATAGGATTAGAATTGATGCTGAACCCTGTCTCATTCTAACAATATATGTGAAATATTGGGTGGGGGTAAGCTCACTGAGTGATGCCATTACAATGGCCATTACAATTTACTTCTGTTTAATATTTTTATCAATTGTGCACAAACAATTCTTGCAATGATATCTTACTCCATTAAAAAAACCACTTAGAGTCTTAGAGTCTCAGGAATTTCTAAAACTTCTTATATCTTTTATAAGAAGGCTGTTTTGTCCTGGGAGGTTTCACACCCCAGGGCAACATGCCACGTGTTGAGATTTGGGATGAGTGGAGACTGCACTGTTATTATTTTATTTTATTTTATTTTATTTTATTTTATTTTTTGAGACAGAATCTCGCTCTGTTGCCCAGGCTGGAGTGCAGTGGCTTGATCTCGGCTCGCTGCAACCTCTGCCTCCTGGGTTCAAGCGATTCTTCTGCCTCAGCCTCCCGAGTAGCTGGGATTATAAAAATTCTGAAATCTTAGTCATAGATGTGTATGTTTGTGGCAGAGAAGTGTGATGGCGATTGTGACACAGGCTGCCAATGGTCACGTCTTGACTCTGGGCATGACCATGGCACTTGCTTTGGCCAATGGGACATTGGCCACCATGATACCAAGTAGAGCCTTGGAAAGTGCTTGCACACTGGGGCTTGTGTGCTCTTAGGAATCTTGAGAGCACCTTGGGAAGAAGCCTTGGCTCACCTGCTGGAAGATGAGACCAAGTAGAGCAGAGACAAGAATTCCCAGCTGAGGGCCCCCCAAACCAACCAGCTTGACAACTGCCAGATGTGTAAAATCACCCTAGATTACCCGGCCTTGGCTGAGCCTCCAACAGACTGCAGAGATCAACCAAGCTGGCCCAGGCTGGGAGAACAGCTCAGCAGCCCCCAGAATCATGAGAAAGAATAAATACTTGGCCGGGCATGGTGGCTCACACCTGTAATCCCAGCACTTTGGGAGGCTGAGGCGGGCAGATCACCTGAAGTCAGGAGATCGAGACCAGCCTGGCTAACATGGTGAAACCCCCATCTCTTCTAAAAATACAAAGAATTAGCCGGGCATGGTGGCACATGCCTGTAATTCCAGCTACTTGGGAAGCTGAGACAGAAGAATCACTTGAACCCAGGAGGCGGAGGTTGCAATGAGCCGAGATCACACCATTGCACTCCAGCCTGGGCAACAGAGCGAGACTCCATGTCAATAAATAAATAAATAAATAAATAAATAAATAAAAATAAACACTTGTTTTAATGCACTCAGCCACTAAGCCTTGGGTTGTTTGTTAGGCACCAAAAGCCAGCTGATACAGTGACTTTAACAAAAGACTTCCATGCATTCAAATGTGTTACATTAGGTTAAATTCTGTTAGAACTAAAAAGCATTAGAAAATCAGTTCAGAAAGGCAAGGATTTGTTTTCTTATTCTCTCCCCTATTGTATCCGGAGTGTTTAGAATAGTGCCTGGAATACAGAAGGTATTTTTGAATGTTTTGGATATTTGTTGAATGAATGAATGTAAGTTGAAGGAGAAAAAGGAATGATGTATTTATCCTGTATTTTTCAGTGGACAATGATGTGTACCACTGTGTGCTATGTATCTGTTGAATACATTTAAAAGAGGAGCATAAGTCAAGTAATGGTTTCATTTTGAAATACCAATATTATGTTGATAATTGTGGAAACTAAATGATGGATATATGCTGGCTCACTATCCTAGTTTACTTTGGATATGTTTAAATTTTTCCCTAATAAAAATGTTCTTAAGGCCATGAGCAGTGGCTCACGCCTGTAATTCTAGCACTTTGGGAGACCGAGTTGGGCGGATCACTTGAGGTCAGGAGTTCGAAACCAGCCTGGCCAACATGGTGAAACCCCCTCTCTACTAAAAATACCAAAAAAATTAGCCAAGCATGGTGGCGGGCGTCTGTAGTCCCAGCTACTTGGGAGGCTGAGGCAGGAGAATTGCTTGAACCCAGGAGGCGGAGGTTGCAGTGAGCTGAGATCGTGCCACTGCACTCCAGCCTGGGTGACAGAGTGAGACTCCATCTCAAAAAAAAAAAAAAAAAAAGGTTCTTAAAAGTCAAAAGTTACCATTTGTTAGAAATTATAAGTTTTATGATTATTTCAGGTGAAAAACTAGACATGTATGCTTCTATTAATTCCAAAATTCAAAAACTTTAGAAGTCAGAATAGTGGTTACCTCTTGGGGTTGGGAACCTGGATTTTTTTTTTTTCTTGAATTTGGGACAGTTCACACAGGTTTGTTCTCTTGGTGAAAACTGATCAAGCTGTTAGCTTATGATATGTACATATTTTTAAATATCTGTATTATATTTCAATAATAAATTTTTTAAATTAAAAATCGGGTGAGAGGAAACTGGTACGATGGCTCACACCTGTCATCCTAGTATTTTGAGAGGCCGAGGCAGGAGGATTGCTTGAGCCCAAGAGCCCGAGACCAGCCTGGGCAAAATATCAAAACCCTGTCTCTATAAAAAATATTTTAAAAATTAGCGGGGGATGGTGGTGCAAGCCTGCCGTTTCAGCTACTCAGGAGGCTGAGGCAGGAGAATCGCTTGAGCCCAGGAGTTCCAGGCTGCAGTAAGCTATGATTGCACCACTACACTCCAGCCTAGGCAACAGAGCAAGACCCCATCTTAAAAAAAATCAGGTGAGAGGATGCATGGCTTTTCAAACTTCTTTCATAGGCAAGCAAAGGTGTTGGAAAACCATTCATGCACCCACCTCTGAAACAAGGCTCTCAAACTGACTGCCCAAGGGGTCAGGCAGATGTAAATAAGCGAGGTAGGATAGATGGGGACCAAAAAGAACCAGAGAGGGGATGAGACTCCTAATGACAATACTGTTGCTCATATCTCAATGACAGCTGTTATGTGGGAATCAGACCCTGGGCCACCAGGTGTACTCAGTCATTTTACAAATACCAACTGCCGCTGGGCACGGTGGCTCACGCCTGTAATCCCAGCACTTTGGAAGGCTGAGGTGGGCGGATCACGTGGTCAGGAGATCGAGACCATCCTGGCCAACATGGTGAAACCCCATCTCTACTAAAAATACAAAAATTAGCTGGGCTTGGTGGCGCATGCCTGTAATCCCAGCTACTCTGGAGGCTGAGGCAGGAGAATAGCTTGAACCAGACTCAGAGGTTGCAGTGAGCCGAGATCATGCCACTGCACTCCAGCCTGGTGACAGAGCAAGACTCCATCTAAAAAAAAAATACCAACTGCATGCCCACCATCTGTGATTTTCTAGCTATCATGATCCCAGGTGTGTAACTGAACCTTTCTGAACTTCAATTTCTTCATCTGTTAAATGGGTATAACCACAATCCCTACCTCATAGGGCTATTATAAGGATTAAATGAATTAATGATATTTATACATTAATGAATATATATAAGGCTGAGTCCCCCAGTTGCCACTTCCGATACTCACGGCAAAGTTCTTCACTCCTCCAGGGGTGCACTGTGGCTCCAGCAGCCTGGCATGCAGCAGCATAGGTGGCCAGTGCGTCACACAGTGGCCCAGACTGGCCTGGCAGCAGGCAGCGGTCATAGACACAGTCGCGCACGGCACCCTGGGGGTCCAGCTTGCTATGGCACTCCCGGAAGGGCCCCTTGGGGTCGGCAAGGATTCCACACTCATTCTTGCTCTGCAGCTGCTGGGCCACCAGGGAGTCCAGCTTGGGACAGTCACCCGGTTCAGTTGCTCCACAGCCGGGCCTCGTCTCTTCTTGCCAGCTGTTCCCAAAGGCCAGTGCATTGGCAGCTTGACCCCCACCCCGCAGAGCCAGGTCATCAGCTGGGTCCCCGTTGAAGTTCCCACAGAGTCCACACAGGGCCTCAGCATAGCTGCTGGGCACCTTGGCAGTCACTCGTGCATTCCAGTCATAAGTGACAGTCAGGCCAAAGTCCGTGCGCACGACGGCATCCCTGCCCTGTCGGAACACCTGCACCTGCCCATCTGCTGCTTGGAAGGGCAGATACTGAAGGACGTCATCCACCTGGGTGGAGATGCAAGAGGGCCACCTGGTCAGGGTATTCACAGTTCTGTGGCCCACCCTTCAATTCACTCACCTCCAGCTACCCTGACCTCCTTGCTATTCTCTTGGACATATTACGCTCAGTCCCACCTCGAGGCCTTTGCACTTGCTGTTCCCTCTGCCTGGCTCACCATTCACCCCTCTTCATTCCTAAAGCACCAGCTTAAATCCAAATCCCTCACCCATGGCCTTCAAAACCTACATGATCTGTCTATCTCCCCATTACCTCCCTCGCCTCACCTCTTCTCACTGTCCCTCTCACTCAGGCTGCTGCAACCATACTAGCTTTCTTTTCTTTTTTTTTTTGGACAGGGTCTCACTCTGTTGCCCAGGCTGGAGTGCAGTGGCACAATCTTGGCTCACTACAACCTCTGCCTCCTGGGTTCAAGCGATTCTCTCTCAGCCTCCCTAGTAGCTGGGATTACAGGTGTGAGCCACTGCACCTGGCTAATTTTTTTTTCTATTTTTAGTAGAGAGGGGGTTTCACCATGTTGGCCAGGATGGTCTCAAACCTCAGATGATCCACTCGCCTCAGCCTCCCAAAATGCTGGGATTACAGGCGTGAGCCACGGTGCCCAGCCACTAGCTTCCTT
The DNA here is from genome assembly GCF_000001405.40 of Homo sapiens. Lineage (NCBI taxonomy): Eukaryota > Metazoa > Chordata > Mammalia > Primates > Hominidae > Homo > Homo sapiens. The sequence continues at coordinate 190,033 of NW_009646206.1, forward strand.
TTTAAAATAGAGACAGGGGTCTCACTCTGTCACCCAGGCCAGAATGGAGTGGCACGATCATAGCTCACTTCCTAGCACTTCAGGAAGCTGAGGCGGGAGGGTCACTTGAGCCCAGGAGTTGGAGACCGGCCTGGGCAACTTAGTGCGACTCCGTTCTGCACAAAAAGGAAAAAGGAAAACGAAAAAAATAAAATCTTCTAACAGGCCTCCCCCACCCTCAGGCCCATCCAGAACTCCAAGTCTTCAGAGGGTATTTCCTGCTCCGTCACCCAGCCCTGGGCGCCACGTCGCTCACCAGCACTTGCCCGGGGTACTCCCGGCGCACGGCCACCTTCACCCCGCGGGCCTCCACCCGCACGGCGCGCGTGTAGCTCACAGTCTGGCTGCCCCGATGCTCGTTTTCCACCAGCACCCGGAAGGCAGGCAGCGCTGCGTTCTGGCCGCATGAGCCGACCAGCAGGTACGTGCAGGTGCCCATGAAGTCGAAGCGCCGGCCGTCGAAGCTCACATAGTGTGGGTCCCCGGACCCCTGGCAGGTCCCGAAGCGATCGGGGTAGCAGCCCAGGAGGCCGTTCTGGACGCTGCAGCGCTCACCCGCCGGGCAGCTCTGCTTGTCGCGGCAGGTGACCTGATGGGTGGCGCCGTTGCAGGTGCAGCGCCTTTGGCACAACTCGTCCGCCCACACTTCCTGGCCCGGAGCGAGCTGGAGACCCTGGAAGGTGCAGCCACACGACGAGGCCGGCACGCAGGCGCCGCCGCTGGCCACGAAGCCTGGGAGGCACACGCAGCCCTCCACGCAGGGGCGCCCGGAGCAGTTGGACGGCGCCGCAGCCCCGTTGCAGGAGGTCGGGCAAGCAGGGCCGCAGAGCTCATAGCGGCTGTTGGCAGGGCAGGACAGGGCTGCGGGGAGATCAGAGAGGGTGGATCAGGCCCGCGTAGCAGGGGCCGTCGAAGAGCGCCCTGTCGGGGACGGCGCCCAGGAATTCCATCCCCAAACCCTGCTCCTCTCTCAGAGCTCGCCATCTCAGATAATGGCACTGCCATTCTTCTGGGTGCTCCTGCGCCACACCCCAGCGACGCAGTTAATCTCCACCCCGCCAACCCCCTAACGCTCACTGGACAACCAATCTGTCAGCAAGTCCTGTGAGCTCCATATTCAAAATCTACCCAGATTGGCCGGGAGTGGTGGCGCAGGCCTGTAATCCGAGCTACTCAAGAGGCTGAGGCAGGAGAATCGCTTGAACCCGGAAGGCGGAGGTTGCAGTGAGCTGAGACCACACTACTGCACTCCAGCCCGGGCGCAGAGCAAGACTTTGTCTCAAAAAAAAAAAAAAAAATCCACCCAGTTACAGAATCTGCCTCTGATCCTATCCACCGCAGCAGCCTCCTGCCTGGGCTCCCTCCTGCCCCCACAGCCTGTTCCTCACACCAGGCCGAGGAATCTGGGAACATCTGGGTCAGATCAGGTCCCTCCCCATCTCAGAGCACTACTGTGGCTTCCTCTCACTCAGGGTAAACGCCAGAGTCCTCCCCATGCCTCAGGAGGCCCTGTGCCATCTGTTCCTCTCACCTCTCAGCCCTCACCTCTTCTCCCTCTCCCTCGGGCTCACTCTGCCCCAGCCCCAGCTGCCTCCTCCTCCCGGGTCCTCACCCTCCCACCTCAGGGCCTTTGCATTGGCTGTTCCCTCTGCCTTCCCTTTCCCCAGAAAGCCCACTGGGGCCCAGGTGGCCTGGGTTCAGATCCCAGATCTCTCCTTCTCGGCCACTGACTCCAATCTCCCCGTGCCTCAGTTTCCCCATCAGTAAGATGGGATAATGTAGTCGAGACCTCACAGGGTTGTTGTGAGGATTAAATGAGTTGATCTATGGGGAAACATTCTGTGGACATCACTGTTAGTTAGTACTTAGCTGACTCCATTGCCTGACCCTGGTCTCAGCTCCAATGTTACCTGCCCAGAAAGGCCTTCCCTGATCACCCTCTTCACGAGCCTCACAGTCACTGTCATTGAATGAACTTGTTTCTTTGCCTCTCTGAAGATACTTCCTAGTTCATCTGCTCACTGTCTGTGTCCCTCCCCTGCCGCTAAGAGAGAAGTTCTGCGGGAGTGGGGACCTGATCTGTCTCAATCACTGCTGAGTCCCCAGCACCAAGGACAGGGCCTGGTACGCAGCAGGTGCTCAGGAAATACTGCAGAAGTGAAAGGGAGAATAAATGAACTCTCTGATTCCTATTTTGCGCCAGGCATGGGGTTGGGGGGGTGCTTACTGGGCAGTGGGGACACAGAACTGGCCAAGACAAACACCTAGTGGCCTCTATGTCTGCCCTGTACTTACTCCCCCTCCCTCTGGGCCTGGGCCTGGATGCCTCTTCCTCCCTCCTACCTGTCCTTTCTGCCTCTGGGACATGTCTCTAGGAGCCTCACTCACAAGGGCAGGAATAGATTTATGCTGGTCTTCACTGTGTCTTCAATATCATTAGCATGCACAGGGGGCAGGCAGGGGTTCAAGGAATGCTTGTGGAATGAATGAGTGAACGATTAAGCAGACGGACACCTGGCTAAAGAGCCTGGACTTTATCTAGAGGGCAATGGGAGTCATGGGAGGGCTATAGGCAAAGGAAGAGACGTCACGTCTCTGTGTTGGGATTCTGCAGACAAGAATTCCCGTCCTGCCAAGCCTTTGAGCATGCTGTTCTCTGGGCCTGCAACTCACTTCCTCCTCTTTCTCTTGGCAACTTCCAGCCCCTCTTATGGGTTTCAAATTGGACATCTTTCTCTAGAAAACCCTCCCTGACCACCCCTGCTCCCCAGGCTGGGCCAGGAACCTCCTCTGGTTTCCCATAGCCCCACTGACTTCCTCCATCCTGGCCCCAACCCCTCTGCCTGTGTCCCCCGCAATCCCAGCCCTGACTCATCTGCCTGTCTCTCTCCCATCCTGGCCCCAACCCATCCGAGTGGGCCTCCCCATCCTGCCTGGACCCCTCCAGACTGTCAATGTCTAGTGAAACGTCTCTCCAACCTTAGGCTCATTGTGGACAGAGCTGGCTGTCTTGGCCATCACTAGGCCCCTGGCATTGCCCAGCACCAGGCTGAACCATAATAACTTCTCAGATATTAAGCAGATGCTAGGGATCTCCTGCCCCTCACTGTATGCTCCCAGCCCCCACCCAGGGCATCACTCACGGCAGTTGGCTGGTGATCTCCAGTCCCCAACCGAGATGCCAAGCTCCAGACAGGCCTGGGCATAGGCGCTGAGGCCACGGCACAGGCTGAGCCGCTCCCCACCGACCACACACAGGTCATATACACACTGCTCCAGGAAGGGCCTGGGGTCCAGGGTGTCATGGCAGACAGCGAAGGGGCCATCGAGCTTGGTCAGCATGCCACAGAGTCGGTCGCCCTCATAGTGTTGGGCCTGGCCTGGGGTGCAGGCGGGACAGTTGTTCTGGCAGCCATCCTCACACAGGTAGTCCCCATCATCCAGCTTCCAGCTACTTGCGAACTCCACAGCGTCAGGAGCCAGAGCCCCGTCAGGCGTGAGGAAGTCGTCTGCTGGGTCACCATTATAGTTGCCACACAGCCCGCACACCTGGTCTTGGAAGCGTGCAGGCAGGCTGAGTGCCAGCTGGCAGTCCCAGTCATAAGTGACCACCAGCCCAAAGACCAGCTCCACCACGGCCCGTGGTCCGCTCTGGTACACACGCAGGCGACCCTCACTCAGGGAGACTGGCAGGCGCGAGCGCTGGTTGTCAACCTGCAGAGTGGGTGAAGAGGAGGTGGTCAGGCCCCTGTGCCATCTGGCCTCCAGCCCTCATTAAAGTACTTTTTAATTAAAAGTTTTAAATAGGAGAATATAGAAAAAGAGTATGTGCTCAAACGTCACTGACTCAAGCCTTCCCTGACTGCCCTATTTTATGATTTTATTTTATGGTTTGTTTGTTTTGTTTTGTTTTATAGAGATGAGGTCTTGCTATGTTGCCCAGGCTGATCTCAACTCCTGGCCTCAAGCAATCCTCCTGCCTCAGCCTCCCAAAGTGCTAGAATTACAGGCATGACCCATGGGACCCAGCCTACACCCCTTTTTAAATGGCAGCCTTGGGCCGGGCGCAGTGACTCACACCTGTAATCCCAGCACTTTGGAAGGCTGAGGCGGGTGGATCACTTTATGTCAGGAGTTTGAGACCAGCCTGGTCAACATGGTGAAACCCTGTCTCTACTAAAAATAAAAAAATTAGCTGGGTGTGGTGGGGCACGCCTGTAATCCCAGCTACTCAGTTGGCTGGGGCAGGAGAATTGCTTTAACCCAGGAGGTGGAGGCTGCAGTGAGCCAAGATCGTGCCAAACAGAGTGAGACTCTGTCTAAAAAAAAAAAAAAGGCAGCCTCTCCCTATTCCATAGCCTCCTTCCCTGCTTTCCTTTTTTTTCTATAGCATCTGGCCTTCTGAAATATAATTCACAAATTGACCATGTTTATCATCTGTCTTACTCCATCAGAATGGCAGCTCCACAAAGACAAGGGTTTGGGTCTGCTTTGATCACTGCTTTATCCCCAGTGCATAGAACAGGGCCTGGTAGAATCCCAGGCACTCACTAAGTGAATTAAGTCACTGCTGCATTTAATAAACATTCACTGGGCACTCACTCTGTGCCTGGCCTTGAGCTGGGAGATCCTGGGAATACGAAGGTGGCGGAGACAGCCCCAAGCCCTACCCTCATGGGGCTCCCAGTCCATTGGGAGAAACAGACACATCACCAGACAGTGAGAGCTCAGAGGGGTCAGGGCAGAGATGGGAGAAGCACAGGCAGAAAAGTCAAGGCCAGGATCAGAAAGGCCCAGGCAGAGGGGTCAAGGATGGGATAGGGGAGGTACAGGCTGAGGGTTCAGAGCTGGGATAGTGGGGAGATAGGAGGCTGTGAAAACCTAGAAAAATGGCCAGATCTAACCTTGCTGGTCAGGGATGTTGAAATCTTAACACCCAACATGATGGTATTAAGAGTGGGGGGAGGCCTTTGGGAGGTGATTAGGTCATGAGGGTGGCACCCTCATGAATGGGATTAGTGCCCTTATGACAGAGGCCTCAGAGAGCTCTCAGATCCGCTTTCCACCGTGTGAGGATACAAGGAGAAGTAGGCCATCTGCAACCTGGAAGAGCACCCTCACCTGAACCTGGCAGTGCTGGTGACCTCATCTTGGACTTCCAGCCTCCAGAACACAGAGACGAGGTTGTGTTGTTTATAAGCCTCCCAGGCTCTGGAGAAGCCTGAAGTCTGACTAAGAACCAGGAGATAAGAACTATGTCTCTCTGTGCCCTGGGGCATCTTTTTTTTGAGATGGAATCTTGCTCTGTCACCAAGGCTGGGCTGCATTGGCACGATCTCGGTTCACTGCAACCTCTGTCTCCCAGGTTCAAGTGATTCTCCCACCTGGGATTACAGGTGCCTGCTACCACGTCCAGCTAATTTTTGTATTTTTAGTAGAGATAGGGTTTCACCATGTTGGCCAGACTGGTCTTGAACTCCTGACCTCAAGTGATCTGCCCACCCCTGCTCAGCCTCCCAAAGTGCTGGGATTACAGGCATGAGCCACCGTACCCAGCCTTTTTTTTTTTTAATTAATAAAAAAATTTTTTAAATTAGATATGGGGGTCTCACTATGTTGTCCAGGCTGGTCTGGAGCTCATGGCTCAAGCAATCCTCCCACCTCGGCCTCCCAAAGTGCTGGGATTATAGGTGTGAGCCACCGCACCCAGCCTGGGCATCTCTTTCTTACTCTTTCCTTACACATTCTCTGAGCTGTGCCAGAGCTGAGACTTGAAGTGGAGAAGTCTTAGCCAAGAGGATGGAATATGATAAAAGGAGCAACAGGAGAGAGGACAGCATGAGCAATGGCCCAGAAGGAAGACAGAGCATTCACTCATTCCGGCTCCCAGCAAAGCTTCTGTGAGTCCCACTGTGTGGCCTGCTCTGTGCCAGCTGGTGCTTTAGACACTGCAGTGATGGAGACAGGCCATGGCCCCATGCTCAGAGCTCTCAGTCCAGCATGGCTGCTCAAATCTGTTTCTCCCCTAAGTCCAGTGATCTCCATTTTAATTTTTCTATTTTTTTATTTATGTATTTTTTTGAGACAGTTTTGCTCTGTCACCCAGCCTGGAGTGTAGTGGCAGCATCATAGCTCACTGCAGCCTCGACCTCCTGGGCTCAAGCCATCTTCCTGCCTCAGCCTCCCAAGTAGCTGGGACCATAGGCAGGCGCCACCACACCCAGCTATTTTTTTTTTTTTTTTTTGGTAGAGATAGGGTCTCCCTATGTTGCCCAGGCTGGTCTCAAATTTCTGGGCTCAAGTAATCTTCCAGCTTCAGCCTCCCAAAGTACTGGGATCACAGGCGTAAGCTACCATGCCCAGCCAATCTCCATTTTTAAATGACACAAATAATATTCGTTCATTACAGAAAACTGAAAATGCACAGGAGCAAAAATGAGAAAAGAAAATCACCCTGTAGGCAGACACATACAAATGTATAGATCCTGTTGAGTTTTTTCCTACCTTTAGATATATTTACACTTAAAAAAAAAAAGACCATGCTGAAGTCACTATTTCATTAACTCCTCTCCTAACAATGTCTTGTGAGTATCCTACTATGATTCTGACAGTAGCTCTGCACCTTTGTCAAGTCACTGACCTCTGTGAGGATCTGACGGAAAAAAAAATGAAAGGCCGGGTGCGGTGGCTCATGCCTGTAATCCCAACACTTTGGGAAGCCGAGTTGGGCGGATCACAAGGTCAGGAGATCAAGACCATCCTGGCTAACACAATGAAACCCCAGCTCTACTAAAAATACAAAAAATTAGCCGGGCGTGGTGGCATGTGCCTGTAGTCCCAGCTACTCGGGAAGCTGAGGCAGGAGAATCGTTTGAACCCAGGAGGCGGAGGTTGCAGTGAGCCGAGATCACGTCACTGTACTCCAGCCTGGGCAACAGAGCGAGACTCCGTCTCAAAAAAAATAAAAAGTAGTTTTCAGAGAGAGGTATAAAATTCTGTATATAATTTCAAGGGATCTGAAGTCCGCCTGAACTTGTGCTCAACCCCTCCAGGGCTGAAGAACACCTCCTTTCACCAACTGATTATTAATCGCAGAGATCTACCTGCACACTCACAAAATCAGGGAGGTACAAGAATATTTATTTCAGGTCAGATACAGGGGCTTACGCCTCTAATCCCAGAACTTTGGGAGGCCAAGGTGGGAGGATCACTTGAGACCAGGAGTTCGAGACTAGCCTGGGCAACATAGCAAGACCTTATCTCTACTAAAAATAAAAATACTTAGCCCAGTATAGTGGCATGAGACTGTAGTCCCAGCTACTTGGAAGGCCAAGGCTGGAGGATTGCTTGAGCCCAGGAGTTTGAGGTTGAAGTGAGCTATAATCACACCACTGCACTTCAGCCTGGGCAACAGGGCAAGACCTTGTCTCAAAAAAAAAAAAATCAAAAAAATATTCATTGCAGTATTGTTTGTAATAGTGAACAATGTGTCCATCCACAGGGGACTGGTTGAATGAACCATGGTGTTCATATCCATATAAAGAATTGTGCAGATGTTAAAAAAAAATAGAGGCTGATAGAGAAACTGTTGATAGAGAAACTGTTTCAGAATGTATTGCTAAATGCAAAAAGCAAAGTAGAGAACACAACATATATATACACATATACATGTATATATGTGTGTGTATATATGTATATATATATATATACACATATATACTCTCTCTCTCTATATATATATATATTTTATTTATTTATTTTTTTTTTTGAGACAGAGTCTTACTCTGTCACCCAGGCTGGAGTGCAGTGGTGCAATCTTGGCTCACTACAACCTCTGCCTCCTAGGTTCAAGCGATTCTCCTGCCTCAGCCTCCCGTGTAGCTGGAATTACAGGCATGCGCCACCACGCCCAGCTAATTTTTGTACTCTTACTAAAGATGGGGTTTCACCATGTTGACCAGGCTGGTCTCTAACTCCTGACCTCAAGTGATCCACCCACCTAGGCCTCCCAAAGTGCTGGGATTATAGGCATGAGCCACTGCGCCTGGCCCTGAAGTTATTGAACAGGCAAAACTAATCTATGCTGGAAAAAAAAAATCAGAATTGTGATCATCTCCAGGAGTAGGTTGGGGACTGTTTGGTAAGGCACATGAGGGAATTTTCCCAGGTGATAAAAATATTCTGTATCTTAATGGGCAATTTGGTTACACATTTGCCAAAGGTGAACTATACAGTTAAGATTTGTGATTTTTGTTATATATAAATTTCACCTCCAAAATCAGCCAAAAGAAGTGTGAAAATATTATATTCTAGTTAATGACATGGTGAAGTCTTTTGGGTGATATGTACTCATGTCTGGAACTTTGAAGTGCATAAAAAATAAGAGAGATTGTGGAATGGACAGAGGGATGAACCGATGGATCAGTGTGTGATCAATCAAGAAGAGTACAGTGTTTAGAATCTAGATGATTGGCACCTGTAATCTCAGCACTTTGGGAGGCTGAGGCAGGCCGATCAGTTGAGGCCAGGAGTTCCAGACCAGCCTGGCCAACATGGTGAAACCCCTCTCTACAAAAATACAAAAATTAGCTGGGCATGGCGGCACATGCCTGTCATCCCAGCTACTCGGGAGGCTGAGGCAGGAGAATCGCTTGAACCTGATCCTGCCGCTGCACTCCATCCTGGGTGACACAGCAAGACTCTATCTCAAAAAAAAAAAAAAAAAAGAAAGAAAGAAAGAAAGAAAACTCTAGGCGATTGGCATATGAGCATTCACTGTATAAGAATTTCAACTTTGGACATTTTAATATTTTCATAATAACATGGCGAGAAAAAGGAAGTAATTGCTCTAGGCTGCTGTTATTCATATGAACTGAATAGAAATGCATTTACCAGAGTCAGGACAGCTGAGGGATTAAGAACAAGGACTCCAGAGCCAGCATGCCTGTGCCCTTAGCTCCACCTCTTACTAGCTCTGAGCCCTGGGGAAGTCACTAGCCTATCTCAACCTCAGTTTCCCAATCTGAACATGTTCATAATAATAATGCCTCCTGCACTGAGTTTGTGAGCATTAAATTCGTTAAGATGAGAAAAGTGCTAAGAAACATATCTGGTGCATAGCAGGTGCTCATTAAATTTAGTTATTTGGTCAACGTAAATCCCCCATTGCTGGATAATTTTTTGTTTGTTTGTTTTTGTTTTATGCTATTATAAACCATGTTGGCATGTTACCCCCCAGTCTCTGTCTCTGAATATCCTTTAAATTTCTAGACGTGGGATGGCTGGAGGGCAGGGTTCTAAGGTCCTGCTACTGATTTTCAAATCCGCCTCCCCACCCTCCAACTCCATGGCCCACTTCCCTGCACCCTGGTTTGAGGTCGGCCATTGGGCTTTGCCTCCGCCTTCGGACCCGCAGCTCATGGATGTTAACCCCCCAAAGCCCCCAGGTACTCACCAGGACGAAGCCAACTTCACCGCGGGTCAGCGACACAGAGTGGCTGTAGGCGCGCACAGTGACGAGGCCCACGTAGGAGACGCGGCGGCTGCCCCGGTGCTCGTTCTTGGCCTCCACGCTGAAGGCGGGCAGGGTGTCGTCCTCGCTGCACAGCTCCACCATCGTGTACGAACAGGTGCCCATCATGTCGTAGCGACGGCCGTCGAAGGTGGTGTAATGGGGGTCGCCCTGGGCGCGGCAGACAGCGGTGGACTCCGCCACACACCCGGCCTTCCCGCCTACCACCTGGCAGCGCTGCCCGGCTGCGCACTGCATGCCTTCGCAGGAGGGCTCCACTGGGGACAGTACAGCTGGGGAGGGAAGGGAACGGTGAAAAGAGAGAATCAGAAGTGTCCGCGGGGTTGTAATCCCAGCACATTGGGAGGCCAAGGTGAGGGGGGCGGATCACTTGAGGTCAGGAGTTCGAGACCAGCCTGCCCAACATAGTGAAACCCCATCTCCATTAAAAACACAAAAATTAGCAGAGCATGGTGGCACATGCCTGTAATCCCAGCTACTTGGGAGGCTGAGGCAGGAGAGTCTCTTGACCCCAGGAGGCGAAGGTTGCAGTGAGCTGAGATGGCACCACTGCACTCCAGCCTGGGTGACAAAGTGAGACTCTGTCTCACAAAGAAAAAAAGAAGAAAGAAGAGGAAGAAGAAGAAGAAAGAAGAAAGAAGAAGAAGAAGAAGAAGAAGAAGAAGAAGAAGAAGAAGAGGGAAGGGGGAGGAGGAGGAAGAGGAGGAGGAGGAGGAGGGAAGAAGAAGGAAGAAGGAAGAAACCGCCTCAGGCCTCAGAGGGAGGCATCCTGGAGCCCACCTTGCCGGGGAAGCTTGAGCAATTCGCTCACAACTGCCCATTTTTGCCCATTTTTGCCCATTTTAAAGGTGGGGAAACCGAGGTCTGGAACCCCACAGGGAGAGAGTTGCTCAGGCCTCTCTGAGAGCCCCATGTTTTCTGATTCTCCAGTTTAACACAGGGCAGCCTAGAAGAAGGGAAGGCAGTAAATAAGAAAAGGCAGAAACGGTCATTAAAATGTTAATTTGTGTTTTTCTCTCCCCCTTTTCCCCTCTTCCCTACCTTCCCTCCAGGGTCAAAAAGAGCTAAGGGATTTTTTTAAGGACAGAAAATGGAAGACAGCCTTCAGCAGGATGAAAAGGACTATGGAGTCAGGCCGCCTAGGTAGGAATCCTGGCTCAACCAACTGGCTCTGAGACACTGGGCAAGTGGTTTTAAACTCCCTCTGCCTCAGTTTCCTCATTTGTAACATGGGGGTGATAATAATACCTCCTTCGTAGGGATCTTGGTGGGGGGTGTTAGGATTAAATAAGCTAAAACTCGAGAAAGCTTTAGAACTGAACCTACGTGTTAAGTGGAGTGTTACCCATTATAATTAATCACCCACCGCTCCCTCATTCTATTTCTCAAGCCCAAAGTGGCTCCTTGAAGTTGGGTGGCTTCCATGCCTTGGAGGGGAGGGGAGGGGCATTTTTGCCAGGTCCAGGAATGCCAGAGTCTTAGCGTGGCAGGGACTACATGGGAAGAAACAGCTTTCCTCCATCTGCCTCCCAGTCCTCAAAAGTTTTTGCAGCTGGGTGTGGTGGCTCAGGCCTGTAATTCCAGCCCTTTGAGAGGCTGAGGCAGGAGGATCGCTTGAGCCCAGGAATTTGAGACCAGCCTGGGCAACATGGAAAGACCCTATCTCTACAAAATATAAATTAAAAATTAGCTGGGTGTGGTGGTGCATGCCTATAGTCTCAGCTACTTGGGAGGCTGAGGGAGGATTGCTTTAGTCCAAGAGTTCGAGGCTACGGTGAGCTGTGATCACACCACCGCACTCCAGCCCGAGTGACAGAGTGACACCCTGTCTCTAAAACAAAGTTTTGAGGGAGAAACAGTTATCCCCATTTTACAGATGTGGAAACTGAAGCCCAGAGAGATGAAGTCACTTGTCCAAGATCACACAGCAGAGCTGGGATTTGAACCCTGGGACCCTGCACTACACTGACAGCGTCTCATGGGCTGAGCCTGAGGTCACACAAACTGCCAGGTCATATACATTAACTGTGTCAAAAACACGTGAAACACCTAGAAAGATTGCAAGATACTCCCCTCCCCAACGCGTAGTCATCTTATTATCATACATTTAGATCTCCTAAGTTTGGGTATCAACATTCCTACATGAGGTGTGGAGAGTGGCTTAGCAACTGGTGTGGCTATGTCAGTTGCTAAAATATCAAAATATTTCCAAACTGGTTGGTGAGAAGCTGCTGACCTGACTGTCCCCCACAACCCCAAAGATCCCTCCTTCTCAGCACCCTGGCTCTCCCCTAGGGCCCTTTCCAGAACAAACCAACAGACAGGGGCTGATGCCAGCATGATGGGGGCTTCAGGACCCTGTCACAGTGCTTTGGCTGCTGTCTCTTCTGACTGGTAGTGCCCCAGCTCTCCCTGGTTGCTAAATATTTAGAATATTGTTTCTGGGCGGATGGGAGGGGCTGAGAAGACTTGAGGAAGGATGTCGCGGAGAAGAGAAGTGAGGGGAGGACAATCAGGATCCCGAAAGCCACAGAGGAGTAGGTGGGTGGAAAAGCGGTCACCAGGTGGACAGGACCAGGGGACATTTCCATTACTTACTCCGGCCGCAATCAGCAGCTGTTGCGTAGCCTATAGCCTTGGCCAGCCCGAAGGTGAGCAGTCCCAAGTTGGTGGTGGCCTCGGCCGTGTGGATCATGTCAGCTGTGCCGAGCTCCACTTCAGCATACGAGAACTCACTGCCTGGCACAGCCTCCCAGGTGAGCTTGGCCCCCACTGCATGCCCATCTATGGTCAGCCCGCTGATAGCCTTCGTCTGTGCCACTACCAGGGCCACGCCCTCACAGCCTGGTACACTCTTGACCACATAGGCTGGGCAGTAGGCCGCCACATCTGGGATCAGGACCAGGTAGGGGTCATAAGTCACTTCATTCCTTATGGCACCTGTGCCAAACAACAGGACCTGGATGCCCACATTTGCAGACAGGTAGAGTGGCCAGGATGGCCGGACCTCAAACTCTACCACATCACCTGCCTGGAGCCCACGGGAGCCAGTGATACCCCCATGGTTGTAGGTCAGCTTTGTGGCCTGGCTGGCCACAACGAAGGCCAAATCATAGCGAGATTGGGAGGCCAGCGTGGGTACTACATAGTGGGTGCCCCAGGCAGACGTGGGTAGCAGCTGCTCAACCACATGGTTGCAGGTCGTATGTTTCTGCGCACAGCTGTGGCCAGAGAGGACAGCCACGGGGCTACTAGCTGTGACCTTTGACCCCGAGAGATCCACTGAGCTCTGTAGCTGGGCCACATTGTAGGGCTGTAGAGTCACTCTTAGGACATCGCCTGCTGGATAGAACTTGCCATTGAATGTCACTGACCCCTTCAGCGTGACACTGACCGAGGCACCTGCGGCACCGGCCACCACGGCAAACTCCTTGACATTCCTGGCTGAGGTGCCGGGGGGTGTGAGCACAAAATACTCGGTGCCTAGGGCCTGGATGGGCCGCAGCAGTGTCAGCTCCGCTGTGTCAGGCTTGGCATTTAGTGCCTGCACAGAGATGGCATAGTCAGAATGGATCACCACCGCATGCTGGAAGATCTTGCTGCCTATCATCTCAGCCTTGGCACTGATGTTGACCATGACCGACTCCCCGGGCCTCACTGTGACCTTCTTTGAGGTGTTGTCTGCCTGGCTGAGGATGGAGACTGAAGCGGGGCTCTCTGACAGACTGGAGATAAGGAGGCGGGGGTAGGCCTTGCTGTAGGCCAGCTGATAGTTCTGCAGGAAGGCTGTGAGGAATTCCTCTCTGCCAGTGTTCTTGAGGTCCACTGAAGCCTCCTGGGTCAATCCTGGTTGAGAAAATACAGTTGTGGGTCCACTTATCCAATCCTCCCCACTTTTGCTCTGCACCCAGAAACATGTTGAAGTATTAACTTGGGCTTTCCCCCACCACCCTTCTCTTTCCTTTCTTCTGATTCATGCAGCTTTCGTCTACAAGCCTTCCTGGCTTTTGTTTTTCAAAAATCTAAACACCTTAGACAGGGCCCTCAAACTCCAATGCTGATGGGGCCAGGCAAGAAATATAAATGTGTGAAACAGTCCCGGAGGGGCGACTGTGGAACTGAAGCACTCCTATACCATCTAAAGTGGGTTGTTGCTTATGCAAATCCATCAGTGTGATACATCTTATCAACAGAATAAAGGACAAAAACTATGTGATCACTTCAATTGATGCCAGAAAAGCATTTGATAAAATTTAACATCCTTTCGTGATAAAAACTCTCAAGAAAGTAGACACGGAAGGAACACACCCCAACATGATGAAATCCATGTACAACAGACCCACAGCTGGTATCATACTGAATGGGGAAAAACTGAAAGCCTTTGCTCTAAGATCTGGAACACAGCAAGGATGTCCACTTTCACCACTATTCTTCAACATATTATTGTTAGTCCTAGCTAAACCACTTAGACAATAGAAAAAAATAAAGGGCATCCAAACTGGAAAAAGGGCATTCAAATTATCTTTGTTTGCAGATGATATAATCTTATATTTAGAAAAACCTGAAGACAGCTGGGCTTGGTAGCTCACGCCTATAATCCCAGCACTTTAGGAGGCCGAGGTGGGTGGATCACCTGAGGTCAGGAGTTCAAGACCAGCCTGGCCAACATGGCGAAACCCAATCTCTACTAAAAAAAAACCAAACATTAGCTGGGTATAGTTGCACATGCCTGTAGTCCCAGCTACTCGGGAGGCTGGGGCAAGAGAATCTCTTGAACCCAGGAGGTGGAGGTTGCAGTGAGCCAAGATCACACCACCACACTCCAGCCTGGATGACAGAGCAAGACTCTGTCTCAAAAAAAAAAACAACTTTGGCTGGGTGCAGTGGCTCAAGCCTGTAATCCCACCACTTTGGGAGGCTGAGCTGCACAGATGAAGAGGTCAAGAGATTGAGACCATCCTGACCAACGTGGTAAAACCTGTCTCTATTAAAAATACAAAAAAATAATTAGCCTGGCATGGTGGCAGACACCTGTAATCCCAGCTACTCGGGAGGTTGAGGCAGGAGAATCGCTTGAACCTGGGAGGCAGAGATGGTAGTGAGCTGAGATGGCACCGAGCTGAGATGGCACCATTGCACTCCAGCCTGGGCAACGAGAGCAAAACTCCATCTCAAAAAACAAAAAACAAAAAACAAAACAAAAAAAACAGAAAACCTAAAGACTTCATCAAGAAGCTATTAGAACTGATAAACAAATTCACTAAACTTGCAGGATACAAAATCAACATACAAAAATCAGTAGCATTTCTATATGCTTACAGCAAACAATCTGAAAAAAAAAAAGGAAAGTAATCCCATTTACAATAGCCACAAATAAAATAAAACACCTAGGAATAAACGAAAGAAATGAAAGATCTCTACAATGAAAACTATAAAACAGTAATGAAAGAAATGGAGGAGGACACACACCAAAAAAAATGGAAAGATATTCCATGTTCATGGATTGGAAGACACAATATTGTTAAAATGTCCATACTAACCAAAGCAATCTACCGATTCAATGCAATCTCTATAAAAATACCAGTGACATTCTTCACAGAAATAGAAGACTAATCCCAAAATTTGTGTGGAAACACAAAATACCCAGAATAGCTAACGCCATCCTGAGCATAAAGAACAAAACTGGAGGAATCACATTACCTGACTTCACATTATACTACAAAACTATAATAACCAAAACAGTGTGGTACTGGCATAAAAACAAACACATGGACCAGTGGAACAGAACATAGAACCCAGAAACAAATCCACCCACCTACAGTGAATTCATTTTTGACAAAGATCCCAAGAACATACATTGCATTTATTGAAGATAAATGGTACTGGGAAAACTGGATATCCATATGCAAAGAGTGAAACTAGACCCCTATCTCTCACCACATACAAAAATCAAATCAGAATGGATTAAAGACTTAAATCTAAGACCTCAGACTACGAAACTACTACAAGAAGACATTTGGGAAACTCTCCAGTTCATTAGTCTGGGCAAAAATTTATTAAGTAATACATCAAAAGCACAGGCAACCAAAGAAAAATGGACAAATGGGATCACATCAACCTAAAAAGCTTCTGCTCAGCAAAGGAAACAATCCACAAAGTGAAGACACAACTGACAGAATAAGAGAAAATATATACAACCCATCTTAGCTAAAGCAATTAGACAAGAGAAAGAAATAAAGGCATCCAAACTGGAAAAAAAAAAAAAAGAAGTCAAATTATCCTTGTTTGCAGATGATATAATCTGATATTTAAAAAAAACCTAAAGACGCCATCAAAAAGCTATTAGAACTGATAAACAAATTCACTAAATTTGCAGGATACAAAATCAACATACAAAAATCAGTAGCATTTCTAGATGGTACTGACAAGGGATTAATAACCAGAATATAAAAGGAGCTCAAACAACTCAATAGGAAAAAAATCAAATAATCTGATTTGTGTGTGTGTGTGTGTGTGTGTGTGTGTGTATGTGTGTGTGTTTGAGATGGGGTCTTACTCTGTCACCCCAGGCCGGACTGCAGTGGCACGATCTCAGCTAACTGCAACCTCCGCCTCCTGGGTTCAAGTGATTCTCTTGCCTCAGCCTTCCAAGTAGCTGGGATTACAGGCATGCGCCACCATGCTCGGCTAATTTTTGTACTTTTAGTAGAGACAGGGTTTCCCCATGCTGGCCAGGTTGGTCTCGAACTCCTGACCTCAAGTGATCCGCCTGCCTCGGCCTCCCAAAGTGCTGGGATTAGAGACGTGAGCCACCACGCCCGGATTAATCTGATTTTAAAATGGGCAAAAGATCTGAATAGACATTTCTCAAAGAAGACATACACATGGCCAGCAGGTATATCAAAAAATGCTCAACATCACTAATCATCAGAGAAACACAAATTAAAACCACAGTGAGATATCATCTCACTCGAGTTAAAATGGCTTTTATCCTAATGAAAGGCAGTAATGAATGCTGCTGAGCATGTGGAGAAAAGGGAACCCTGTTACCCTGTTGGTGGGAATGTAAATCAGTACAATCACTATCGATAATAATATGAAGGTTTCTCAGAAAACTAAAACTAGAACTACTGTATGATCCAGCAATTCCTTTCCTTCCAAGTCAGGAAGTCAGTATATGTAAGAGACATCTGCTCTCCCATGTTTATTGCAGCACTATTCCTAATAGCCAAGATACGGAATCAACCTAAGTGTCCATCAACAGATGAGTGGATAAAGGAAATTTGGTACATACAAACAATGGAGAATTATCCACCATAAAAAAGAATGAGATCACCCGGCACAGTGGCTCACACCTATAATCCCAGCACTTTGGGAGGCCAAGGCAGGTGGATCACTTGAGGTCAGGAGTTCAAGACGAGCCTGGCCAACATGGTGAAACCCTGTCTCTACCAAAACTACAAAAATTAGCCAGGAATGGTGGCATGTACCTGTAATCCCAGCTACTCGGGAGGCTGAGGCACGAGAATCACTTGAACCTGGGAGGCGGAGGTTGCAGTGAGCCAAGATCGCGCCACTGTACTCCAGCCTGGGCAACAGAGTGAGACTCGGTCTCAAAAAAAAAAAAAAAAAAGGAATGAGATCCTGTCATTTGCAACAACATGGATGGAACTGGAGGACATGATGTTAAGTGAAATAAGCCAGTATAGAAAGACAAATTTCACATGTTCTCACTCATAGATGGGAATTTAAAATTTTTAACTGATGAACTCATAGAAATAGAGAGTAAAATGATGGTTACGATGATTACCACAGGCTGGAAAGTGTAGCGGGGACTGGGGGATAAGTAGATATGGTTAATGGGTACAAAAATACAGTTAAACAGTTAGATAAAATAGATAAAATCTAGTATTTGGTAGCAGAACAGGATGACTATTGTTGACGATAATTTATGGTATATTTTAAAATAACTGAGAGTGGAATTGGAATGTTCCTAACACAAAGAAATGACAAATGCTTGAAGTGAGGGATGCCCTAGTTACCCTGATTTTATCATTACACACTGTATGCCTGTATCAAAATATCACAGGTACCCCATAAATGCAAACCCATAAAAATTAAAAATTTTAAAAATATATAAACTAGTAAAAAAAAAAAAAGTGGATTGTTGGTACTAGCTTTCACCTGTTATAATGAAAGAATGTGAGCTTTTTTAAATTGTAAGACCTTCCTGTTTTTCTTTTTTTTTTTCTTCTGAGATGGAGTCTCGCTCTGTCACCCAGGCTGGAGTGCAGTGGCACGATCTCGGCTCACCACAACCTCTGCCTCTCAGGTTCGAGTGATTCTACCACCTCAGCCTCCCGAGTACTGGGACTACAGGTGTGCGCCACCAGGCACAGTTAACTTTTGTATTTTTTCTTTTTTTTCTTTTGAAATGGAGTCTCACTCTGTTACCCAGGCTGGAGTGCAGTGGCGCGATCCTGGGTCACTGCAACCTCTGCCTCCCGGTTTCCACGCCCAGCTAATTTCTGTATTTTTAGTAGAGATGGGGTTTCACCCTGTTGGCCAGGCTGGTCTCAAATTCCTGACCTCAGGTGATCCACCTGCCTCGGTCTCCCAAAGTGCTGGGATTACAGGCGTAAGCCACCACGCCTGGCCGTTCTTTCTGTTTTTAAAGAGAATGTGGCTATCTGAATTTTCATGTGAAATCTCCAACCCACAATTGTTTTAAGCACTTTGGGGCTCAAGGTGGATGTACTCTGCTGCCAGTGTATGATTTCCATCTTTTTACAAACTGGAGTGCAGTGGCTTAAACACAACACACTGCAGCCTCAACCTCCTGGGCTCAAGGGATCCTCCTGTCTCAGCTTCTGGTATAGCTGGGACCACAGGCACGCACTGTGTGCCTGGCTCATTTTTTAATTTTTTTCTAGAGGCAGGGTCTCACTTTGTTGCCCAAGCTGGTCTTGAACTCCTGGGCTCAAGTGATCCTCCTGCATCAGCCTCCCGAAGTGCTGGGATTACAGACGTGACCAACTGTACCCAGCTGGTTTTTGTCTTAATAGGACTTGTGGGGGCCAGGCGCGGTGGCTCTTGCCTGTAATCCCAGCACTTTGGGAAGCCAACGCGGGTGGATCACTTGAGGTCGGGAGTTCATGAGCAGACTGACCAACGTGGTGAAATTCCATCTCTACTAAAAATGCAAAATTAGCCGGACATGGTGGCATGGGGCGCCTGTAATCCCAGCTACTAGGGAGGCTGAGGCAGGAGAATCGCTTGAACCCAGGAGGTGGAGGTTGCAATTAGCTGAGATCACACCATTGCACTCCAGTCTAGGCAACAAGAGTGAAACTCCATCTCAAATAATAATAATAATAATAATAATAATAATAATAATAATGGGACTTGGGGGTTTGTGAAAAGGGGATAAAGAGAAGAAGGGGATTATGGAAGGGTGAATGAATTGTCTCCTAGAAATAGATGGCAGTGGGGGCTTCTGACCACCCCCAACTAGGAAGAGCGTCCCTGGGGCTGAGGAGAGAGAGGTCTAAGGAATCTTGAAGAGAGTGTGGGGGCTATGGAATGACCACCTTCCATATAAAGGGGGCTTTGAAGGATATCCCAGGGGGCCAGGGGATCAGGAACAATGGACATTTCAAAAGTAACCTAGATGGATGCTGACTGGTGACGAGAGGGTCCTCATATCCCATCCTCCCCCCAGTACTTTGGCTTTATCCAAAATTTTAGTTCTGGACACATCCCTGGGAGAAGTGGGGACAACACCCTCCAAGAATGACTTTCGTGAAATTTTCCATCAACTTAGCAGAATGAGGCTCAGAGTCAAAACCTTAGTTGAGTTGCAGAAAACCAAGAAAGTTCTTGCACACTTGAGTTTGGGGACTAAGGTTTTTGCCTGTGCTCCCATCCAGAAAAGGGTGAGAATTGGTGAATTCTACCACATCCCCCTGCAGAGCCTAAGGGCCTCTCTCCTGTCTCAGCTAGCCTGGGGTGACATGTGGAGGAGGCACACATGGAAGGCGTGGACCCACGCAGAGTTCCCCAGATTGGAACAAGGACATGGAGAGGGTCTTGGTCTGACTTACCCCACAGGAGGGTTGCTCCAGCCCAGAGTATCCACCAGCTCCATAGGGCACCCATGGCTGCAGTAGGAAAAGAGAAAGGATCATAGAAGGCTGATCCACCGCCTCTGCTGGAGACTGTCCTGGGCAGAAGGGCCCACTCTCATGACAAGGGCCACCTGGGACCATGAAGGCTGAGGTGGGGAAAGAAGTCGGGCAGATTGGGCCAGGGGGTATGGATCCAAGGACCAGTGTGTGTGTATAGGGGAGGCTGGCTGTCCAGCGGGTCTGGAGGTGGGTTGGGGAGGGCAGAAGCCAGGGACGGGGTGGAGAGTTGGCTGTCTTGTGGGTCTAGGGGTAGGATGAGGAGGCCTACAGTCAGGGGCAAGAGTAGGGGACCTGCTGTCCCACTTCCAAAGGGGACCCCAGCCCTTCTCACCTGCAGGTCCCTGGAGCTGCAGGGCCAGCCCTGTGGCAGGGCTATATAGTGGAGTTTCTGGGCCACACCCTGGGCCACGTGCCAGGCAGATGATGCCAACTTCCTGGAGGAGGCTGCCATCCTCATGGCCAGATGAAATGGGAAACTGTGAAGGCCTGGGAAGGAGGGACAGTGATTCTGGATGCCTGGGTTCCAAGAAGGGAGTGAGGACAGCTGGTGGCCATTCCCTGGAAGCCTTCTGGAGAGTTTGGTCCTGGAAGGGTGGGGTCCCTGAGGGAGACAGCTGGGGAGCAGGCAGATGAGCACCTGGGTCCCTGGGTGGAGGTGGGGTAGGGTGGGGGTGTGGGCAGTGAGGGTGGGAGGTGGCATGTGGTCATATTTGCTGGCTTAGTGGCTAGGTTCCTTCCTTTGGCTCCTGCCAGGAACAACAGTGAGGGACCCATATCCGGGTCCTGGTTCCTTCTCAGTCCCCACAGGCTGGGGAGTCCCTAGCCACCCACATCCTGCTTCCAGACACCACTAGGGGCAGGTGTCTGGGATGGGCAGGAGTCTGAGGCTATGGAGTGGGACACAAGACCTCCACCGCAGCCCAGTGGGGCGTCTGCGGTTTCTCATCTGCAAAATGGGAACACCAAAACCAGCCTCTCTGGGCATCTTTACGTCCCAGAGATGTAAAAAAATTCTCAAGGACTGTAGAGCTGGGGGGCAGCCTCCTCTGGTGTGGGCGCAGGCCAGGCTGCAGGTGGGCACTGGGACTGAGGCGGTGTGTGAAGAAGGGACAATGGCCTCTGTTTCCTGGTTCCACACAGACACCCAGATTCTACTTCTGATCCCAGACACCTGCTCCTCAGTGGTGCTGGAAACAGGATATAGGTGGCCAGGGACTCCCCAGCCTGTGAGGACTGAGGAAGAGCCAGGACCTGTTGGTTTTGGAGTTTTTTTGTGTGTAGGGAGGGTTTGCTCTTAGCAGGGGCTAGCTGAACAGGTTTAGGGGACTCTGTGCCTCTCCATCACCCCAGAATTTGCCTGAGATGGGAGGTGGAGGTCTAGGTTGCACACAAGGAGCAGAAGAATGAGCTGAAAGTTGGGCTTTCTCAGCTGGAGTCAGCTCCTCTGAGGGGCTGGCCTGACCCATGCCCTGCCTGCCTTCTCCCTGACTCAGGATCTCATTGTTTGCTGGGGGAGTCTCCCCTGGGACCAGCAGCTGCAAAGCCTGGGTGCTCTCTTGGACCAACACCCTAGCAGCTGCTGCCCCTGGGGCTCCTCCTCTCTTATCACAGCAGCCTGGGCCTCTGGGAGGCCAGAGCGGGTGGGGGGCTTCTCTCTCCCTGGAGCTCCAACCAATCCCCACGCCCACCCAAGAAACGTTCCTGGAGGGAAAGATAAAGGCTAAGAGTTGACTGGGACATAAAGTCAACCAGGAGAATGAGGTGAGTAAATAGGAGACTGGCTAAAAGCCAGAGATAACAAGAAACAAGCAGGGGCAGGGGACCCACAGGAAGTGGAAGCTTTGGGAAAAGGATGCCTGGGTCCCTGAGGGGTCTAAAAGTTGGTGGAAGGGGCTGCTGGGTCCCTGAGACAGAGAAGGACTCGGAGGAGGAGACGTCGGGATTCCTAGGAGGAAACAGCAATTGCAAACCAAGATGTGAAAATTCTCTGTCTGAGGCCAGGCGCAGTGGCTCAGCTTATAATTCCAGCATTTTGGGAGGCTGAGGCAGGAGGATTGCTTAAGGCCATGAGTTTGAGACCAGCCTGGTTCAAGACCAACATAGTGAGACCCTGTATCTACAAAAAAATACAAAAATTAGCCAGGCACGGTGGTGCACGCTTGTAGTCCCAGCTACTTGGGAGGCTGAGGCAGGAGGATCACTTGAGGCCACAAGGTCAAGACCAGCCTGGGCAACATAGTGAGACCCTTTCTCTACAAAAAATATAAAAATAAACCGAGTGTGGTGGCATGCACCTGTAGTCTCCACCATTCAGGAGGCTAAGGTGGGAGGATTGCTTGATCCTAGGAGTCTGAGGCTGCAGCGAGCCGTGATCATGCCACTGCATTCTGGCCTGGGGAGAAAAAGAAAAAAGAAAATAAAATCCTCTGTGTGCCATATGCCTCTTGTAATTAGAGGCACTCAGAGACAAATGGGAGGTGAAGGGAAAGAATCAGGGTGAGTTTCATGGGTGTTTCTGGCCCTCAATTCTCTCTAAGCCTTGGGGTTTCCCCTGGTTGATCACAGAAAGAAGCTTCCTGCCTTCAAAATTCATCATCGCTCTCCACAGCCAGAGTCCCCAGAAATGGGGTGGTTGTGGTGGGAGATCTCACAAATTAATACTCTGTATGTGCCAATCCCCTTGGGTCTTCTTTCTCACTCCTTTTAAGGCCCAAGTGGTGTGTGTGTGGGTGTGTGTGTGGGTGTGTGTGTGTGTGTGTGTGTATGTGTGTGTGTACACCCCTGTGCTTTACCCTGTATTATATCAATTCTCAGGAAACCCTTTGGTGACCCGGGAAATAAACTCTGGGGACACTTCCTTATGGTCAGAGAAATCGCATCCATCCCTCCACTGGCAGCCTTGCTCTGAGCCCAAACAAGGGTATTTGTGTACCTGAGCCTTTCGGCCTCTTCCTGCTTATCTGCTTCCGTCTCCTTGCAGCATGGGCACTGGCTATACCATCCCAGACCCCTGGGCCCCTCTGACTAGTCTTGGCTTTATAGACTGGAGCACAGTGGAAGAGAATTTACTCTCTCCAGCTAAATTCAGGCTTGCGGGCAATTTCTAACTTAATTCCTTTACGCTCTGGATCCCACAATCCGACTTCCATAAGCACTGAACGTTTTGTTAAACTCTCCAATGACCCATTATTTGCCACTTGCCTCTAGTTCCTTCCCTCTAACATTTGACATTCACACTTCCTCTCTGCCTATAATAATTGAAATTCTATAGGAGATGTTCTCTGACCATAATGGAATCAGCTTGAAATGAATAACAGAAAAACAGGAAAATCTCCACTCACAAGGATATTGAGCAACTCACTTCTAAATAATCCATGGGCCAAAGAGGAAGTATCAAAAATACATAGAATTAAATGAAAATGAAAAGAAGATATTTCAAAATATGTGGGATATAGCTAAAGGGAAATTTATGGCATTAAATATTTACATTAGGAAAGAGGAAAGTTCTTAAACCAATATTCTAAGCTCTTCTTACACAATAAAGTAGTAAAAGACCAAAACAAACACAACGCAGAAGAAAGGAAATAATGAAGAGCAGAAATTAATAAAACTGAACATGAGAAAATCAATGAAACGAAAGAACTACTTCTTTGTTGTTGTTGTTGTTGCTAACAAGAGCAAGTCTTTGAATTTCCCAAATGTATTTGTGGATTTGTCTATTGTTGAATAGAGCATTCTATAAATATCAATTAGATCCTGTTGATTGATGCTGTTATTCAGTTCTTTGATATTCTCACATATTTTATCCTGGTAGTTCTATCAATTTGGTGAGACTGACGTTTTTAATTCTCCAACTATATTTGTGGACTTGTCTATTTCACCTTTCAGCTCTATCAGTTTTTGCTTCATGTACTTGAATCTCTGTTGTTTGGTACATATACCTTAGGATTGCAATGTCTTGGCAGAATGATCCTTTGTTTTTAGCAATGTTTTTCGCTCTGAAGGAAAGTATTTTCGTATTAATATAGTACTTCCTTCCTTTTAAAAATTTATATTTAAAATTATATATATATTTATTTATTTATTTATCTATTTATTTTTTAGACAGAGTCTCGCTCTGTTGCCCAAGCTGGAGTGCAAGGGCATGATCTCGGCTCACTGCAGCCTCTGCCTCCCAGGTTCACGCAATTCTCCTGCTTCAGCCTCCCAAGTAGCTGGGATTACAGGCACCTGTGACCACGCCTGGCTAATTTTTGTATTTTTGGTAGATACGGGGTTTCACCATGTTGACCAGGCTGGTCTTGAACTCCTGACCTCAAGTGATCTATCTGCCTTGGCCTCCCAAAGTGCTGGGATTACAGGGGTGAGCCACTGCACCCAGCCTAAAATTTATATTTATAATAACATAAATTAATAAAATTAATATATATTTCTATTCTTTTATTTTCAACCTACCTATGTTGTTATATTTGGAGTAAAGTTTTTTGGAGACAGTATCTAGTTGGATCATTTTTTAAATCCACTCTACCAATCTCTGGCCTTTTATTTCATGTAAGGAGATAGACTATTTACATTTAAAGTAGTTATTGATATGTTTGGACTTAAGATTAACATTTTAATATTCATTTTCCATTTGTTCCATTTCTCATTCTTATTTTTTCTTGCATTCCTGTGAGTTACATGAGCATTTTTTAGCATTCCATTTTGATTCATATTATTTTCGAATACATAATTTGTAGAATTTTCTTAGCACTTGCTCTAGTACTACAATATACATATGTAACTGATTATAATCCAACTTATGAATATTTTACCACTTTGATTGAAGTGTTGAAACTTTACATCCATATAGATCCTTTTACCCTCCCACTTATACATATGCGTGTGTGTGTATACACATATAACTATTTTAAGTATTGTCTCTTCCTATAGACATCAGATAATACTATAATTTTTGCTTCAACCAACTACGATTTTTAAAAACTCATGAGAAGGGTAATCTGCTATAGTTATCACTATTTTTGTCCATTCTGCTGTTCTTCCTTCCTTTCTAAAGTTCTGAGCCTTTTCCTGTAATCATTTGGACTTTGGAGAACTTCCTTTAATCATTCTCTAAAAATAATTCTGCTGACGGCAAAGTCTTGTAGTCTTCCTTCATCTAAAAGCTTTTTATTTCTTCTTCATACCCCGTAGATAGTTTTGCTGCATATAAGATTCTCGGCTGGGCACAGTGGCTCACGCCTGTAATCCCAGCACTTTGGGGTGCTGAGGCGGGCAGATCACAAGGTCAGGAGTTCCAGACCAGCCTGGCCAACATGGTGAAACCCTGTCTCTAATAAAAGTACAAAAATTAGCCGGGCATGGTGGCGGGCGCCTGTAGTCCCAGCTACTTGGGAGGCTGAGGCAGGAGAATCACTGGGAGGTGGAGGTTGCAGTGAGCCAAAAGCACACCACTGCATTCCAGCCTGGAGGACAGAGCGAGACTGTCTCAAAAAAAAAAAAAAAAAGATTCTCAGCAGATAGTTATTTTCTTTCAGCACTTGAAGAGTATTGCTCCAGGCTTTCTTCTCCATGGTTTTTGATAAGAAATTTTTTGTCATTTGATCAGTGTTCCCTATAGACAATTTATAATTCCTCTCTAGCTGCTTCCAAGATAGTTTCATTGTTTGCCTTTGTTTTCATAAGTTAGTTATACTGTGTTTTGGCATGGAATCCGTCAGATTTATTCTGTTTAGCTTCTTGCATCTGTAGGTTTATGTCTTTTGCCAAATTTGGGAAGGTTTGGTCATTATTCTTCAAATATTTTTCAGCCCCACTTTCTTTTCTCCTTCTGTTAATCTGATAATACAAATGTTAGCTATTTTATAATTGTCCTGCAGGTTCTCTGAGCCCTTGTTAGTCATTTTCTGTTTCTCTTTTTTAAAGTTGATTGTCTCTCTGTTTTTTGGATTGGGTAATTTTTATTGTTCTATCTTCAAGTTCACTTCTTATTTCCTTTGTCATAGTTGCTCTGCTCTTGAGCCTTTCCAGTGAGTTTTTATTTTAGTTATTGTATTTTTCAGTTTTATCATTTTCATTTGATTCTTTAAGAACATACTTTCCATTTCTTTGGTGAGATTTTCTTTTCTTTCCCATCTTTGCAAGGAATTTCTACTTGCTTGGTGAAACATTTTTATGATGGCTACTTTAGATCTTTGTCAGATAATTCTAAAATCTTTCATCTCAGTGTTAGATTGTTGATTGGCTTTTCTCATTCAAGTTGTGATTTTTCTGGTTGTTCATATTATGTATGATTTTTAAATTATATCCTGGACATTTCTGGTATTATGAGAGGAGACCCTGGATCCTATTTAACTCTTCCATTTTAGCAGTCACTGTTTTTAGGTTAGCATGCAGGTCCTGGCCTACTTTTGTGTGCTATGATTCCAATGACAATTTAGTTTTCAGAGCCCTTGCATTATTATTCCGGTCTATTTCATTTGCCTGGTGCTGGTTGAGCTCATACCCAATTCCTGTTAGTACCACCAATGGAGGTTAAAAGCATTTTCTTGGGGCCTGCTTGGTGCTGCTACGTTAGGAGTAGGAGACACTGGCACAAAAGGGTGGAGAGTACTTCCCTGGGCTGCGTGGTGCCAGCAGGGCTCTTCCTTCATCTCTGCCATCCACTAGGGTGGGGAAAGCACCTACCTGGGTGCTTTCTGCCGCTGGATAGGGGGCTGGGGAGATGCTGGATCTAGACCACGTCCTGTCGTTGGGTGGGAAATTGAGAGATGCTGGGCCACTGAGATGTTTCTCGAGTTCTAAGGCCCTTGTCAGTTTTCCTTCTTTTTATCTTTCAGAGTCCTCTTAAGAATGTCTGTTATGTTATTCCAGGGTTTTTAGCAGAGAGGAGCCAGGAAAAATAAATCTATGTCATCTTGACAGAGATGTTACCATCATCCTGGCTTGTTGTAGTCTCCTAAGATAGAAATCAAGTGAGATTACCAGACACAGTATTAAAGAGAAAAAAAAAAAAAAGTTTGTTTCCGTTTGTGCAGAAGGGAGGTCAGCACCGTGAAAGGAAAAGGGTAGGCTGCTCCCCACAGGGAGCAAGTCGATCTGTCTTGTAGGGGTCCAGATGCCATGATGTGCCTGTCATCATGTGTTAACAAGGGATTTCTTGGCGCCTGCACAATGGTTCAACATGGTTTTTCATACATTGCATGTAATATTGGCATTTTAAATCTCTACCTCTGAGCATGATTTTTAGCATTGAAATAAGGAAATTATCACTGTAAGTTGAAACCTAAGCTGTTCCTGTGGCTTCCTGGGGAAGTCCCTAAGCCCCTAAAGCAGGAACTTGTGGTTAATAGCTTCTTGGGCCTCTGATGCTGACTGGCTGGAGGTTAGGTATAGAACAGGAATTAAAAGAAATAAAGAATGTGTAAGCAAAACTTAGTTGTATGTAAGAAAACCCAATTCCCCCTGAGGAAGAGAAAGAGCTGGAGTCCTTTAAAATTAACTGCCTGTTTTTCTATGGCTAGTGAGCCTTATCTCTCCCTTTCCCAGGCATTGTGAAGACTCTGTTTCTCTAGCTGTGCAGCTGTAAGATCACTAGACAGATAATCTCAAGTCGTAAAACATGCTGTTCCTTGAAAAAAAAATGATATAATGCATGTCTCAATTGAATGACTGTCTTTGTTTCTCACTTCTGTGATATGCTTCCCCCTGCACAGATCTCCCCCAGCCCCACGAAATGCTTAAAAGGTAGCTTGACTCTTTGTTCAGGGCTCAGTCCTTTGGATGTTAATCTGACTGGGTCGGTGCACCTGAATAATTAAATAATTCCTCCTCAACCCCACGGTCTCTCTGATTCCTTAATTATCCTGCTGCAGACAAGCTACAGCTTGAGTAAGGGGCTTTTGTTCTTTTTCACTAAACCACCTCAAAATAGGAAGCCAGCCAGCTGTCTCACTCCCAGCCAAGAGATTTCATTCTCCTTATTCTTTTTTTTTTTTTTTTTTTTTTTAGACCAGGAGAAATAACTTTATTTGAATAGGACCCGAGACAGCATATTGGGCTAAGGAGGAGAGGTAAGGTTCCAAAACCGCAGTCAAAGCTCATCAACCAAATGGACTCTACTTCCCAGCAACCTTGCAGTTAGTGCAACCAACAAAAGGCCTGCTGGGGAATGTATTTGCCACTAAATCCCCCAAGTATGCCAACATTACAAAAAAGATAGAGGTTTTTCATCATAATTGAATTTCCACAAACCTCCCCAATCACAAGTATTATAAGTGGAAGTAAAAAATCACATTTTACAGATCTCAAACTTGTCTTCAACATTTAGTTCATCATCTTCAAAAAATAGCTCCCCTGCCTAATTCATTAGCTATATGATCTCTCCAAGCAGCAACAAGATGGCCAGGCCATGGCAATCCTCTTCCTATTTCCCCTAGCCACTCAGGGCTCAACAGCAGGGTGAGGCTCAGGTGGAGGTAGGGGGTGGGGAGCACAAGGGCTACATTCCCCCAGTACAACGTGGCATCTGAAGCTTGATGGGAGAGCAGAACTGGTGGGACTTGAGGGAAGGGTCCAGGGCCTGTATTCAGTCAGAATCACTGCTGGAAGAGGAGGAGGAAGAGGAGGAATGCTTGTCATGCTTGTGGTACTTGTGGTGCTTTTGGTGCTTGTGCATCTTTTTATGAGCTTTCTTCATTTTCTTCTGCATCTTCTTGTCCACTATCACTGCTGGTCCAACCATGCCAGGAGCCAAGGGATTCACAGGAGGGATTCCAGGGGCAGGCGGTGGGTATGGAGGAGGGTAGGGACCCAACGGTTGGCATCCTGGATACCCTGGCTGTGGCACAGGATGAGGGGGCCCACCTGGGGGGAAAGCTGGATTGCCATGGGGAGCTCCTGGGGGAGGAGGACAGGGGCCTGGGGGAAAGGGTGGATTAATAGGTGGTGGGTGGGCAGGATTGGAACCTCCAGGGCACCCAATATTGGGGGGATATGGATTTGGCCCTGGCTGCCCGGCATTGGGATTCCACATGTTTAGGTGTGTCCTCCAGCCTTTCCACCGCCGCCTGGGCTTGCTGCGTTCTCCTTCGCAGTCCTCATTCTCCTTATTCTTAAGGAGCAAAGGTCTCTTCTGGAACTACTTCCTGCTAAGCATGGACATAGTCTCTACATCTATTTCCAGGAGGAGTAGAAATTTCTTATGGCTTGCTGAAGGGGCTGATACGGCTCTGGGCTAGTGGTCTCTGAAACAGGCTGGAAGCCTGGCAAGACCATTTACTTGGCATGAAAGCATTACAGTCTGAAAGACGTGAATTTTACCAGCAGGTTAAACAAGCATGGTTTAAAAATTAAAAATTTAAAGATTAAAAACTTTAAATATTAAAAGAAGAAAGATAGCCAATAAGGGCTTAAGAAAGGGAGGAACCAAGTTACAAGCCTTACAAGGGTAAGGTTCATCTGACAGCATTGTACACTAAGTTGACTTCCTTTATCAAAAGAGTGTAACCAATTTCCTGATTGTAAATTGCCTGGGTGTTAACCTCTACTCGCCCAGTAGTATTTATCCAAGTGCAGCAGGAGGTATGGTGACTGTACAAACATCTTCCTGTTCAGCTAATAAGTAACCTAGAAGTCTTGCACAATGATTAACTTGACATGAAACTATTGTAGTCTGAAAGACACAAATTTTACCAGCAGGTTAAAGAAGCATGGTTTAAAGATTAAAAGAAGAAAGATAGCTAATAAGGGCTTAAGAAAGGAAGGAACCAAGTTATGGAGGGTAAGGCCCAAGTTATGGAGGGTAAGGCCTAGCAGTTGTCCAACACCACATTAGCAAGAGAATTGAGGGAGGTTTTTAGCCTTTCCAGGGCCTGCCTCACCTGGTCCACTATATGCCTAGGGCTATTGTGACTCCAGGTACCCTGCACCCAGACTAAAAGGAAGAGGTTACAGTGAGATAGAAGGTACAGTGGCTGGGCGCGGCGGCTCACGCCTGTAATCCCAGCACTTTGGGAGGCCGAGGCGGGTGGATCACAAGGTCAGGAGATCAAGACCATCCTGGCTAACACGGTGAAACCCCCATCTCTAAAATACAAAAAATTAGCCAGGCATGGTAGCATGCACCTGTAGTCCCAGCTACTTAGGAGGCTGAGGCAGGAGAATCCCTTGAACCCAGGAGGTGGAGGTTGCAGTGAGCCGAGATCGTGCCACTGCCCTCCAACCTGGACAACAGAGTGAGACTCCGTTTAAAAAAAAAAAAAAGGAAGAGGGTACAGTGGGAGCATGATTCATGCCAGGCCCTCACCATGTCTTGAGTATGACCTGTGCACCTAATAGGGAAATGATCCCAAACTATCTTACCCAGCTGGGGTAATATTTTATTATTATATTGTCTGCTAAATTTTCCCCAAGTTGATAATGTATTTTAAAGCCTGATTTAAGTCTTCATCTATTAGAAAGTTTGTCTTGAGAAAGGACTGCTCCAATAGGTCATTTTAAAAGGGCTGAGCTTTAAGTTCCCCTTTGGGGTGGATCTTATTCTTAGTAAGGCAATAGGGAGGCACTTAATCCATGATTTCTGGGCTTCTTGGCATAGTGTAGCCAAGGTTCTTTTTAAGGGTTTGATTCATTCTCTCAACTTTCCCAGAAGATTGAGGATGCCAGGCAGAGTGAAGTTTGTATTGGATGCTAAGACTGCTAGACAGCCCTTTGGTGACCTAGGTGATAAAAGACAGCCTGTTGTCACTTTGTAGGGAGGCTGGAAGCCCAAACCTAGGAATTCCTTGTTTAAGCAGCCATTTACTTTTTGTTTGTCTGGTTTGGTTTGGTTTTTAATTTTTTTTTTGACAGAGTCTCGTTCTTGTTGCCCAGGTTGGAATGCAGTGGCACGATCTCAGTTCACTGCAACCTCCACCTCCAGGGTTTAGGTAATTCTCCTGCCTCAGCCTTCTTAGTAGCTGGGATTACAGGTGCCCTGTGCCACCATGCCCAGCTAATTTTTGTATTTTTTTTTTTTGAGACGGAGTCTCGTTCTGTCACCCAGGCTGGAGTGCAGTGGTGCGATCTCGGCTCCCTGCAAGCTCCGCCTCCCGGGTTCACGCCATTCTCCTGCCTCAGCCTCCCGAGTAGTTGGGACTACAGGCGCCTGCCACCATGCCCGGCTAATTTTTTGTATTTTTAGTAGAGATGGGGTTTCACCGTGTTAACCAGGATGGTCTCGATCTCCTGATTGTGATCTGCCCGTCTCAGCCTCCCAAAGTGCAGGGATTACAGGTGTGAGCCACCGCACCTGGCCTTAATTTTTGTATTTTTAGTAGATGGGGTTTCACTATGTTGGTCAGGCTGGTCTCAAACTCCTGGCCTCAGGTGATCCGCCCA
This sequence comes from Homo sapiens, assembly GCF_000001405.40. Taxonomy (NCBI): domain Eukaryota; kingdom Metazoa; phylum Chordata; class Mammalia; order Primates; family Hominidae; genus Homo; species Homo sapiens. The sequence goes on from NW_009646206.1 coordinate 221,170, forward strand.
CCTCAGCCTCCCAAACTGCTGGGATTACAGGCGTGAGCCACTGCACCCGGCCTTTAAGCAGTCATTTACAAACTTCAATTGCTTTTTCTGTTTGTGTGGGGAAAGCTTCCACCCAGCCTGCGAAAGTGTCTATAAAAATCAGAATATATTTGAATTCCCCTTTAGGGGTATCTGTGTAATTCGCCAATCTTCTCCAGGATAGGTCTTCTTATGCTGCACTGGGGCAGAGCCAGTGGATGGGCTCAGGAATTATTTCTAAGACAAATTTCACATGCTTGAGTTACAGAGTCCACTGTGGCTTTTTTATTTTTATTTTTTGAGACTGAGTCTCACTCTGTCACCCAGGCTGGAGTGCAGTGGCATGATCTTTGCTCACCGCGGCCTCTGCCTCTCAGGTTCAAGCAATGCTCCTGCTTCAGCCTCCTGAGTAGCTGGGATTACAGGCATGCGCCACCACACCCAGCTAATTTTTATATTTTTAGTAGAGACGGGATTTCACTAAGTTGGCCAGGCTGGTCTCGAACTCCTGACCTCAGGTAATCCACCCACCTCAGCCTCCCAAACTGCTGGGCTTACAGGTGTGAGCCACTGCACCTGGCCCACTGTGGCTTTTTCTTTCTTTCTTTTTTTTTTTTTTGACAAGGTCTCGCTTTGTCACCCAGGCTGGAGTGCAATTGTGCAATCTTGACTCACTGCTGCCTCAAACTCCTGGGCTCGAGCAATCCTCCCACCTCAGCTTCCCAAGTAGTTAGTACCACAGATGCATTCCACCATGCCCAGATAATTTTTAAAAATGCTTTTGTAGAGACACAGTCTTATCGTGTTGCCCAGGCTGGTCCTGATCTCCTGGGCTCAAGCAATCCTCCTGCCTCAGCCTCCTCAAATGCTGGGATTACTGGTGTGAACCACCATGCCTGTTAGGCTGTAGCTTTTAAAGCCTTGCTCACTAGGAGATTTTGGATTAAATTCCATAGTGAGTCTCTCTCATAATGAGTTTCCTCATGAAGTCTTTTGATGACTTTCCATTGGTCAGCTTCTGGTAGGAAAAGGCATTGTTGCTGATCTTCTAGCCACCCTGACCATTTAAATTATACCCTCCTTCATCTGCTCAGTTTTTTTTTTTTTGATGGAGTCTCGCTCTGTTGCCCAGGCTGGAGTGCAATGGTGCCATCTCAGCTCATGGCAATCTCTCCCTCCTGGGTTCAAGCGATTCTCCTGCCTCAGCCTCCCAAGTAGCTGGGACTACAGGCATGCACCACCACGCCCAGCTAATTTTTGTGTATTTTAGTAGAGACAGGGTTTCACCATGTTGGCCAGGCTGGTCTCGAACTCCTGACCTTAGGTGATCCTCCCACCTTGGCCTCCCAAGGTGCTGGGATTACAGGCATGAGCCATCACTCCTGGCCAACCACTGCCAACTTCTTTTTTTTTTTTTTTTTTTTTGAGATGGAGTCTCGCTCTGTCCCCTAGGCTGGAGTGCTGTGGTGCGGTTTCAGCTCACTCTAAGCTCCACCTCCCGGGTTCACGCCATTCTCCTGCCTCAGCCTCCCAAGTAGCTGGGACTACAGGCGCCTGCCACCATGCCCAGCTAATTTTTTGTGTTTTCAGTAGAGACGGGGTTTCACCATGTTAGCCAGGATGGTCTTGATCTCTTGACCTCGTGATCCGCCTGCCTCGGCCTCCCAAAGTGCTGGGATTACAGGAATGAGCTAACGCGCCCGGCCCAGCTGCCCGTTTGGCAGCTCTATCAGCCTGGTTGTTTCCTTGGCTGATTAAAGAATTGTCTTTTTGATGCCCTTTATAGGACATAACAGCTATTTGGGCAGGGAGCTTAATATGGTTTGGCTCTGTGTCCCCACCCAAATCTCATCTCGAATTGTAATCCCCTCATGTCAAGGGAAGTACTTGGTGGGAGGTGACTGGATCACGGGGGCAGTTTCCCCAATGCTGTTTTCACAATAGTACGTGAGTTCTCATGAGATCTGATAGCTTAAAAGTGTGTGGCTTCCTTCACTCACTCTCCTGCTGCCATGCAAGATGTGCCTTGCTTCCCCTTCACCTTCCGCCATGATTGTAAGTTTCCTGAAGCCTCCCAGCCATGCAGAACTGTGAGTCAATTAAACTTTCTTTGTTTATAAATTACCCAGTCTCAGGTATGTGTTTATAGCAGTGTAAGAACAGACTAACATAGAGATGAACTGCCTCAAGGAGGAATAAAATCGCTTCATTGGGTTTTGTCGGGGTGCTCCTGGCAGTTAGCATTCTCCTCTTTCCAGACAGCTGCATGAGTATGGAGCATTAGGAATCCATACTTAGAATCAGTATATATATTAAGTCTCTTCCCTTCTTCAAGCTGAAGAGCCCTTAACTAAGGCTTGGAGCTCTGCTTCCTGAGCTGAAGTGCTTAGGGGAAGTTATTTTGCCTCTCTGGTCCAGCGTAGGCTGACAATAGCATGTTTTGCCTTCCGGGCTCCATTTTATTTGTTTGTTTGTTTGTTTTTTTAGATGGAGTCTCGCTCTGTCACCCAGGCTGGAGTGCAATGGCGTGATCTTGGCTCACTGCAACCTCCGCCTCCCAGGTTCAAGCGATTCTCCTGTCTCAGCCTCCTGAGTAGCTGGGATGACAGGCGCATCACGAGCCCAGGACTTCGAGACCAGCCTGGGCAACATGGTGAAACCTGTCTCTGCTAAAATACAAAAAATTAGCTGGGTGTGGTGGCGTGCCACCATGCCTGGCCTGCAGGCTCTATTTTCTACAAAACAACCCCCATCTGTAAACCATTCTTCATCTGGATTCTCTCAAGGGGTCTCCCGTAAATCTATCCAACTAGAATAGATCTGCTCCAAAGTTTCCACATAGGTGTGTTCCAGTGTCCCCAAGGTGGGCAAGGGAAGGAGGGTGGCAGCATTCAAGGACTCATATATCTTTAAGGTCAAGTCTGGGGTGTCTAACAGTGGGGCTTGATTTTGAGTTAACCTTCCCCGAGTTAGCCAGTGGCTCCCTTTGATTTCCAACACATTCTGGACCTGGTAAGGAGTATAAACTTCAAGGGATTGGCCTAGCATGAGTTTGGAGATATCCCTGACCAGGAGGCTGGTGGCTGCCACTGCCCTAAGACAGCCAGGCCACACCTGGGCTACTGGGTCCAGTTGATTTAAAAAATAAGTCACTGGCCTTTGGACAGGCCCTAGCTTCTGAATTAGGACTTCCAGGGCTTTGCCCAGAGAGGTGGAGGCTATCTGGAAACCCCGGGGGTAGCACTGTCCAAGTACAGTGGGGAGCTTCCTGAGTCTCTGGATCCTTCCATTCAAAGGCAAAAATGTAGGTGGAGTCAGGATGCAGCATATATTAAAGAAAACATCCTTTAGATCCAGTACAGTGTAAAACTGTGTGCACCCAGGGATTTGAGAGTGGAGTGTGTATGAATTAGGGACTGAAGGATGTGTGGGAACAACTGAGTCATTCACTACTCTAAAGTGTGGAAGAAACTGGTATTCTACATTTGGTTTCTTCACAGGCAGGACTGGAGTATTACAAGGGGACTGCAGGGCTGAATTAGTCTGTTCTGTATCAATGTTTCCAGGAGGGGCCATATCCCTTGTAGGGCTTCTGGCCTCAAATGGTATTTTGGCTTGCGTGGGTAGGGTAGGCCTGGCTTAAGCTTTATTTTAATATTCTCCTCATTGATGACCTGTCCTGAAATGTTGGTATCCCATACAGACTTTTCCACTCAAATCAATATCTTTTCTAGGACTGGGGGTAGCTTCTGATCTTGGGGAACCAAAAGGGCCAGTAAATGGATTCCTTTCTCAGGAGGCACTGAGACTTGTATGGCATTCCCCTGGAGGGAAACTGAGGCTCCCAACTTAGATAATAAGTCATGAACCATTAAAGGAAGGGGACACTCAGGGACATATAGGAAGGAATGAGTGATAGCCTTAGATCCAATTTTACAAGTCAAAGGAAAGGTAAACTGTCTTACCTTGGGTTGTCCATCTGTTCCCGTCACTGTACAACTGGCGCTGAACAGAGATCCATCAGGATGGGTCAGGACAGAGTAGGGGGCTCTGGTATCCATAAGGAATTCAGTTTCCTACCTGCCATATTGAGGGTGACCCAAGGCTCCACAGTGGTGATGGTGATGGAACTCTTCAGGACTGGAGGCAGATAAGCATTTGAGAACACCTCATTCAGAGGGGGTAGCCTTTTTATTTGAGAGGCCAGCAACAAGAGGAGTGGGCTGGGGAGGTCTACTCCATCCTGGCTTCCCAGAAAAGAATGGACAGTCCTTTCTCCAGTGCCTCTTCTTACAGTAAGCACACTGGTTGCACCCCATTTCCATGGACATTGGGTGGGGTTTAATCCCCACCCCCCCGCATTCAGGTTTCTCTGTTACCTAAGGTCACCTCAAGGTGGGCCTATGATTATAGCAGCCAAAATGTGTGTCTTCCTTTTTATTCTCTCATTTTTCTACACCTTCTCTGCCTGGTCCCAGTTGTTAAAAATGTTGAAGACCTCTGCTACCAACGTTGCTTGAAGGGTCTAAGGGTCAGCTTTCAGCTTTTGAAGGTTTTCCCAAATGTCTGGCACAGCGTGGGTTATAAAATGCATGGCCAGAAGTGTTAGGCCTTCATTGGTCCTTGGGTCTATGTTACTATACTTTCTAAAAGCCTCAGAGAGCCTATTAAGGTACCCAGCTGGATTTTCATCCACTTCCTGAGCAATTATTTTACTTTATTATACTTTACTGGTTTTGTCTGACACCCTCTGATATGCAATTAAGGAAGTGATTGATCCTTAACCAGTCCCTGTCATCCGTATAAACCCATTGCGGGTTCTGCTCTGGGACTGCCTCACCAGATACCCAGTAAATGACATGGCCAGGATTATATCTGGCCATCTCCTCTGCATATTTCTTACCCTTTCCAAGATTCGAGTTTTTTCACCAGGAGTACAACAACGAGTTAGGACTACAAGAACATCTTGTCAAGTCAAAGGAAAGGTTAGACTAAACTTAATAAATTCATCACTAAACCTATCTGGATTGTTCAAGAACCGGCCAAACCAATCCTTGCCTTGATTTATGTCTGACATTGGTAAGGGTCCATGTACCTGAGTTGCCCCTCTAGTTCCATCCGTTACCTCCCAGGGGGAAAGCAGCCCTGGTATGGTGGGGAAGTGAAGGAGGGTGCTGACTTGGAGCCCAGTTGGAGCCACACTGGGGACAGCACTGAGGGTTGTTGAGGAGTAGAAGGGGAAAGCCTTCCTGACCCAGCATGGTATGGAGGAGGCTCCAGACAGAAGGAGAAAGGATCCACAGTAGCAGAGAGGCCTGCTTCCCACCCTGCCCTTAGAAAGGTAGTGAGAGAATTGAGCCCTAGGGGTTAAAATCTGAGACAGGACTTGGCTCATCTCTCAGCTGTTGCTTGAGAGGTACCATATAAACCTGGCAGGAGTCCTAGAGTTTGAGATCCAGATATAATTTCCTGAAGGCCTGCATGTATGGAATCTCAAGCTATTTATTAGAATTTTTTACAGTATATATCCAATTGGAAAATGATGTTGTAACTGAAGGACCCCATTCTCAGGTCATTTCTCTTGGTACCCCAGGGGATACTGAGGCCAAGCAACATCACAGAGAAACACGAGCTTCTTTTTCTTTGTAATATCTCATTTAAACTGATCCCAATTACAGAGGATGCATCCAAGGGGGGGAATCTTTTGGGACGTCTGTAGTGTTTCCCATGGTAGAGCTGGTGTCCTGTAATCAAGAGGTCTGGTGAGGGATGCAGCCTCTGACTCTGACAGTCTTCACAATTGCAGCACACATCCTGGTCTGACTCATCCCAGACCTTCAAATCCCTGGCAAGAACTAAGCAAGCCAAAGAGGACAGAGGGAGGAGAGCAGAACGAGGGGGCTTGAGAGCCTTTAGCTCTTGGATTTGCCAGCTTCAACCCACAAAGTCTAGCAAGTAGTAGATTTTACATCAGCTCCAAGTAGAACTTACTCTACACCCACATTTATTTACATGGACTCTAACAAGAAACGAGATGATGTACTAGACAGAGGAAAAATTTCATCTGGCCTAATGAGTAAGGCTTCCTTCCAAGAATCCTGGAGGGTGGCTTCACCCATGCAACAAGGACCAGAAACAAGAACGCATTTCCATTCAGACAACTGACAAAACAGATTATAAACGTCCAGGCTCCACAAAGAAGAATACGGTCAGGGAAAATACTGAGTGGTTTCAGTATTTGAAACAAAAGAGAATTCCAGATTGCCGGCTGGTACCTAGCCCACACATGTCTGGGGCAGTTCCCTAGACCAATCTCAGAAGGGCCAGCCAGAATCACTCCAACTGCCTACGCAAGTTTCCCAGAAGGGCTAACTGGAATCACCCCAACTTCCCACCCAAATTTCCAAAAATAAGGGAGAGAAGGAGAGACAAAAGAAAGAAAGAGGCCCTTATCAATGTCAGACATAAGTCAAGGCAAGGATTGGTTTGGCCGGTTCTTGAACAATCCAGATAGGTTTAGTGATTAATGTATTAAGTTTAGTCTAACATTTCCTTTGACTTGACAAGATGTTCTAGTAGTCCTCACTCATTGTACTCCTGGTGAAAGTTTCAAATCTTGGAAAGGGTAAGAAATACGCAGAGGAGATGGCCAGATATAATCCTGGCCATGCCATTTACTGGGCATCTGGTGAGAGAGAGAGAGAGAGAGAGAGAGAGAGAGAGAAGAAGAAGAGCAGACTCACCTAGGGTCCAGACTTGACTCTCCAAAGCACCAACACCAAAGCAATGGTCCAGAGTGGCCACCTTTGTTACCACCTGGTCAGTTGCCTCTGTCCTCCAGGAAGTCTTGCTAACTCCTGTGGGGACCTAAAATGAGGGTCCCATCTGGGGTACCAGGAGATGTTACAATCATCCTTGGTTCTTGTAGTCTTCCAGGATAGAAATCAAGTGAGATTGCTGGGTGTGGTGGCTCACCCCTGTAATCCCAGCACTTTGGGAGGCTGAGGCAGGTGGATTGCTTGAGCCCAGGAGTTCAAGACCAGCCTGGGCAACATGGTGAAAACCCATTTCTACTAAAAATACGAAAAAAAACAGCTGGGTGTGGTGGTGCACACCTGTAATCCCAGCTACTTGGGAGGCTGAGGCAGGAGAATTGCTTGAACCTGGAAGGCAGAAGTTGCAGTGAGCTGAGATTGTGCCATTGCACTCCAGCCTGGGCGACAAAACAAGACTCCATCTCAAAAAAAAAAAAAAAAAGAAAGAAAAAGAGAATGTTTATTTTAGCTTGTGCACAAGAAAGGTCAGCACTGCAAAAGGAAAAGGGTGGGCTGCACCCCAAAGGGAGCAGGTTGATCTGTCTTATAGGGGCCTAGCTGCTGTGACGTGCCTGTCATTGAATGTTTAGGAGGGATTTCTTTGGTGCCTGCACAGTGGTTCAACACGCTTTTTCATACATTGTATATAACATTAGCATTTTAAATCACCTCTGGGCATGATTTTTAGCATTAAAATAAGGAAAAGTTGAAACAAGCCTAGCTGTACTTGCAGGTCCCTGGGGAAGTCCCTAGGCCCCTAAAGCAGGAACTTGTGGTTACTAGCTTCTTGGGCCTTTGATGCTGATTGGCTGGAGATTAGGTAAGCTACATCTTGAGTAAGGGGCTTTTCTTCTTTTTCTCTGGACCACATCAAAACAGGAAGTCAGCCAGCTTGCCTGTCACAAAACCAGGAGTCAATAAATAAAATGATTTATTATTTGAATAATGTATTTGTAGGTTCTTTTGGGTTCTCTACACATACAATCATATTGCTTATGAATTAGTTTAATTCCTTCCATTCTCATCTTTATAACTTTTCTTTAGGCTTTCCAATAGATAATTGAATAAAAGATATGATGGGGGCATCCTAGTCTTGCTTCTGATCACAAAGAAAATACTTTCCATTGGTTTTTGTTGTTGTTTGAGAGGGAGTCTCGCTCTGTCACGCAGGCTGGAGTTCAGCGGCACAATCTAAGCTCACTGCAACCTTTGCCTCCTGGGCTCAAGCGATCCTTCCATCTTAGCCTCCCAAGTAGTAGGGACTACAGGCACATGCCACCACGCCCAGCTGATTTTTGTATTTTTCTGTAAAGATGGGGTTTTTGCTCAGGCTGGTCTCGAACTCCTGGGCTCCAGTGATCCACCTCCCTCAGCCTCCCAAAGTGCTGGGATTACACGCATCAGCCACTACACCCAGCCTGTTTTCAATATTTTGCTATTAAGTATGATGCTTACCGTAGCATTTTTGAAAGTATACATTATTGTATTAAAGAAGTTTCCTTCTACTTTTAATTGTTTAATCATAAATAGATGTTTAACTTTATCAAATGATTTTTCTGCATCTGTCTCAATGATATTAATATCCATTGTTGATCATTACCTTGATGTAGAGTTGCTAACTAAGATACAAGACCTCCAGTTCAATTTGAATTTCAGGTGACAATTAATTTTTAGTATAAATATGTCCCATGCCATTTATTGGCTAAATCTGGAAACCTGTCTAGTTCCATTATTTCACCAGGGCTTTGCAAAATGGGGATTTTTAATGTATTATTTTCTCTTCATTTATTAACTACAATGCTATTATACAAAGAAGCATCCCCTCATTAATTCTCTGGTTACCCTAAATTGTAGTTAATACAGAAAAAGCAACTTAAATGCTTCAATTTTCAGTTTTAGTACATTCTCTCTAAAGGTAACCAAAACGTGTGTGTGCGTGTGTGTGTGTGTGTGTGTGTGTGTGTGTGTGTATGTAATATCCTTATGAATGCATGGATTTTTAACATTTGAAGTGGTCAAACCTTAGACCAGTGGGAGCTGTCTTGGTTTATGGTACATTTCCTACCCAGAACCACAATCATCCATTTCTAAAAGAGCCACAATTCCTATGATTACCAAATTGTATTTATTTATTTATTTTGAGACAAAGTCCTGCTCTGTTGCTGAGGCTGGAGTACAGTGGCATGATCATGGCTCACTGCAGCCTTGACCTCCTGGGCTCAAGTGATCCTCCTGCCTCAGCCTCCCAAGTAGCTGAGACTACAGACGTGCATCACTACACCCAGCTAATTTTTAAATTGTTTGTAGAGACAAGGTCTCCCTATGTTACCCAGGCTGCTCTCAAACTCCTGGATTCAAGTGATCCTCCTGACTTGGACTCTCAAAGTGCTGGGATTATAAGTGTGAGCCACGTGCCTGGCCCCAAATTGAATTTAGACACTATAATTTGAGCACTAGGGGAGGAACTGCCTTTAATATTTTTAATTTTGTAAAACATTTGCACAGTTCCAGAGCCAAAACTTGACAATAAGTTATCTTCACAGAGCTTTAGCTGCCATCCCTGTCCTCTCCACATTTCCTCCCTTCTCCTGTGAGTAACCATTTTTATGGGATTTTCATTCAACTTTCCATCATTTCTCTTTGAAAATATAGGGAAAGACATACATATACAAGTGTGCGTGTCTGTGCATTTCCCTTTCCTTCTTTTGCAAAAGGTAGCATATTATAGCATATCATACACATTGTGTTTTCTTCTTTTTGTTTTGTTTTGTTTTGTTTTTATGAGACCAAGTCTCACTCGGCCGCCCAGGCTGGAGCGCAGTGTCACGATCTCACCTCACTAACCTCCACCTCCCAAGTTCAAGCGATTCTCCTGCTTCAGCCACTCAAGTATCTGGGATTACAGGTGTGTGCCACCATGCCCGGCTAATTTTTGTATTTTTTAGTAGAGACGGGTTTCACCATGTTGGCCAGGCTGGTCTTGAACTCCCGACCTCAGGTGATCCTCCCACCTCAGCCTCCCGAACTATTGAGATCACAGAAGTGAGCCACTGCGCCCAGCTCACACTGTTCTTTATTTTACTTTTTTTACTTGACTTTTTTTTTTTTGAGACGGAGTTTCACTCTTGTTGTCCAGGCTGGAATACAATGGCACGATCTTGGCTCACCGCAACCTCTGCCTCCTGGGTTCAAGCAATTCTCCTGCCTCAGCCTCCCGAGTAGCTGAGATTACAGGCATGTGCCATCACGCCCGGCTAATTTTGCATTTTTAGTAGAAATGGAGTTTCTCCATGTTGGTCAGGATGGTTTTGAACTCCTGACCTCAGGTGATCCGCCCACCTCAGCCTCCCAAAGCGCTGGGATTACAGGCATGAGCCACTGTGCCTGGCCCATGAGCCACCACGCCAGGCAGGCACGTACTATTTTTCATTCCCACTAGCAATGTGAGAGTGCCAATTTTCCCACAACCTTGGCAAGAGTATGTTATCAATCTGATAGGTGAGAAATGGTATCTCGATACAGTTTTATGTTGCATTTGTAGTATCATGAGATAAATCATTTGTTCATTTAAGGGTTTGCATTTTCTATGAATTCTGTTCTTTTGTTTTCTTACCTTGTTGTGTTTTTGTCATGCATAAAATTGTAATTATTATGTAGTCAAATGTATCAGTCCTTTCTTTTATTGCTTCTGTAATTTGAATCAGGTAGCAAAAAAAATTGACCACTGCCAGGTTATAAAGAAATTCATTGGCCGGGCACAGTGGCTCATGCTTGTAATCCCAGCACTTTGGGAGGTCAAGGCAGGAGGATTGCTTGAGCCCAGGAGTTCGAGACCAGCCTGGGTAAAATTGGGAAGTTCTATCTCTACCAAAGAATTACAAAAATTAGCCAGTTGTGCAGGTGTGTGCCTGTAGTCCCAGCTATTCAGGAGGCTGAGGTAGGAGAATTGCTTGAACCAAAGGGGCAGAGGTTGCAATGAGCCGAGATCATGCCACTGCACTCCAGCCTGGACAGTAGAGCCAGACCCTGTCTCAACTTAAAACCTAAATGAATAAATTCATTCACATTTAGTAGTTACAGGGTTTCACATTTTAAAATTTAGATCTCTGACCTTTTCACATTTGTCCTGCTGTGTGGTTTGAGGAATGGGTTTAATTTTATATTCTTCCATAGAGTTGTCAGCTTACTCCAGTATCACTGATTAAAAAGTCCTTCTTGTCTCCAATGATTTGAGATGCAACCTTTATCATATACTAAATATCTATATGCATTTGGGTCTGCTCTGGATTCTCTATTCTGTTCCTTCATTCTGTGGTATTCATGTGCTAATACCACACTGTTTTCATTAGAGGTTTTCTGTTTTAATATCTAGTCAGGTCGGCCAGGCGCGGTGGCTCATGCCTGTAATCCCAGCACTTTGGGAGGCTGAGGCATGTGGATCACGAGGTCAGGACCTCAAGACCAGTCTGGCCAACATGGTGAAACCCCGTGTCTACTAAAAATACAAAAATTAGCTGGGCATGGTGGCACGCATCTGTAATCCCAGCTGCTCGGGATTACAAAAAACAAGAACAGCTAAGAAAGTTCTGAAAAACTCAGGAGGCTGAGGCAAGAGAATCACTTGAACCCAGGAGGCAGAGGTTGCAGTGAGCTGAGATTGTGCCACTGCACTCTAGGCTAGCGATATATATATATATATGTGTAGTCAGGTCAGTGGTGCCTCCCTACTCTGGTCTTTTTCAGAATTTTCTTAGCTGTTCTTGTTTTTCTCATTCTCCCAAATAAGTTTTACAATAACTTCTCTAATTCTAGATAAAAACCTGATGATATTTTTGGAGGGATTGCATTACATTTTTAAACTAACTTTTTGAGAGATATTTTTATTATGTGAGTCTCCTATCCAAAACCATTGCCCTTCCATCTATATATGTTCATGTTTACCTTTGTGAATAATAGAAAAGCAGACACTATTCACGTTTATCTTTAAAAAAAAAAAAAAAAAAAAAAGCAAAATAGGCCGGGTGTGGTGGCTCACGCCTGTAATCCCAGAACTTTGGGAGGCTGAGGCAGGAGAATTACTTGAGTCCAGGAGTTCAAGACCAGCCTAGGCAACATGGTGAAACCCCATCTCTACAAAAAATCAGCTAGGCATGGTGGTGTGCACCTGTAGTTCCAGCTACTCGGAAGGCTGAGGTGGTGTCAGGCCTCTGAGCCTAAGCTAAGCCATCGCATCCTCTGTGACTTGCACGTATAAGCCCAGATGGCCTGAAATAACTGAAGAATCACAAAAGAAGTGAAAATGTCCTGCCCCGCCTTAACTGATGGCATTCCACCACAAAAGAAGTGAAAATGGCTGGTCCTTGCCTTAAGTGATGACATTACCTTGTGAAAGTCCTTTTCCTGGCTCATCCTGGCTCAAAAAGCTCCCCCACTGAGCACCTTGCGACCCCCACTCCTGCCTGCCAGAGAACAAAACCCCTTTGACTGTAATTTTCCTTTACCTACCCAAATCTTATAAAATGGCCCCACCCCTATCTCCCTTTGCCCCCACCCTATCTCCCAGAGTAGGGAGGCACCACTGACCTGACTACATATATATAAATATATATATATATATATATATATATATATATATATATATATCGCTAGCCTGGAGTGCAGTGGCACAATCTCAGCTCACTGCAACCTCTGCCTCCTGGGTTCAAGTGATTCTCTTGCCTCAGCCTCCTGAGTTTTTCAGAACTTTCTTAGCTGTTCTTGTTTTTTGTAATCCCGAGCAGCTGGGATTACAGATGCGTGCCACCATGCCCAGCTAATTTTTGTATTTTTAGTAGACACGGGGTTTCACCATGTTGGCCAGACTGGTCTTGAGGTCCTGACCTCGTGATCCACATGCCTCAGCCTCCCAAAGTGCTGGGATTACAGGCATGAGCCACCGCGCCTGGCCGACCTGACTAGATATTAAAACAGAAAACCTCTAATGAAAACAGTGTGGTATTAGCACATGAATACCACAGAATGAAGGAACAGAATAGAGAATCCAGAGCAGACCCAAATGCATATAGATATTTAGTATATGATAAAGGTTGCATCTCAAATCATTGGAGACAAGAAGGCTGACTCTCTTTTCGGACTCAGCCCACCTGCACCCAGGTGATTAAAAGCTTTTATTCTCACACAAAGCCTGTTTAGTAGTCTCTTCACACAGACATGCATGAAAGGTGGGAGGATCACTTGAGCCTGGGAGGTGGAGGTTGCAGTGAGCTGAGATTGTGCCACTGCACGCCAGCCTGGGCAACAGAGACATCCTGTCTCAAAAAAAAAAAAAAAACAGTAAAATTGATATGTATAGATTTGTGTAACCACCTCCATGAAGGGGTAGGTTGCCCCTCCACACCTCTGGGTGTTTCTCGTTAGGTGGAATGAGAGACTTGGAAAAGAAAGAGACACAGAGACAAAGTACAGACAAAGAATAAAGGGGGCCCAGGGAACTGGCGTTCAGCATACGGAGGCTCCACCGGCCTCTGGGTTCCCTTAGTATTTATTGATCATTCTTGGGTGTTTCTCGGAGAGGGGGATGTGGCAGCGTCATAGGATAATAGTGGAGAGAAGGTCGGCAGATAAACACTTGAACGAAGGTCTCTGCATCGTAGACAAGGTAAAGAATTAAGTGCTGTGCTTTAGATATGTGTACATAAAAACATCTCAATGCCTTAAAGAACAGTATTGCTGCCCGCATGTCCCACCTCCAGCCCTAAGGCGGTTTTCCCCTATCTTAGTAGATGGAATATACAATCAGGTTTTACACGAGACATTCCATTGCCCAGGGACGGGCAGGAGACAGATGCCTTCCTCTTGTCTCAACTGCAAAGAGGCGTTCCTTCCTCTTTTACTAATCCTCCTCAGCACAGACCCTTTACGGGTGTCGGGCTGGGGGACGGTCAGGTCTTTCCCTTCCCACGAGGCTGTATTTCAGACTATCACATGGGGAGAAACCTTGGACAATACCTGGCTTTCCTAGGCAGAGGTCCCTGCGGCCTTCCGCAGTGTTTGTGTCCCTGGGTACTTGAGATTAGGGAGTGGTGATGATTCTTAGGGAGGATGCTGCCTTCAAGCATCTGTTTAACAAAGCACATCCTGCACAGCCCTTAATCCATTTAACCCTGAGTTGACACAGCACGTGTTTCAGGGAGCACAGGGTTGGCGGTAAGGTTACAGATTACAGAACAAAATGGAGTCTCCTATGTCTACTTCTTTCTACACAGACACAGTAACAATCTGATCTCTCTTTCTTTTCCCCACACCTCCACAATCAAGATACAGTTTCATCACCCCAAAACTTCTCTCATGCTGTCCTTTTGTAGTATCCCTCCCCACCAACCCCTGGAAACCAGTGACCTCGTCTCTGTTCCTTTAATCTTGTGTTTTCAAGAATGTCATACAAATGGAATCAGAAAGTACGTCACCTCCAGTCCTATGTACCCATTTGACTATGGAAAATTTCCACTCGAATGTCCCACAGGTACCTTAGCTCAACCTCATTGCTCTCCTTCCAATATGCCCCTCCTCCTATGTCTAGATTCTAGTCAAACACTATGCCATCATCCAGCAGTCCAAGCTAGGAGTGTCATCCTGGGTTCCTCTTTTTTCCTTTCACCCTTCTTTCTAATTATTCTTTTTTTTTTTTTTTTTTTTTTTTTTTTGAGACAGAGTTTCTCTCTTGTTGCCCAGGCTGGAGTGTAATGGCACGATCTCGGCTCACCACAACCTCTGCCTCCCGAGTTCAAGTGATTCTCCTGCCTCAGCCTCCAGAGTAGCTGGGATTACAGGCATTCACCACCATGCCCAGCTAATTTTGTATTTTTAGTAGAGACGGGGTTTCTCCATGTTGGTCAGGTGGTTTTGAACTCCCGACCTCTGGTGATCTGCCTGCCTCGGCCTCCCAAAGTGCTGGGATTACAGGCATGAGCCACTGCACCCGGCTCTAATTACTCTCTTAATCTCATTGCTTATATGTTCTTTATATCTCTCAAAACAATCTATTTCTAAATCCACAACCATTTTACAAGTGATTCTGGCAACCACCTCTCAACTGGATTATTCCAACAGCTTTCTGGGTTTTTTTGCTGAGTCTTATCCTTTTGAGTCTCTATCTACATCACAGTAAGCATGATCATCCTAAACAAACACAAATCTTGTTAAGTCATTCCCCCAATCCCCCACTCCCTGCCACTTAAAACCCTTCACGGGTTGTCCCTTGCCCTCAGGACAAATTGTAAGCTCCTTAGGTGACATTCAAGACTTCCTATAATTCAAGCCTTCCTCTCCTATCTCAACCCAAAACTCCTGTTCTCACCCTACATGTCTCCCACACATACTCCCACTTGGGTTGCTTTTTTAAAGTCTGGAATGTCTTTCTCCTCGCCTTTGTTTTTTTTTCTTTCTTTTTTTTTTTTTTCTTTTTTGAGTTGGAGTCTCACTCTGTCACCCAGGCTGGAGTGCAGTGGCGCAATCTCAGCTCACTGCAACCTCTGCCTCCCGGGTTCAAGCAATTCTCCTGCTTCAGCCTCCTGAGTAGCTGGGATTACAGGGGTGCACCAGCATGCCCAGCTAATTTTCTGAATTTTTAGTAGAGATGGGGGTTTTACCATGTTGGCCAGGATGGTCTCGATCTCCTGACCTCGTGATCCGCTCACCTCAGCCTCCCAAAATGCTGGTATTACAGGCATGAGCCACCACGCCTGGCTCTCCTCACCTTTCTTAGCTAATTAGTACTTGTCCTTCAGGTCTCACCTTGGCTCTAACCTCCTGGCTGGACCAATGCTCTACCTTTCTAATTCCTGCAGGAAAACACTGGACTTTTCTCTTTTTCCTTAGTAGAGAAGTTTTCAAAGTGGGACTGCAGACCCTTGCATGTCCCTGATCCCTTCAGAGGGTCCCTGAGGTCAAAACTATTTTTATAATAATACTAAGATGTTATTCAAATTTTTCACTCTTAATATTTGCACTGATAGTGCAAAAACAATGGTAAGTAAGACTACTGGCCCTTGCCCCAAATCAATTTAGCTAATAATCATCAGATTAATGGAATCTTCTTGTTTTAATATTACACCAAAACTCTACAAGTGGAAGTATCTTAAAGGTTAGTTGCAATATGGTGTCTGAAACGATATCAGTGAATTATTTCCATGCTATTACAGTAAAATCCCTTGGTCTATATTGCACTTTGCATGGATCTTTTACCCATTCATAGTTTTATAGCATCATGCAACAGGAATTTGGAAAATATTGGTGCAGTGAGTTATACAGCTTTCCAAATGTTGAAACATTTGTTATAAAATACTGAAAAATTATAGTCATAGATATCCACATCATTCTAATCTGAAAGGCAATAAGCATTTGGGAAGCTGTCAAGCTCATGGTGGCAGATTAAATATACTTCCATATTACCACTACTTATATATGTGTGGCTACATTTTTTTTGGTATACGTTAACCGAAACAAACTATCACAGCACATTGAATGCAAAAGCAGACATTGGCCAGGCGCAGTGGCTCACGCCTGTAATCCCAGCACTTTGGGAGGCCGAGGCAGGAGGATTGCCTGAAGTCAGGAGTTCAAGACCAGCCCGGCCAAGATGGCGAAACCCCGTCTCCACTAAAAATACAAAACACTAGCCGGGCGCAGTGGCTCGCACCTGTAATCCCAGCTACGTGGGAGGCTGAGGCAGGAGAATCACTTGAACCTGAGAGGCAGAGGTTGCAGCAAGCCAAGATCGTGCCATTGCACTCCAGCCTGGGGGACAGAGTGAGACTCTGTCTCAAAAAAAAAAAAAGCAGAAAAAAAAGCAGACATTAAGATCCAGTTGTTTTCCATCAAGCTGGACATTAAAGAGATTTGCAAAAATGCAAAACAATGCTACTCTTCTCTGACCATAATAGAATTAAAGTAGAAATCAATTAACAGAAAGATGTCTAGGAGATGCCCAAATATTTGGAAATTAATCACTCACTTCTAAATAATCCAGGAGTCAAAGAAGAAGTATTAAGAAGAAATAGAAAATATTTTTCACTTAATGAAAATAAAATATAACAAAATGTATGTAAGCAATTAAGGCAGTTTTTAGGGGGTAAATTTATATTAGCAAACACATATGTCATGAAAGAAAATCTCAAATCTAACCCTCCACGTTAATATTGTAGAAAAAGAAAAGTAAATGAAATCCAAAGCACTGAAGGAAAAAGAAAATAAAGAGCAGAAATCAATGAAATTAAAAACAGGAAAAATCAATGAAACCAAAAATTTTCCTTATGAAAGGTCAATACAACTAATAAACCTCTAACCAGACGAACCAAGAAAAAAACAGAGAAGACAAAAATTACCTATATTAGGAATGATAGAAGAGATATCACTACAGTATCTATAAATTTTACAACTTACATGTAATAGATCAGTCCCTTGAAAGATACAAACTACCACAATTCACCAAAGATGAACAAGATAAAGAGGTCTTAGAACTATTAAAGAAATTAAATTTATAGTTAAATATCTTCCCCCGAAAATCTCTAGGCCCAGTTTTATTGGAGAATGTTATCAAGTATTATTGAAAGAAATAACATGAATTCTAAAAAATTCTCTTTCAGAAAATATAAGAGGAGAAATACTTTCCAATTTGTTTTATGAGGCTAGCATTGCCTTGATACCAGAAGCCAAAGACACTACAATGAAAGAACACTATAAATCAGTATCCCTCATATTAGCAAATTGAATCTAGCAATATAAAAAGGACAATTCATCATGGTCAAGTAGGGCTTATCCTGGGAATACAAGGTCTGTTCAAAATTTTCTTGACAAAAGTGAACATCTAGCAGGGCGTGGTGGCACACACCTGTAATCCCAGCACTTTGGGAGGCTGAGGCAGGCAGATCACCTGAGGTCAGGAGTTTGAGACCAGCCTAACTAACATTGTGAAACCCTGTCTCTATACTAAAAATGCAAAACTAGCCGGGTGTGGTAGGAGGCACCTGTAATCCCAGCTACTCAGGAGGCTGAGGCAGGAGAATTGCTTGAACCTAGGAGGCGAAGGCTGCAGTTAGCCAAGATGGCACCACTGTACTCCATCCTAGGTGACAGAGCAAGGGTTCATTTCAAAAAAAAAAAAGTGAACATCCATTCAGGGTTTAAAAAAAAAAAACCAACTCAGCAAACTAAGAAGAGAAAGAAACTTCCTTAATCTGCTAAAAGGGCATTTTGAAAGACACTTAATGTTAGAAGTCTAAATGCTTTCCACCAAAGATTGAGAACAAAGAAAAGAATGTTTGCATTCACCACTCCTAGTCAATATTGTACTGAAAGTCCTGGCCGATGTAATAAGTAGGAAAAGGAAACAAAAGTAATGTCGATTGAAAAGGAAGAAAAATAAAACTGTCTTTATTCACTAATGACATAGTTGTCACAAAAAAAACTCCAGGAAATCTACAGAAACTCCTAAAACTAATAAATGATTTTTACAAGATCACAGAATAATGTGCAAAAGTCAATCATATTTTTAAGCATAAGGAAACAAAAATCAGAAATTTAAAAAATTTTAATAACATTTATAATATCATAAAATATGAAATACATAGGGATAACCTGACAAAAGATTTACAAGACCTATACACTGAAAACTAAAAAACATTGCTGGTAGAAGTTAAGGAATGGCTAAATAAATTGGGAGATTGCCGGGCGTTGGTGGCTCACGCCTGTAATCCCAGCACTTTGGGAGGCCGAGGCAGGCGGATCACGAGGTCAGGAGATCGAGACCATCCTGGCAAACACGGTGAAACCCCGTCTCTACTAAAAATACAAAAAATTAGCCAGGTGCGGTGGTGGGCGCCTGTAGTCCCAGCTACTCGGGAGGCTGAGGCAGGAGAATGGCGTGAACCTGGGAGGCAGAGCTTGCAGTGAGCCGAGATAGCGCCACTGCACTCTGGCTTGGGTGAAAGAGCGAGACTCCCTCTCAAAATATAAATTAAATAAATAAATAAATAAATAAATAAATAGGGAGATATACCAGGTTCATAGATTATAAGATTTAATGCTGGCCGGGTGCGGTGGCTCACGCCTGTAATCCCAGCACTTTGGGAGGCTCAGGTTGGGGGATCACGAGGTCAGGAGATCAAGAACATCCTAGCCAACAGGCCTAGCCAATATGGTGAAACCCCGTCTCTATTAAAAATACAAAAATTAGCCGGGTGTGGTGGCGCACGCCTATAGTCTCAGCTACTCGGGAGCCTGAGGCTGGAGAATCTCTTGAAACCGGGAGGCGGAGGTTGCAGTGAGCCGAGATTGTGCCACTGCACTCCAGCCTGACAACAGAGTGAGACTCCATCTTTAAAAAAAAAAAAAAAGAAAAAAGAAAGAAAATTAGATCAACAGAACAGAATCAAGAGTCCACAGATAGATGTACACACATGCATAATCAACTGATTTTTGACAAAGCTGCAGGGCATTTCAGTGGGAAAAGATAATGTTTTCAATAAATGGTACTGGAGCGACTGGGTATTCACATGCAAAAAGATGAAACTTCGGCCAGGCACAGTGGTTCAGGCCTGGAATCCCAGCACTTTGGGAAGCCGAGGCAGGTAGGTGGATCACCTGAGGTCAGGTGTTCGAGACCACCCTGGCCAACATGGTGAAACTCCATCTCTACTAAAAATACAAAAATTAGCCGAGCGTGGTGGCAGGCACCTGTGATCCCAGCCACTCCAGAGGCTGAAGGAGGAGAATCGCTTGAACCTTGGAGGCAGAGGTGCAGTGGGCTGAGATCGCACCACTGCACTCCAGCCTGGGCGGCCGAATGAGACTCTGTCTCAAAAACAACAACAACAAACTCGAAATGGAACATAGATGTAAATGTGAAATATCGAGCTATCAAACTTCTTCTTCGCCCCCCAAAGTGCTGGGAATACAGATGTGAGCCACCACACCCAGCCAATCGAACTATCAAACTTCTGAAGAAAACATTTAAAAAAACTTTGTGAGTTTTCACCAGGCTAAGGTTTTTAAAAATACAACACCAACAGCATGATTCATAAAAGAAAAAATTGATAAATTGGACTTAGAATCCACAGTGGTACATGCCACCATGTCAGGCTAATTTTTGTATTTTTAACAGAGACGGGTTTCACCATGTTGGCCAGGCTGGTCTCAAACTTCAGACCTCAAGTGATCCACCTGCCTCAGCCTCCCAAAGTACTAGGATTACAGATGTGAGCCATTACACCCGGCCTTTTTTTCAAATTTCTAAGAAAAGAGATTTTTTTTTTTTGAGATGGGAGTCTTGCTCTGTCTCCAGGCTGGAGTGCAATGGTGCCATCTTGGCTCACTGTAACCTCCGCCTCCCAGGTTCCAGCAATTCTTCTGCCTCAGCCTCCCGAGTAGCTGGGATTACAGGCACACGCCACCACGCCCAGCTAATTTTTTGTATTTTTTAGTAGAGACTGAGTTTTACCATGCTGGCCAGACTGGTCTCGAACTCCCGACTGCAGGTGATCCACTCGCCTCGGCCTCCTAAAATGCTGGGATTACAGGCGTGAGCCACTGCACCCGGCCCAAATCACTGTATTTTGGAAAAGATAAGTTCAAAAATTAGCCGGGCGTGGTGGCAGACACCTGTAATCCTAGCTACTTGGGAGGCTGAGGCAGGAGAATCACTGGAACCCAGGAGGCAGAGGTTGCAGTGAGCCAAGATTGTGCTATTGCCCTCCAGCCTGGGTGACAGAGGGAGACTGGGTCTCAAAAAAAAAAAAAAAAAGAAAAAAGAAAAGAAAAGTTCATTGATCCTAGCCCTTGCCTCTGCCCGTGTGTAGGAAAATATCGAAGAGGATTAATGATTATGTGTCACACCCAAACCTTGATGGGATTTTGCTCTCATGTAACTTCTGAGAACATGAGCTGCAGCCACCTGTATAAAAACCGCAGGCTGAAACCCTCCGGAGCAGTCCAACGGTTACTTTGAAAGACTCTCCCAGGTTGTGATCCTCAGTAAGACTTCTGAATCAAACTAACTTTAATTCTCTAAAAGTAGGTTTTTCTCTTTCCTTTTTTTTTTTTTTTTTTTTTTTTGAGACAGGGTCTCTCACTCTGTCGCCCATGCTGGAGTGCAGTGGCACAATCTTGGCTCACTGGCAGCCTTGACCTCCTAGGCTCAAGTGATTCTCCCCCCTGAGCCTCCTGAGTGGCTGGAACTACGGGCGCACGACCATGCTGGGTTAATTTTTATAAACATTTTTTGGTCTCACTATGTTGCCCAGGGTGGTCTTGAGCTTCTGGGCTCAAGCAACCCTCCTGCCTGCACCTCCCAAAGTGCTGAGATGATTATAGGAGCAGGAATGAGCACTTGGCCTGATTTTTGTCTTAGTTGACAATAGTCAGTGTTCAGGAAATGGTTATTTATGATTATTATCCATAAAAATTCCAAAGGGATACACTGATTTGTCATTACCAAAGGGGCCAGAGAGAACCTGGCAATTATTTGGGCTTAGGGGAATAAAGGCAAAGCTCTCAGATGAGTTTCAGTCTGAAGCCTGGAAACAGGGAGGATGGGAGGCCAGGGGCAAGATGATGGATTCCATTTTAAGTAATAGATTCTAAGTCTCAAGTAAAAATCAAGGTTGCCTTTTGGGTGTAAGGTAGAAACCTGGGATACAGAATTAAGAATTGCCCATGTTAGGCACGGTGGCTCACGCCTATAATCCCATCACTTTTCGAGGCTTGGGAGGGTAGATCACTTGAGGTTAGGCATTTGAGACTAGCCTGGCCAGCATGGCGAAACTCCGTCTCTACTAAAAATACAAAAAATTACCCAGGTGTGGTGGCCCACGCCTGTAGTCCCAGCTGCTCCAGAGGCTGAGGCATGAGAATCACTTGAACCTGGGAGGCAGAGTTGCAGTGAGCCGAGACTGTGCCACTGCACTCCAGCCTGGGCGCCAGAGCAAGGCTCTGTCTCAAAAAAAAAAAAAAAACTTACAGAATTAAGAGTTGCTCATGCAGAGGAAAACAAAAAGATTTATTGTCATTGTCGTTTTCCTTTTTTTTGTGGAAACACAGACACTAGGACTTTAAGAAAGGCAGGAGCCAGATCTAATGAATCTCTGGGTTCTCCCAGCAGAGTGATCCTCCCTACTCAGTGATCTCCACTGAGCAGGAGCCACCAATTCTCTTTGTAACTTAATGGAAGTGGCTTTCCCCTGTCTGCACCTCAGTTTCATTTGTAAAATGAGGAAAAGCAAACCTACCTCTGAGGGCTGTTATGAGATCATGGTTTGGAATTTTCCTGGCCAAAAGTGAATGCGCAAGTGGTGTCTCGTGTGACAACCCATGATCCATCCACCAAATAGAAAACAATGTCCAAACACACAAAATATCAAGAGTATACATACAAATGGTGGGAGTGTAAATTAATACAGTCTGACAGTGTCTACTAAAGCTAAACACATACCTGCCCTACGACCAGCAATTCCACACTTGGGTCTATTTTGTTTTTGTTTTTGTTTTTCTTTGGGAGGGGGATCTATTTTCAGAAGAAATGAATACGTAAGTTTGTCCAAAGAAATGTACTAGAATATTCATAGTGAGAGACAGGACTAGCTGGATTTCCTAGGCCGACTAAGAATCCCTAAGCCAACTGGGAAGGTGACCGCATCCACCTTTAAACAAGGGGCTTGCCACTTAGGTCACACCCAACCAATCAGGTAGTAAAGAGAGCTCACTAAAATGCGAATTAGGCAAAAACAGAAGGTAAAGAAATAGCCAATCATCTAACGCCTGAGAGCACAGAGAGAGGGACAATGATCGGCGGGATATAACCCAGCACTGGAGCCCGCAAGGCAATCCCCTTTGGGTCTCCTCCCATTTTATGGGAGCTCTGTTTTCACTCTATTAAACCTTGCAACTGTACACTCTTCTGGTCTGTGTTTGTTATGGCTTGAGCTGAGCTTTCGCTCACTGTCCACCGCTGCTGTCTGCTGCCATGGCAGCTGTGGCAGACCTGCCGCTGACTTCCACCCCTCCGGATCCGGGTGTCCACTGCACTTCTGATCCAGCGAGGCGGCACCCATTGCCGCTCCCAATTGGGCTAGAGGCTCACCATTGTTCTTGCGCGGGCTAAGTGCCCGGGGTTCCTCCTAATCGAGCTGAATAGAGCTATAACACTCACCGCATGGCCCAAGATTCCATTCCTTGGAATCCGTGAGGCCAAGAACCCCAGGTCAGAGAACAAGAGACTTACTGCCATCTTGGAAGCGGCCCACCACCATCTTGGGAGCTCTAAGAACAAGGACCCCCAGTAACAATAGCACTATAACACCCCTAAACTGGAAAATATCCAGTCTGAGGTATAGGGCATAGTCATAAAATGGAAACCATCCAGAATGAAAATGAAAGAACTATTTCTACACACGGTATGCATGAATCTCACAAAAACAACATTAACTAAAAGAAACCAAACACAGTACACAGAGTACTGGTCTAGAGAGAAGGAGAATTCAAAACAAACAAAAGTAACCCAGCTGTTACAAGTCAGGGCGAGTCCAGCCAGGCACAGTGGCTCATGTCTGTAATCCCAGCACTTTGGAAGGCTGAAGTGGGAGGATCATCTGAGTCCAGGAGTTCGTGACCAGCCTGGGCAACACAGCGAAACCCTATCTCTACAAAAAACATTTTAAAATTAGCAAGGCGTGGTGGCACACGCCTGTAGTTCCAGGTGCTTGGGAAGCTGAGGTATAGGATTGCTTGAGTCTGGGAGGTTGAACCTGGAGTGAGTAGTGATCTCACCACTGCACTCCAGCCTGGGCAACAGAGCAAGAATCTCTTTCAAAAGATATATTTTTAAAGGCTACATGGGGTGGGTCATGCCTGTAATCCCAGTGCTTTCAGAGGCTGAGGAGAGAGGATAGCTTGAGGCCAGCAGTTGGAGACTCTAGTGAGCTATGATCGTGCCACTGCACTCCAGCCTGGGCGACAGAGACTCTAGCTCTTAAAAAAAAAAGAAAAAAACAGATGAATGATAACCTTTAGAAGGGATCGGGAGGCCGGATGTGGTGGCTCACGCCTATAATCCCAGCACTTTGGGAGGCCAAGGCAGGCAGATCACTTGAGGTCAGGAGTTTGTGACCGGCCTGGCCAACATGGTGAAACCCTGTCTCTACTAAAAATACAAATATTAGCCTGGGCAACAGAGTGAGACTCCGTCTCGGGGCGGGGAGTGGAGGGGGGAGAAGAAGGGATGGGGGAAAGGGGAGCACATGAGGCTTCTACTGTTTGGTTTTGCGATCTGGATTCAGGTTGTATGGGCATGTTCACTTTGTGTAATTTTGTCGAGCTGTAATGATTTGTGCTCTTCTCTTTATTTAACTTCAATAAAAGGTTTACTTAACAAAAATTGTAGCTGGTGTGAAGGGTAGCAGTGTTTCCCTGGGGCCAAGAGTACAGGCTTTGGGGACAGACAGACCTGGGTCCCAATCTATGCTTTGTCCCTTCGGCACATTGTTGACTGTGGCTGGTGGCTTCGTGGCTCTGAGCTTGTCTCCTTCTCTATAAATGAGGAAACATAATACTTGCGACGATGATGCCTGTAAAGCTTAAGCGCAGGACCTGGCATAGATCTGTAAGGCGGAAACCTGGGATACAGAACTAAGGTCTATGGATCTCCTGTGCTACCCAACTTCTGGGCACTCGCTGCCTCCTTTTCCCCAGCCCAGACGCGTGGGTTCTACTCGATTGGTTGCTCACTGCGGGCTCGGGGCTCCTCAATCCCGGGGTAAAGCCCAGTATGAAATGTCACCTTCAGGGGCAGCTCGGATCTTCCCACGCCCGCGCGGCGCACAATCTTTGGATCAGCGCCACGTGGAGACCTTACCCGCCCGTACGATCAATCCCTTCTGTGGAACCCAGCTCAAGGACCCTCCAGCCCAGACACTAGAAAGCGAAGAGCAGTTGGCCGCCAGACTGTCCGTGCCAGAGCTCTGCGAACTTACTCCGTTGAAAGAGCAACGGGGCTGCGCCACCTCCCGGAGAGAACCCCCAGCCCTCCACGGCAGGGCGAGATGGCGCCACCGCGTGATACTGCGCACGCCCACAGCTCCCGTCCCGCCCTCGCGCCTGCGGGTACGGACAGCGCATGAGCTTATGTTGAGGGCGGAGCCCAGACCAGCCCTTCGTCCTATCCTGCCCTTCCAGCACCTCTCAGCCGTAACTTAAACTACACTTCCCAGAAGCCTCCTCAGCCAGGGACTTCCGTTGTCGTCAGCGGAAGCGGTGACAGATCATCCCAGGCCACACAGAGGCCGGCTTGGTCACTATGGAGGAGATAGGCATCTTGGTGGAGAAGGCTCAGGTACAGTGGGGACTTGGGCTTTTTAGTCCGGGCCGGGCTCGCGGGGAGAGGGTGAAGCCAGACCTGAGTGGGGGGAGGAATGGCTTCCAGGACCCCGGCCCAGGTTGGGGTTATTTTAGAGGCCTCGGTGGAGAGCTTTGTGCCATTCGAAGGCCTGTCTGGGTGGCCGAGTGATGGTAGGAGGTAAGGCTCAGAAAGCGGGGCTGGGGGAGTGAGTGACGTTAGTGGGTCTTTGAGACGGATTGATTTCGAACCCTGGCCGGTAGTGCTTAGTGAGGTCGGTGGCCCGGCGTTGGGATTGGGTCAGGCGGTGAGTGATATATGGGATCCCGCCGTGCGGCCGAGTGATCCCCGGGTCTGGGCTGCGGGGCTGACTGATGTTCAGGGCTTTGCTGATGGGGGTAATGGGGCGGGTAGTTAAGTATTATCTGTGGCTTGCCTGAGTGATATTTAGGTCTAAGGTGAGTTAGGAGACTGTGACATAAGGGATCTTTGAGGGGAAACTGGGGAATGTTGGGACTCGTTGAAGGCGCAGTCACTTTAACAGCCTATCTAGGAGAGCCATGTGACATTAGGAACCTCTTGAAGGGGATTGGGTGGCATTTGGGTCTGATAAGGAGTTGATGTGACGTTTAGATCCTAGTTGGGGGTTGTGTGACACTGGGGACATGTTATGAGTGGTATATGATAACATAAGATCTGTTTGAGGGGCAAGTTGACATAAAGAGCTTGTTTAGGTGGCCAAAAGGTTTCCAGGATCTATTTAGAGGGTCTTAAGATATCAGGGGTCTGTTAGGGGCTAAGTGACATCAGGGTGAAGTGGGGAGGGGAACAAACATTAGTGAAGTTGGGAAGCTTTCATGAGAGGACTGTCTTCTTCCAATGTGAGTTATCCCCTTTCGTCTAGGATGAGATCCCAGCACTGTCCGTGTCCCGGCCCCAGACCGGCCTGTCCTTCCTGGGCCCTGAGCCTGAGGACCTGGAGGACCTGTACAGCCGCTACAAGGTACATTCGACCCCCAACCCAGACCTTGCACAGGACCTGACATCTCATACTCTTCCCCACTTTCCACCACTCTCTGGATCAGCAAGTCTGGAGCCATCCCCTTCTGTCCCCTCTCTGCTCGCAGAAGCTGCAGCAAGAGCTGGAGTTCCTGGAGGTGCAGGAGGAATACATCAAAGATGAGCAAAAGAACCTGAAAAAGGAATTTCTCCATGCCCAGGAGGAGGTGAAGCGAATCCAAAGCATCCCGCTGGTCATCGGACAATTTCTGGAGGCTGTGGATCAGAATACAGCCATCGTGGGCTCTACCACAGGTGTGCTAAGGACACCTCATTCATTCATCTGTCCACTTAACAACTATTTCCTACCATGTGCTAGGCAGCAGCAAACAAGGCAGGGCAGTGCAGTGCAATGTTCTTCAGAGTATTTTGACTGATCGAAAGGTAGAAATACATACATATATATATATATACACATATATATATGTATATCTATGTTTTTTTTGTTTGTTTGTTTTTTGTTTTGAGACAGAGTTTTGCTCTTGTCCAGGCTGGAGTGCAATGGCATGATCTCGGCTCACTGCAACCTCCACCTCCCAGGTTCACACGATTCTCCTGTCTCAGCCTCCCAAGTAGCTGGGATTACAGGCATGGACCACCAAGTCTGGCTAATTTTTGTATTATTAGTAGAGACAGGGTTTCACCATGTTGGCCAGTCTGGTCTTGAACTCCTGACCTCAGGCGATCCACCCGCCTCACCCTCCGAAAGTGTTGGGATTACAGGCCTGAGCCCCACTGCACCTGGCCAGAAATGTATTTTACATTGTGATTATCTGTATCTGTCTCTTACTTTTTAGATAGATGTGTAAAACATAAGTTTCACCATGAAATATTTAGCCTTACTAGGTGTGGTATATGCTGATGTTTTCTATCCTATTCTAGTCTGTTTTGCTTTAAACACAGTTCTGGTCATGACCTTCCAAATTGATTTCACAACTACTACTGGTTTGGGGCCTGCAGTTTGAAACGATGAGTAGGAGTGTTAAGAGATTGGGCTCTGAGGCCAGGCATGGTGCCTCACACGTATAATCCCAGTACTTTGGGAGACTCAGGTGGGCAGATCACTTGAGGCCAGAAGTTTGAGACCAGGCTGGGCAACATGGCAAAACCCCGTCTCTACTGAAAATATAAAAATTAGCTGGGTGTGGTGGCACACACTTGCCATCCCAGCTACGCAGGTGGTTGAGGCACAGGATCTGTTGAACCCAGGAGGTGGAGGTTGCAGTGAGCCGAGATCGTGACACTGTACTACAGCCTGGGTGACAGAGCAACACTCTGTCTAAAAAAAAAAAAAAAAAAAAAAATACTGGGCCCTGATAGGGACTCAGAGTCCTTATCAGAGTATATTGTAGCTGCTGCTGTTTATATAGGTCTAGGCCTTGCCCTCTTGATAGTCATTGTCACTGGCATCTTATCTGTTTTTTCTTGTTTCTGGGCTCTGCTCCTCTGGACCAAGCCATGTTCTTGTAAAGGTTTTGGAGAAAGGTGTGCGATTGTGCCTGGAATTGGACTGGTGGGCTATGAGGAAGTGAGGAGAGGGTGGTATCCAGGATGAGGCCTTTCTCTTTGACCTGTGGGAGTTGGGATAGTGTGGCTTTCCCTGAGATGGCACCATGGGTAGAGGAGTAGGTTTGTGGGAAGACAGGGAGGGCAGTCCAGAGCACATGGGAGGTGTCCAGGAGGCTGCTGGTCAGCCAGGTCTGACAATCAGGAGAGAGACTGAGCCTGGAAACAGAAGTGTGCCTCACTAGTATGAGATGCAGGGGGAGGCCTGCTGGACAGCCAGGGCTGGATGTCAAGAGAGAATCAGGGCGGTAGACAAGGAGTTCGTGTGAATACTGGGGACGGACAGCAGGAGGGAAGGCTGGAGGCCGAGAGGGGACCCCTCAGGGTCTGAACCAGAGATGTTGGGGTGTGGAGATTAGGAGGGAGGAAGGGGGAAGGGGCAGTTTCCAGGCTGACACTTCTCGTTTTCCTCTCTCCCTTCTCGCAGGCTCCAACTATTATGTGCGCATCCTGAGCACCATCGATCGGGAGCTGCTCAAGCCCAACGCCTCAGTGGCCCTCCACAAGCACAGCAATGCACTGGTGGACGTGCTGCCCCCCGAAGCCGACAGCAGCATCATGATGCTCACCTCAGGTAAAGGGGGAGCCTGCAGCTGGGAGGGCCCCATGGGGACCTTGAGGACCTGGCCAGGAGCCCCAGCTCTGCTCTCCCACCAGACCAGAAGCCAGATGTGATGTACGCGGACATCGGAGGCATGGACATCCAGAAGCAGGAGGTGCGGGAGGCCGTGGAGCTCCCGCTCACGCATTTCGAGCTCTACAAGCAGGTGAGGCGGTGCAGGTGGCAGGGAAGGGAGAGGCCCCATTGGGTCTGGGGTTGGAGGTGGAACCCCTGACTCCCACTTCTCTTCCTTCCTCTGGGTTTCAGATCGGCATCGATCCCCCCCGAGGCGTCCTCATGTATGGCCCACCTGGCTGTGGGAAGACCATGTTGGCAAAGGCGGTGGCACATCACACAACAGGTGAGCCCTTTCGCCCCTGCCCCGAGCTCTCATCTTCTGGCCTCTTCGCCTTGCTCCCTGCTCGCTCACTGGCACTGCACAGTAATTAGAAACAGACTCTGGGGTCATAGCCCACGTGTGCATGTTACTGGCTGTGCTGACTTCACCTCCTTGGGCCTCTCCTAGTAGTTGAAGACTCATTTCACCCGGTGATAGTGAGCAGTTAATGAAATAATGCAGTGTTTTCCTACAATGGGTTGTGACCTATTAGTAATTATGAATTTCAATTTGTGGGTTGCAGCCAGTATTTTGAAACATGAAATAGAACAGAAAGCGCCAGAGAACATCCACATGGTATTTATACCATGGTACAAGTATATATGGTGCAAGTTCATCTGTTTCGTGAAACTTGTTTCATACAGATGTGCACACTCATGTATACTTGTGGTTCTTCAAAAATATATATATATATTTTAATTCTTAAATTTTTTTGTAGAGATAGGGTCTCACTCTGTTGCCCAGGCTGGTCTTGAACTCCTGGGCTCAAGGGATCCTCCCACAGTGCTGGGATTACAGGCGTGAGCCATGTGCCTGGCCCCAAAAATGTATTTCTTATTGTAGGTGCCAGACAAAAATGTCTGAAAGTCACTCACTCTATAACTTTTTTTTTTTTAAAGCCCTAAAATCTTAAGCATATGTTCAGATCTTAACACATGTGAGCCAGGGAGCAGTAGGAGGTAGTAGTTAAGCAGTATGTTTTCTGGGGCTAGACTGCCTGGCTTTGAAATCTTACTCCCCCAGCAACTTCTTATGTGATCCTGGGTAAATTAACCTCTCTGTGACTCAGTTTCCTCACCTGTCAGATGGAAACAATCATAGTACCTATTTTTCTAGGGTGGGTGTTCAGAAGAGCAAATTGATACAAAGCATCTGGAATGGGCAATAAATGTTAGCTGTTGTCATTGTTACTCATTTGCTTGGTACTTTATTGAACTTTTACTCTGTACCAAGCCTTGTGCTGGAATGCAAAGATGACAATCAGAGATGTCCCTTGCCTTGACTGGGAAAAAAGAAAAAGACACCTAGAACTCAGTCATTCAGTGACTGTTTATTGAACACCCACTATGTGCCAGGATGTGTTGTAGATGCTAGAGACATGGGCCAGGCGCGGTGGCTCACGCCTGTAATCCCAGCACTTTGGGAGGCCGAGGTGGGAGGATCACGAGATCAGGAGATCGAGACCACAGTGAAACCCCGTCTCTATTAAAAATACAAAAAAATTAGCCAGGTGTGGTGGCGGTCGCCTGTAGTCCCAGCTACTTGGGAGGCTGAGGCAGGAGAATGGTGTGAACCCAGGAGGCGGAGCTTGCAGTGAGCCCAGATCACGCCACTGTACTCCAGCCTGGGCGACAAAGCAAGACTCCATCTCCAAAAAAAATATATATATATATATATATATATATTAATTAGCTGGGCGTGGTGGCCAGCGCCTGTAGTCCCAGCTACTCAGCGTGAACCCGGGAGGCGGAGCTTGCAGTGAGCCGAGATGGCGCCACTGCACTTCAGCCTGGGTGACAGAGTGAGACTCCGTCTCAAAAAAAAAAAAAAAAAAAAAAGAATAGAGACGTGGCAGTAAACAGAACACCTCCTTATGGAGGTGATGTCTTAGTTGGAAATGTGGCCCGACACAGATTCGTAAAGTTTCTTTTTTTTTTTTTTGAGATGGAGTCTTGCTCTGTCATCCAGGCTGGAGTGCAGTGGTGCGATCTCGGCTTACTGCACGCTCTGCCTCCCAGGTTCACACCATTCTCCTGCCTCAGCCTCCTGAGTAGCTGAGACTACAGGCACCCGCCACCACGCCCGGCTAATTTTTTGTATTTTTTAGTAGAGACGGGGTTTCACCGTGTTAGCCAGGATGGTCTAGATCTCCTGACCTCATGATCCGCCCGCCTGGGCCTTCCAAAGTGCTGTGATTACAGGCGTGAGCCACCGCACCCAGCCCGTAAACCTTCTTAAAACATGAGATTTTTTGTGTGTGATTTTTTTTTTTTTTTTTTTTTGAGACAGAGTCTCACTCTGTAGCCCAGGCTGGAGTGCAGTGGTGCTATCTTGGTTCACTGCAACCTCTGCCTTCTGGGTTCAAGCGATTCTCCTACCTCAGCCTCCCGAGTGGCTGGAATTACAGGTACATGCCACCACATCTGGCTAATTTTTTTTGTACTTTTGGTAGAAATGGGGTTGCACCATGTTGGCCAGGCAGGTCTCGAACTCCTGGCCTCAGGTGATCCACCCACCTTGGCCTCCCAAAATTCTGGGATTACAGGCGTGAGCCACTGCACCCGGCTGTGATTTTTTTTTTTAAGCTCATCACCTATCATTAGTGTTAGTGTATTTTATGTGTGGCCCAAGACAGATCTTCCAGTGTGGCCCTGTGTACCCTTCACCCAGATTCCCTAATGTTACTATCTTATGTAACCATAGTATAATTAGGAAAACCAGGAAATTAACAGTGGTACAATACAATGAACTAAAGTTTAGACCTCCTTCAAAGTTTACCAGCTTTTCCCACTAGAGACCCTCACTTCAGGTTCTGTCGTTTTTCTGAGTGAATTGGGGTGGTTTGTCACTGGCAGAGGGAGGGAAGAGAGAAGGTGTAGAAGGGATGTAGAAATGGGAAAAGCTGCTGACTGGGGTTGAGTTTTGTTTTGTTTTCTAGAGACAGGGTCATGTCTGGCAAGGCGCGGTGGCTCACGGCTATAATCTCAGCACTTCAGGAGGCCGAGGTGGGCAGATCACGAGGTCAGGAGTTCGAGACCAGCCTGGCAAACATAGTGAAACCCCATCTCT
This sequence comes from Homo sapiens, assembly GCF_000001405.40. Taxonomy (NCBI): domain Eukaryota; kingdom Metazoa; phylum Chordata; class Mammalia; order Primates; family Hominidae; genus Homo; species Homo sapiens. The sequence goes on from NW_009646206.1 coordinate 252,798, forward strand.
ACTAAAAATACAAAAAAATTAGCCAGGCATGGTGGTGGGCGCCTGTAATCCCAGCTACTCGGGAGGCTGAGGCAGGAGAATTGCTTGAACCCAGGAGGCCAAGGTTGCAGTGAGCGAAGATCGCACCATTGCACTCCAGCCCGGCCAATAGTGCGAGATTCTGTTTCCAAAAAAAAAAAGAGAGATAGGGTCTTGTTCTGTCACCCAGGCTGGAGTGCAGTGGTGTGATCATAGCCCACTGCAACCTTAATCTCCTGGGCTCAAGCAATCCTCCCCACCTGTCTCTCCTAAGTAGGTGGGACTACAGGCGTGTGCCACCATGCCCAACTAATTTTTGTATCTTCATTTTCAGTAGAGACAGGGTCTTGCTATGTTGCCCAGGCTGGTCTTGAACTCCTGGGCTCAAGCCATCCTCCTGCCTCAGCTCCCCAAAGTGTTGGGATCACAGGTGTGAGCCTTTTTTTCCTCTTGTTTTTCGGGGGGAATTCATCTATTTGTTCCGGTGACAGCACAGCTTACTAAGAGTGAGTAACTGAAGCAGGAGCCCATTCCAGGATAGGTGGAAGGAGTAGTAGAGCCCAGGGGGAGCTGAGAGATTGGGAGGACAGGGAAGGTTGGGGTAGGAAGGGGACTGTAGTGATTGAGTAGGAAAGGCTGACGGACAGGCTCGGTCAGATAAGGCAATTCCAGGGATGGGGGTTTCATGTGGAACTGGTTGGACATTTGCAGAACAGCCAAGTAAATGGCCAAAGTCAGGTGGTCAAGGTGTGTTTTCTGTTTAGAGCAGAAAAAGTCAGAAATCTTGAGGTTAGGATGCTGAATGAGCCCCCAGCTGATGCAAGTATCAAGAAAGAGGGACCCCTTGAGCCAGGTGTAAAGTCTGGATCTTAGGGAGTGAACAGGGCAGGGCTGAAGCCTTGAACAGTTCCTAGCTTATGACATAAAACCACTCAGTCTATCTATGGACTGCATGTCTCCCTTCTCTGGTGGCTGGAAGGAGAGTCCTGGGGGTATGCTTCATACAACACAAAGCATCTGATCCTTAAGAAACAAGTGTAACTTTAAGAAACAAGGCCAGGGTCAAGCATGGGGTGGCTCATGTCTATAATCCCAGCACTTTGGAAGGCTAAGCCAGGAGGATCGCTTGAGGCCAGGAGTTTGAGACCAGCCTGAGCAATATAGCAAGACCCCATCTCCTCAAAAATTTTAAAAAGCTAGGTGTGGGGACATGCCTATAGTCCTAGCTACTCGGGAGGCTGAAGAGGGAGGATTGCTTGAGCCCAGGAGATTGAGGCTGCAGTAAGCTATGATGATACCACTGTACTCCAAGTCCAAAGGGAGGGCCCAGAACAAATCTGTCTTCAACCCCATTGCCAATTGTCAGTTATATCAGAACATGCCCGTGGTCCCTGATCTTTTTCAGGAAATTAAAAAGCTGGTCCTTATAGCAAACAGGAACTCAGAGCTCTTGGCGAGGCAGTATGATGTCTTAGTGTATGGGCAGCATGCCTGTTTTCTTGCTGATTTTGCAAGTGCTCCAGAAATGTAGACTGGTTTTTTTCTTTCTTATTTTAGTATTTCATATCCTGATTTTTAAATGTTGGGCCAAAAAAATGACACATCTGGCTGGACATGGTGGCTCATGCCTGTAATCCCAGAACTTTGGGAGGCTAAGGCGGGCAGATCACTTGAGGTCAAGAGTTCAAGACCAGCTTGGCCAACATGGTGAAACCTCGTCTCTACTAAAAATACAAAAATTAGCTTGGCATGGCAGTGCACGCCTGTAATTCCAGCTACTCGGGAGGCTGAAGCAGGAGAATCACTTGAACCCTGAAGGCAGAAGTTGTGGTGAGCCGAGATTGTGCTACTGCACTCCAGCCTGGGCGACAGAGCAAGACTCTGTCTCCAAAAAAAAAAAAAAAGTGACACATTTGTAAGGATGATTCATGATTTAGGCCACTGGGTCACTGTGGGGTACAAGTAGATGGCTATTCCTCAGGGCTGGATGTGGGGCTCACCCTTGGGCATGAGGGAATGACACAACTACTAGGTATGGGTATCCAAGGAAAAGGATGTCTTCAAGGAATTCGCAGTTTCTGTTAAAGCAGAATGGGCCCCTCAGGAGGCTCATTCCCGCCTAACTGTTGTCATCCTGTCATCAGCTGCATTCATCCGGGTCGTGGGCTCGGAGTTTGTACAGAAGTATCTGGGTGAGGGCCCCCGCATGGTCCGGGATGTGTTCCGCCTGGCCAAGGAGAATGCACCTGCCATCATCTTCATAGACGAGATTGATGCCATCGCCACCAAGAGATTCGATGCTCAGACAGGGGGTAAGTGATGCTGAAACAAGGCCCGGGGTCTTGGACAGGCTTGTCGCATGGGATGCCTGGGACTGACTGTGCTGTGCACTCTCAGCCGACAGGGAGGTTCAGAGGATCCTGCTGGAGCTGCTGAATCAGATGGATGGATTTGATCAGAATGTCAATGTCAAGGTTTGGGGTTTGGGATGGACAAGGGGAGGTGTGGTGTAGGAACTGGGGAAAGTTGGGGGCTGGCACCTAAGGGGTGGTTATCGTGACAGGAAGGAGGTAGGAGTGCAGAGATCTGAGCTGGCCTGCCCCCCAATGTCAGGTAATCATGGCCACAAACAGAGCAGACACCCTGGATCCGGCCCTGCTACGGCCAGGACGGCTGGACCGTAAAATTGAATTTCCACTTCCTGACCGCCGCCAGAAGAGATTGATTTTCTCCACTATCACTAGCAAGATGAACCTCTCTGAGGAGGTTGACTTGGAAGACTGTATCCTGCTCCAGAAGTCAGGGAGGGGCCCTAGTTGGGAACGGGGATTAGATCTTCAGCTCAACTTCTGCCAGCACCACAGCCCAGACTGTGCAGGTGGGACCAAGGTCCAGGGAGGAGGGGAGGTGACAGAGATGGCCAAAGATGACTTCCAGCCCCAGGCATTTACCCCATCACACAGGGAATAGTTTCCTTAACTCGCTGCAGATGTGGCCCGGCCAGATAAGATTTCAGGAGCTGATATTAACTCCATCTGTCAGGAGGTAAGTGGTGGTTTCTCTCTGGATCCAGGCAGCGGGTGTGTGAGGACCCTTCTTCTCTGAACCACTCTGCTGCAGTCCTGTCCCCTCATGGCTGCCCTGGGTCGTGGGCGCCATCTCTCTCTTCCTCTACCATCACTAGGGGTGGATAGTACAGGGGTAGTGTTTTTGTGTTTTGCTTTGAGACAGGGACTCACTCTGTCGCCCAGGCTGGAGTGCAGTGGGGCAATCATGACTCACTGCAGTGATCCTCCCACCTCAGCCTCCCAAGTAGCTGGGATTACAGGCGCCCACCACCAGTCTGGCTAATTTTTGTATTTTTTGTAGAGACAGGGTTTCACCATGTTGCCCAGGCTGGTCTCGAACTCTTGGGCTCAAGTGATCTGTATACCTCAGCCTCCCAAAGTGTCGGGATTACAGGTGTGAGCCACTGTGCCCTGCCACAGGAAGTAGATTTTAACTCTCATCCTTCAACAGAGTGGAATGTTGGCTGTCCGTGAAAACCGCTACATTGTCCTGGCCAAGGACTTCGAGAAAGCATACAAGACTGTCATCAAGAAGGACGAGCAGGAGCATGAGTTTTACAAGTGACCCTTCCCTTCCCTCCACCACACCACTCAGGGGCTGGGGCTTCTCTCGCACCCCCAGCACCTCTGTCCCAAAACCTCATTCCCTTTTTTCTTTACCCAGGATTGGTTTCTTCAATAAATAGATAAGATCGAATCCATTTAATTTCTTCTTAGAAGTTTAACTCCTTTGGAGAATGTGGGCCTTGAATAGGATCCTCTGGGTCCCTCTTAATCTGACAGATGAGCAGACGAGGTGCATGGCCTGGGTTGCAGCTTGAGAGAACCAAAATATTCAAACCAGATGACTTCCAAAATGTGGGGAAAGGGATGGAAAATGAACCTGAGATGGAGTCCTTAATCACGGGATAAAGCCCTGTGCATCTCCCTCATTTCCTACAGGTAAAAGACAGTAAAGAAATTCAGGTCACAGGCCTTGGGAGTTCATAGGAAGGAGATGTCCAGTGCTGTCCAGTAGAACTTTGCACAATGATGGATATGTTCTGTGTTCTCCAGTATGGTAGCTGCTCGCCACATGTGGCTAATAAGTACCTGAAATATGGCTAGCATGACTGAGAAACTGAACTTTTTTTTTTTTTTTTTTTTTTTTTTTTTTTGAGATGGAGTCTTGCTCTGTCACCCAGGCTGGAGTGCAGTGGTGAGATCTTGGCTCACTGCAGCCTCTGCCTCCCAGGTTCAAGTGATTCTCCTGCCTCAGCCTCCCGAGTAGCTGGGACCACAGGCATCTGCCACCACACCCGGCTAAATTTTGTATTTCTAGTAGAGACAGGGTTTCACTATATTGGCTAGGCTGGTCTCGAACTCCTGACCTCAAATGATCTGCCTGCCTTGGCCTCCCTAAGTTGTTGGGATTACAGGCGTGAGCCACTGTGCCTGGTCAAGAAATGGAACTCTTACACACTGCTGGTGGGAATGTGAAATGGTAAGCCACTTCGGAAAACAGTTTGACAATTTCTTATGCTAAAAATACACCTATCAGATGATTTAGCCACTTCTAGGTATTTACTTAAGAAAAAATAAGGCATACATCCATATGAAGACTTGTAAATAAATGTTCTCATTATTTTTATTTGAAATAGCTAAAACTGGAAACAACCCAAATATCCATCAGCAAGTGAATGGATAAACAAATTGTAATATTTGTATGCAATATAACACCACTCAGTAATATGAAAATGAACTACTGATGTATGCAAAAACGTGAAATTCAAAATAATTATGCTGAGTGACAGAATCCAGACAACAAATAATACATAATGTATTATTCTATTTACATAAAGTTTTAGAAAATCCAAACTAATCTAAGTAACAAAGCATACCAATGGTATATGGGGCTTGGGGCAGGTGAGACGGATTATAGAGAAAAAAGTAGGAGGTGATAGACATGTTTAGTTTTTTTGCTTGTTTGTTTTTACTGTGGTAATGGTTTTTCAAGTGTGTATGTCAAAACTTATCAAATTGTACCTAATTTATTGTAGTTTTATTGATACCTCAATAAAATTAATAGTTACATACATAAATGTACTTGAAGTTCCACCTAGCACAATAAGGTAAGAAAAAAAATTAAGGCGTGGGACTGGAAAAGAAATGAAACTCTTCATTATTCACAAATGTCATGATTGCATATATGGAAAATCTAAGTCTACACAAAACCTATTAAAATTAAATAGTGAATTTAGCAATGTGGCTAAACAAAGGTCAATATAAAATATTAAATATAAGCCAGGCATGGTGACATGCATCCACAGTCCCAGCTACTCAGGAGGCTGAGGCAGGAGAATTGCTTGAGCCCGGGAGTTCAAGTCCAGCCTGGGCAACACAGCAAGACCCACTGTCTCTGAAAAAAAATCAAATACATATATCAGCAATAAATAAATAGGAAATTAAATTTTAAATTATAACATTTATCAAATAAATTCTTAAGTGCCAAGAATAAATTTAAAATATGAGATATAAATAGTTAAAATTACAGAATATTGACAGAAATCAAAGAAGACAAATAAATGTTGGGATACAACATGTTAATGTATTGGAAGATTACGAGTAAAAATATTAATTCTCCACAAATTGATCTATAAACAACGCAGCGCCAATCAGAATCCCAGCAGTTTTGTCCTGCTGGAAACTGACAAACTGATTCTGAAATATATAAGTAAATGAAAGGCTCAGAAATAGCCAAGAGAATATTTGAAGAAAAAAGCAAAGCTGGAAGACTTACAATACCAAATATCCAGACTGATGGTAAAGCTGTTGTAACTAATGTAGTGTGGTATGGCCTTACCAATGGACAAATCAATGGAACAAAATATGGAGTCCAAAAAGAAAATAATATACTCACTTGATTTCTGACAAAGTTAATCCTGTGGTACACTGGAGTATGAGTGATCTTTTATTAAATGTTGCCTTGTCAACTCTATGTAGATAAAATAAATCTGTGTTACCAGATGAAGAGTTTTTAATTGGGTTGTTCAGGTTATTGGCATGTTGAACAAAGAACTGAACAAAATGCACAGACAAAGAAAAAGCAACAAAAGCAGAGATTTATTGAAGTGAAAGTACACTCCACAGAGTTAGAGAGGGCTCAAACAAGTGGCTCAAAAGTCCAGATTATAATGTTCCTTGGGGATTTTATTAAACTAAAAGAGCATAGTAGCACGCCTAAACGTCCTTTAGAAGCCTCTAACAGGTCATACTCTATAGGAATGAAGAATTCTGCCCAGGACCAATCAGAGGCACCCTGCAAATGAGGGATTCAGAATGAACCAATCACAGGCATTCCCATTGTGACACAGGGGAGGGGAGGTTCAGAGAAGGAGGGCCTTTGGCCTCGTTATTTGGTCACGGAGAGGTGAGGTTTTCCTCTTAGTCCAATTCCAAGAAGTCAGCAGGGGTTGGCCTTAGGTTCCCTGTCTCCAGACTCTATTCTCCTGCCTCATTTGGACCCCTACAATCTAATTGTGAATGTAAAAGGTAAAAAAAGTTTCAAATAATTACGTAGAAGGATAGCTTCATGACCTTTGGTTTGGCAATATTAATCATTTTTTAAAATAGTTTTTTTGTTTGTTTGTTTGTTTTTGAAACAGAGTCTCACTCTGTGGCCCAGGCTGGAGTGCAGTGGCGCAATCTCGGTTCACTGCAACTTCCGCCTCCCAGGTTCAAGCACTTCTCCTGCCTCAGCCTCCTAAGTAGCTGGGATAACAGGCGTGTGCCACCACACCCAGCTAATTTTTGTATTTTTAGTAGAGACGGGGTTTCACCTGACCTCATGATCCGACCACCTTGCCCTCCCAAAGTGCTGGGATTACAGGCATAAGCCACTGCACCTGGCTGGTGGCACACATTCTTTTTTTTTTTTTTTTTTTAAAGACGGAGTTTCACTCTTGTTGCCCAGGCTGGAGTGCAATGGCACGATCTCAGCTCACCACAACCTCCGCCTCCTGGGTTCAAGTGATTCTCCTGCCTCAACCTCCCGAGTAGCTGGGATTACAGGCAGGCGCCACCACGCCCAACTAATTTTGTATTTTTAGTAGAGAGAGGGTTTCTCCATGTTGGTCAGGCCTGTCTCCAACTCCCAATCTCAGGTGATCCACCTGCCTCAGCCTCCTGAAGTGCTGGGATTACAGGCATTAGCCATCGCGCCCAGCCACACATTCTTATACAAACAGTTTTAACTTGGTTGTAAATATCTCCACTCAAAGGATCTGGCCCATGCAGAAACACAAGACTTGTCCCTCAATATAAATCGTAAGATAGGTGGTGTTTTGTACAGTCTAGAAAACCAGGCCAAGTTGCAGCAAACCCCTAGGTTTTAATGTTAATAAAGTCCTCTTGGACTTCATGGGCCCAAAAGTTCCAGTGTTGTATTGCTTTTGTAAGAAAATTTCAAAACTGTAAAAAAGACAAATGGGTAGTTCTTGGAATACCAAATAAGTAGTGGTTAAACTGGAGGTATCAGTGCATAGCTAAGGCACTAAATTTGTTATAGGTCAGAATCAACTCCCTAAAATTTGATGCTCATAGCCATGAAATAAGGTGGTAGAGCAATGCAGGTTCCCTGATCAAACAGCCTTTCAAAAGGAGTCTTGATCTTATTCAAAGATCATGTCATTTAATTTGCACTATGGCCTTTGCCACACATAAATTATGCAGTAATTCCAGTATTCCACTAAAAATCCATGACCTGAATCTCATTATGGGAATACATCAAACTACAAAATTGAGAGACATTATATAAAGTAACAACTTTTTTCTTCAAAAATGTTGTCATAAGAAACAAAGAAAGGGTAGTAATATCACATGATATCAAAGTAGGGGATTCTTGCTCCCTTCCTCCCACAAAAGTGGACAATTAGCTATCCATGAATAAAAATAGCTCTAGGAGAGCTCTGGAATCCAGTTAAGAAGCTGCAGCAACACAGTGGAGCAAAAAAACACCTAGAATAACCAACATAAGGGGCAGGAAGAACAGTTTCATTTTTAAAAATTGAAATCATATCAAGTATCTTCTGAGATCACAATAGAAAAAAATCCCTAAAAATCAGTAAGAAGCAGAACTTTGGAAACTGTATAAGTACATGGAAATTAAGCTCCTCAATGACCACTGGGTCAAGGAAGAAATAAAGGAGGAAGTAAATTTCTTGAAACAAATGAAAATAGAAACACAACATACCAAAATGTGCGGGATACAGGAAAAGCAGTGCTAAGAAGAAAGTTTATAGCAATAAATGCCTACATCAAAAAAGTAGAAAATTTTAAACTATCGAATCATGCACCTTAAGGAACTACAGAGCAAGAACAAACCACACCCAAATTAGTACAAAGAAAGACATAATAAAGATCAGAAAATTACTAAACAAAATAGAGACTCAAAAAAATACAAAGGATTAACAAAATGAAAAGTTGGTTCTTGGAAAAGATAAATAGAATTAATAAACCACTAGCTAGACTAACCAAGAAAAAATAAAAGAACCAAATAAACAAAACCAGAAGTGTATTATAACTGATACCACAGAAATACCAAAGATCATCAGAGACTACAGTGAATAACTATACACTAACAAACTGGAAAACCTAGGGGAAATGGATAAATTCCTGGATACATATAATTTACTCAGATTAAATCAGGGAGAAATACAAAACCTGAACAGACCAATAATGTGTAAGACCAATAATGATTCAAATATATTGAATCAGTAATTAAAAGTCTCCCAACAAAGAAAAAGTCCAGGACTTGGTGCTTCACTGCAAATTCTACCAAACTTTCGAAGAACTAACACCAATTCTCAAACTATTCCCAAAAATTGAAGAGAAGGGATTCTCCCTAGCTCATTCTAAGAGGCCAGCATTACCTTGAGACCAAAACCAGACAAGGATGCAACAACTACAAAAAACTAGAAGCCAATATCCCTGATGAACATAGATGCAAAAATTCTCAACAAAATACTAGCCAAATCCAACAGCACATCAGAAAGGTAATACACCATGACCAAATGGGATTTATCCCAGGAATGCAAGGATAGTTCAACATATTCAAATCAATAAATGTGATACATCACATAACAGAATGAAGGAAAAAAGCCATATGATCACCTCAATAGATTTCAAAGCACTTGATGAAAATAAACATCCTTTCAAGATAAAAACTCTCATCAAACTAGGCATAGAAGGAACAAACCTCAACAAAGTAAGGGCCATATATGACAAACCCACAGCTAATATACTGAATGAGGAAAAGCCAAAAGGCTTTCCTCTAAGAATTGGAACAAGACAAACATGCCCACTTTCACCACTCCTATTCAGCACAGTACTGGAAGTCCTAGCCAGATTAATCAGGCAAGATAAATAAATAAAAGACATCCAAATTGGAAAGGAGAAAATCAAACTGTCCCTCTTTACCAATGATATGCTCTTATTTCTAGGAAAAACTAAAGAATCCACAAAAAACTCTTAGATCTGATGTAGCCAAAAAACCAATAGGAAAGCAATCCTGAACAAAAACAACAAAGCTGAAGGCATCACACTACCTGACTTCAAAATATATTACAAGGCTATGATAACCAAAACAGTATGGTGTTGGTATAAAACCAGACACACAGACCAGTGGAACAGAATAGAGAACCCAGAAATGAATCTGTGCATTTATAACCAACTGATTTTCAACAAGGGCACCAAGAACATGTACAGGGGAAAGGATACCCTCCTGAATACATGGTGCTAGGAATATTGGATATGCATATGCAGAAGAATGAAATTGGACCCCAATCTACCATATACAAAAATCAACTGAAAATGGATTAAATGGATTAAAAACTTAAATGGCAGACCCAAACTATAAAACTATGAAGAGAAAACAAGGGAAATACTTCAGGACATTGGTCTAGGCAAAAATTTTATGGCTTAGAACTCAAAAGCATAGGTAACAAAAACAAAAATACACAAATGGGACTATATTATGGTAAAAAGCTTGTGCATCACAAAGGAAACAACAGAGTAAAGAGGTAACCTGTTGAATGGGAGAAAATTTTTGCAAACTATTAATCTGACAAGGGACTGATATCCAGAATAAAAAAGGAACTTACACAACAGTAAAACAAAACAAAACAACCCAACCAAAAAAAATCCTATTAAAAAGCAGGCAAAGTACATGAATAGACATTTCTCAAAAGAAGACATAAAAATGGCCAACGGGAATAGAAAAAAAAAAAAGCCCAACATTAATAATCATCAGGAAAATGCAAATCAAAACCAGAATGAGATATCATCTTAGCCCAGTTAGAATGACCATTACTAAAAAGATAAAAAATAATAGATGCTGTTGAGGATGTAGAGAACAGGGAATTTTTTTTTTTTTTTTTTGAGGCGGAGTCTCACTCTGTGGCCCATGCTGGAGTGCAGTGGCATGATCTCAGCTCACTGCAACCTCTGTCTCCCATTTCAAGCAATTCTCCTGTATCAGCCTCTCCAGTAGCTGGGACTACAGGTGCACACCACCACGCCTGGCTAATTTTTGTAATTTTAGTAGAGACAGGGTTTCACCACTCTTACACACTCTTGGTGGAGATTTAAATTAGTACATCTCCTGTGGAAAAGAATGTGGAAATTTTTCAAAAAACTAAAAACTACCATATGATCCAGCAATACCACTACTGGGTATCTACTCAAAGGAAAAAAAATCAGTATATTAAAGGGATACCTTAAATCCCATGTTTATTGCAGCCCTATTCACAATAGCAAAATATGGAATCACCCTGCGTCCATCAATAGATGAATGAATAAATGAAATGTGATAGCCGGGCACAGCTGCTCACACCTGTAATCCCAGCACTTTGGGAGGCCAAGGTGGGTGGATCACAAGGTCGGGAGTTCAAGACCAGCCTGACCAATATGTTGAAACCCCATCTCTACTAAAAATACAAAACTTAGCCGGGCGCAGTGGCAGGTGCCTGTAATCCCAGCTACTCAGGAGGCTGAGGCAGGAGAATCACTTGAACCTGGGGGGCAGAGGTTGTAATGAGCCACCACTGTACTCCAGCCTGGGTAACAGAGGGAGACTCTGTCTCATAAATAAATAAATAAATAAAATGTGATATGTATACATAATGGAATACTATTTGACCATAAAAAAGAATGAAATAATGTTATTTGCAGCAATGTAGAGGGAACTGGAGGTCATTAAGTGAAATAAGCCAGGCACAGAAAGACACATATCACATATTCTCACTCACATTTGGGAGATGTAAAAAAAAAGTCACTCATGGAGGTATACAGTAGAACAATAATACTAGATGCTAGGAGGAGTGTTTGTGAGGGGATGAAGAAAGACTGGGTACACAACACACAGTTAGAAGGAATAAGCTCTAATGTTCAATAGCAGAGTAGAGAGATCACAATTAACAATGTATATTTCAAAATAGCTAGAAGAGAGGACTTGAAATGTTCCCAATACACATAAATGATAAATACTCGAGGTGATGGATACCCCAAATACCCTGACTTGAGCATCCCACAGTCTATGAATGTAAGAAAATGTCACATCTGGCTGGATGCAGTGGCTCATGCCTGTAATCCCAACACTTTGGGAGGCTGAGCGGGGAGGATCACTTGAGCCCAGGAGTTTGAGACCAGCCTGGGCAACAAAATGAGACCCCCGTTTCTATTTACATTTTTTTAAAAAGAAAATATCACATGTTCCCCATGAATATGTATAAACATTATCAATATAAAAATATTTAAAAAAATTTTAAAGACACATAGGCTAAAAGTGAAGGGATGGAAGAAATTATTCTATGCAACTGGTAACCAAAGAGAGCAGGGTGGCTATAATTATATCAGACAAAATAGACTTTATGTTGAAACTGTTATTAGAGACAGAAAAGGTCATTATATAATAATAAAAGGGTCTATTCAACAGGAAGACATAAAGATTGTAAATATATACGCACCCAACATCAGAGCACTGAAATACATAAAACAAATATTGACAGAGCTAAAGGGAGAAATTGACAGCAATGCTATCATAGGAGGAAACTTTAATGCCTCAATTTCAATAATGAATAGAGCACTCAAGCAGAAAATCAATTTTTAAAAACCCGACTTGTGCACTCTAGCCTAATGGACCCCACAAACATATCTATAACTTTCCACCCAGCAGAAGAAGAATTAGCCCATGCAACAAATTCTTTTCAAACACACTTGGAATATCCTCCAGGACAGATCACATGTTGGGTCACAAAACAAGTCTTAAGAATTTAAGAAGATTGAAATCATACCAATTATCTCCTCAGACCATGTGGAATCAAACTAGAAATAATAACAGCAATAAATAAGGAAAATCCACAAACACATAGTAACTAAACAACACACTTTTGAACACCAGTTGGGTGAAAGAGGAAATCAAAAAGGAATTTAAAAAATACCTTGAGACAAATGAAAACAAGAATACAACATACCAAAATTTATGGGATGCAGCAAAAGCAGTCCTAAGAGAAATGTTTATAGGGATAAATGTCTACATTTAAAAAGAAGAAATATCTCAAACAACCTAAGTTTACAACTCGAGGAAGTAGAAAAAAAAACTAAAAGCAAAGCTAGCAGAAAGAAAAAAAATAATAAAGATTAGAATGGAAATAAATGGAATAGGCTGGGCACAGTGGCTCACTCCTGTAATCCCGACAGTTTGGGAGGCCGAGGTGGGCAGATCACTTGAGGTCAGGAGTTCAAGACCAGCCCGGCCAACATGGTGAAACCCTGTCTTTACTAAAAATACAAAAATTAGCTGGTTGTGGTGGTGGGCGACTGTAATCCCAGCTACTCAGGAGGCTGAGGAAGAACTGCTTGAACCCAGGAGGTGGAGGTTGCAGTGAGCCAATCTCGCCATGCACTCCAGCCTCAGCGATAGAGCAAGACTCCATCTCAAAAAAAAAGAAATAAAATAGAGAGCAGAAAAACCATAAAGAAAAATCAGCAAAACTAACAGTTGTGTTTTTGTTAAAGATAAGCAAAATCAACAATCCCTTACGTAGACTAAGAAAAAAAATAGAGAAGACTCAAAGAAAATCAGAAATGAAATAGGAGACATTACCTTGAATGACAAAGAAATAAAAATGATCATAAGTGACTATTATAAACAAGTATACATCAACAAATTAGAAAATATAGTACAGTGGCCCCCAACCTTTTTGGCACCAGGGACTGGTTTCATGGAAGACAATTTTTCCACAGACCAGGGTGATAAGGGGACAGGGGAGGATGGTTTCAGGATGAAACTGTTCCACCTCAGATCATCAGATTCTCATAAGGAGCGGGCAACCTAGATCCCTTGCATGCAGAGTTCACTATAGGGTTCATGCTCCTGAGAATCTAATGCTGCCACTGATCTGACAGGAAGTGGAGCTCAGGCAGTAATGTTCGCTCTCCTCCTGCTGTGCAGCCCAGTTCCTAACAGGCCATGGACTGGTACTGGTCCATGGCCCAGGGATTGTGAACCCGGATATAGGAGAAATAGATAAATTCCTAGAAACATACAACTTTCCAAGATGGAATCCGGAAGAAATAAAAAGTCTTACTTCTCCTGGGACCCCTGGAATCATGGCATATTCTGAACAAGGGGAGAAACATATTGAGCAGAGGCTCTTAGAGGAGAAACCACCTGGAATGACTCATGAGAAGATGGCATCTGGAGTAGAGGCTATTACTGGCCCAATACAGAACACTGTTCACTGGGACTTCCCTTACACCAGCATCCAGTATGCTCCCACCCCCATGCACCCTTCGGAGGTGCATGCTCAGCAAGGGGTATAAGAGTACCACTGGCAAAACAATGCTTAATCCATCTGGCAGTCATCCTGGCCCTGTGTTTTCCTACATCAGGGCTAAAGGAGGCCAAGGGGTGGCAGAGTGTCAGAACTGATTCATTATTCCAAAGTGCACTTTTGCCTCACTTTCGAGGCATTGAGACTTTGCTGTGGACAGTCTTATACTGTCTCCTCGCAGGGCATGGCCTTCTCTGTGCCTTGTCCTTGTTATGCATCCTCCTGTATCCCTCACAAAGGAAGAGATGGAGCTGTTTGCTAATCCACTTTCTTCTTGAGCAGTTCATGTTGTATGAATAATAGCAAAACCTCTAGGTCACATGTGACTTGTTTAAATACTGTACATACATACCTTGGTGTGTGTGTATATATATATATACACACACACACACACACACACATATATACATATACATATATATATATATATATATATATATAAAATACACACTTGTACATGAAACTCGTAGAATTCAAACCACATCCCATATGGGCTCTGAATATCCTAGGTAGTGCTTGGTGCAAGAGAGAAGTTTGTTGGCATATAATTCACCTTATCACCCCTGTCTCTTTGTCATAATTCTGCTAAATTATTGAGCCTCCATCACATCCAGTTTCTTATGGACATTCTAGTCTCACTCAGAACTGACTCAAAGTTCGACACACACTTTTTAAAAATTCCTCCTAATTGAAACTGTATATCCTTTGACCAACATCTCTCCAACCAACACCACCCCTGACAGGCCCTGGTAACCACAATTCTACGCTCTACTTCTATGAGTTCAACTTTTTTAGATTCCACATATAAGTGAGATTACACAGTATTTGTCTTTCTATGCCTGGCTTACTTCACTTAACATAATGTTCTCCAGGTTCATCCTTGTTGCAAACAACATGATTTCCTCCTTTTTAAAGTCTGAATACTATTCCATTATATATATGCCATTTCCTTTCTCCACTCATCCTTTGATGAACACTTAGATTGCTTCCACATCTTGACTATTGTGAATAGCGCTGCATTAAACATGGGAGCATAGATATCTCTTAAACATATTGATTTTATTTCCTTTGGATATTGATATAGTTTAAATGTGTGTCCCTGCCCAAATCTCATATTGAAATGTAATCCCCAATGTTGGAGGTGGGGCCTGGTGGGAGGTGATTGGATCATGAGGGTGGAGTCCTCATGAATGATTTAGCACCATCCCTCTTAGTACCATCCTCCCAATAGTGAGTTCTCATGAGATCTGGTTGTTTAAAAGTGTATAGCACCTCCCCCTCACTCTCTTGCTCCCGCTTTTGACATATGACATGCCTACTCCCCCTCTGCCTTCCACTATGACTGGAAACTTCCTGAGGCCTCCCCAGAAGCAGGTGCCATTATACTTCCTGTACAGCCTGCAGAACTGTGAGCCAATTAAACCTCTTTACTTAGAAATTGCCTAGTCTCAGGTATTTCTTTATAGCAATTCGAGAATGGACTAACAGAAAATTGGTACCGAGAAGTTGGGCATTGCTGTAAAGATGCCTGAAAATGTGGAAGCAGCTTTGGAATTGGATAACAGGCAAAGGTTGGAAGAGAGTTGAGTGCTCAGAAGATAGGAAGATGAAGGAAAGTTTGGAGCTTCTTAGAGACTGGTTAAATGGTTGTGACTAAAATGCTGATAGTGATAACGGACAATGAAGTCCAGGCTGCCAAGGTCTCAGATAGAAATTAGGAACTTATTGGGAACTGGAGAAAAGGTCCCTTTTGCTATGCCTTAGCAAAGAGCTTGGCTGCATTGTGTCCACACCCTAGGGATCTACGGAAGTTTGAACTTGAGAGTGATGACCTAGGGTATCTGGCAGAAGAAATGCCTAAATAACAAAGCATTCAAGATATGGCCTGGCTGCTTGTAACCACCTATGCTAAGATGTGGGAGCAAAGAAATGACTTAAAGCTGGAACTTATATGTAAAAGGTAAGCAGAGTGTAAAAGTTTGGAAACTTTGCACTGGCCATGTGGTAGAAAAGAAAAGTTCATTTTCAGAAGAATTCAAGAAAGTTTCTGAGCAACCATTTGCTAGAGAAATTTGCCTAACTAAAAATGAGGCAAGTGCAGATAGCCAAGAAATGGGAAACAGGCCTCTAAGGCATTTCAGAGATCTAAGAGGCAGCCCCTCCCATCACAAGCCCCGAGGCCTAGGAGGACAGAATGGTTTCATGGGCCAGAATTGACCTGTGCAGCCTCAGGACATGTCTCCCTGCATCCTGGCTTCTCCAACTCCAGCTGTGACTTAAAAGGGCCCAGGTACAGCTCAGACTGCAGCTCCAAAGGTTGCAAGCCATAAGTCTTGGTGGTTTCCACATGGTCTTAAGCCTGCAGGTGCACAGAGTGTGAATAAGGCTTGGGAGCCTCCATCTAGATTTCAGAGGATATGTGGAAAAGCCAAGGTGTCCAGGCAGAAGCCTGCTGCAGGGGCTAAGCCTTGACAGAAAACCTCTACTAGAGCAGTGCAAAAAGGAAATGTGGGGTTGGAACCCTCACACAGAGTACACACTGGGGCACTGACTAGTGGAGCTATGAGAAGAGGGCCACCATCTTCCAGATCCCAGAATGGTAGATCAGAGCAGCCTCTGAGCCTGAACCCGGCAAAGCCACAGGGGAAGAAATACCCAAGGCTGGAAGCCCACCTCTTAAATTGGTGTGCCCTGGACATGGGACATGGAATCAAAGATTATTCTGGAGCTTTAAGATGTAATGATTGCCCTACTGGGTTCTGATCTTGCATAGGGCCTGTAGCCTCTTTCTTTTAGCCAATTTCTCCCTTTTGGAACAGGAATGTCTATCTAATGCTTGTACCCCCATTTTATCTTGGAAGTAACTAACTTGTTTTTGATCTTACAGGCTCATAGGAGGAAAGAACTTGCCTTGTCTCAGATGAGACTTCAGACTTTGGACTTTTGAGTTAATGCTGGAATTAGTTAAGACTCTGGGGGACTGCTGGGAAGGCAAGATTGTATTTTGAAATGTGAGAAGGCCAGGAGATTTGAGAGGGGCCAGAGGCAGAATGACATTGTTTAGATGTGTATCCCAACCCAAATCTCATACTGAAATGTAATCCCCAATATAAGAAGTGGGGACTGGTGGGAGGTGATTGGATCATGGGCGCAGATTCCTCATGAATGGCTTAGCAGCCCTTTGTTTCCATCCTCATAATAGTGAGTTCTTATGAGATCTGGACATTTAAACGTGTGTACCATCTCCCTCCTCACTCTCTTGCTCCTGCTTTCACCATGTGATGTGCCTGCTCCCATTTTGCCTTCCACCATGATTGGAAACTTCCTGAGGCCTGCTCAAAAGCAGATGCCACTATGCTTCCCGTACAGCCTGCAGAACTGTGAGCCAATTCAACATCTTTTCTTATAAGTTACCGAGTCTCGGGTTTTCTTTATAGCAATGCAAGAATGGACTGATACGGATATATACAGATATATACAGATATATATAGTGGGATGACTGGGTCATATAGTGGTTATATTTTTAATTTGAGAAAACTCCGGATATTTTCTATGTTTGTACTAATTTACATTTCCACAAATAGTGTACAAGTGTTCCCTTATATCCATACCCTCACCAACCCTTGTCGTCTTTTGTCTCTTTGATTACAGCTATTCTAACACTGTGAGGTGGTATCTCAGTGTGGTTTTAATTTGCATTTCTCTGATGATTAGTAATGTTGAGCATTTTTTCATATGGACACTTTTTTTTTTTTTTTTTAAAGATGGAGTCTCACTCTGTCACCCAGGCTGGAGTGCAGTGGCGCGATCTAGGCTCACTGCAACCTTCGCCTCCTGGGTTCAAGCAATTCTCCTGCCTCAGCCTCCTGAGTGGCTGGGATTACAGGACCCACCACGCACCACCACACCCAGCTAATTTTTGTATTTTTTTAGTAGAGACAGGGTTTCACCACGTTGGTCAGGCTGGTCTCAAACTCCTGACCTCACGATCCGCCCACCTCGGCCTCCCAAAGTGCTGGGATTATAGGCATAAGCCACCGTGCCCAGCCTTATATTGACACATTTTTAAGGGATTTGGGGGGGGGCAGGGGTTCTTTGCAACAATGTAAACATCCAGTCCCTCATCAAACTTTCAATTTTTTTTCACGTACTAATTTATATCAGTTTGGAATTATGATTCCCTCTGTTATTTAATGGGTTTTAATCTATAACTAGCATTATTTATTTTGATGCTCAAACCATGTCAAGTTTGGTCAGTGGAAGTCCCTTCAATCTGGTTTCCATGTCCTTTGAACACGTCCCCACCATTCTTTGAGCACTGCCTTACTTTCAAGCACAAGATGTTCCAAGTTCATTCTGAACTTTCCCTTCCCCAGCTCTGGAATCTGCCATTTCTCCATGGAGCCTTGCTCCTTTCAGTGGAGCATGGTATTTAGGAACCAAGGGCTGACTGCCTAATGTGCTTTCCAAGTATAATTTCCTCAGTCCAAGCTTTTCAAATTGATCTGCCAAAGACCCATTGCCAAAGATCCATTGCCAGAATATAAGAGTGGAAGGAAATTCTTAATATTTTTTGAAAGTTACTATTATTTTCATTTTTCTCTTTGTAAAAAATTCATTTAATTCAATATAAAAAGACAAAAATCTTTGGCACATAAATCGCAACTCTCTGATGCAAATGTTTAAATAAAGCTGATACTCCAAGAAGACGCAACATATTCTCTTTATCCCACAGACATATAGGCCTATGGTTGCAAACTTTTATACACACACAGAGTCACAATTCCACTGGCACCCGTGATGTTCCACATCCAGATTTTCCAAATCACACATTCTCATCTTCACATAGCCTTGCCGGCAACCACACGGCATAGTACCACATTGTTACGTCAAGCACAGCCAGTCTACCACAGAGCCTGTCGTCCCATTGACCAAAGTCACAAAAATCACAGCCCCGGGTATTTACTGTGGTTTTCTCCAGTCAGATCCCTTCACTCACTACACACTGACTCACACTCAAATTACACACACGCGGAAACACAACCCGCCAGAGCCAGAGAGGTTCCGTCGGTCCCGCAACCCTCACAGTGCCACACACACGCGCTCACAAGGCAAATACAAATGGCCAGGCACTCATTCTTTACAATACACATATTAAGCGCCTATTATGTACTACACGCCGGGACTACCTCAAGAGGTGAAACAAACAAAATCCTGCCTGGCGGAGCTATCGCCCAGTCCCGCACGCACTCGGCCTCAGGGTCACACTCGGCGGTCCCACGCTCAAGTGGCCCGGCCAGTGGCCCAGAGGCGTCTGTTCTCCTCCTCAGCTTCCTGCGTGGGTTCCTGGTAAGTGAGTCGAACCCGCCGGATGCGCGCGCGCCTGCGCCTCCGCCCAAAAGGATCAGTTTCCGGCTGTGGACTACATTTCCCAGAAGCCCCTTGGGCAGTGTTGCCTGGACCCCAAGGGCCCTTTACATTGCGTTCTTAACGGTTCAGTCACCTTAACCGTTATTATTCACTTGCGGGCGAGAAGTCCGAGCTAGGTGAGGCGGAACGGGACTCTTACGAGTAGGACTGGGGATAGAACTGCCGCCCAAAGTGAGGCGCTCCAGGGCCCAGACCTGGCGTGTCGTGCCCGCAGGGAGCCTCAGGCCTGTGCGTGCTTGGGGAGCGGAGAAGGGAAATTGTGTGACAAAATGTGGCAGACGGTGTATGTGTGTGTGTGCGCGCGACGGGGCGCCTGTCAGGACCGGGTTGGGCGGGTGTGGGTGCGGGTGTGAGGCTGAGACAGGTGCCTGGCTCTCTGGTGTGTGTCACTGACCCTCTACCCTCCTCACGGCCTCGGTGTTTGCACACAGCAGTGTCCCCAAGAGGGAAGTCAAATATCGAGCTCTGGGATGAAGGTTCCCAGCAAGAAGGTACAGACCTGGGTTGGCGATTGGACTTTTGAATTAGAAGTGTCCCTAAAACAGACTCCTGGGACGACAGGTTGGAAGACTGCGCAGTTGGAGCCGCTGTGTGGGCAGCTGCATGTTTCAGAACCACTGCATTCCCATACCTTTGATCTAGAAACCTGGTGTGAGTTCAGAGACAGATCCCAGCCTCACTCTCACACAGCTGTTATGTGCGTGAGGTCAGCACAGATGTGGCGCTGGAGGGGATATTCTAGGTCGGTCTGTGCTCTTAAGAAAGGCCTGCTGTCTCATGATTATTTTTCTTCCCCCATTCTGCTATTCATCAAAACAGGGATCCTGAAAAGGAGGGAACAATTGTTGTAGCAGGTCTAAAAGTTCAGGTCCAGGTAAGTTTATATTTCCTTTTTATTCATAAAATGGAAATCACACATTCTAATCCTCACACAGCCTTGCCTGCACCCAGTCATACGGCGTGGTACCACACTGCTATGTCAAGCACAGCCACAATCTACCACAGAGCCTGTCACCTCATTGCTCACAGTCACAAAAATCACATCCCCAGGTACTTTCTGTAGCTTTCATTTGCATTTTTCCCTTTGAAGAAGTTCATTTGATTCAATCTAAAAAGACTAAATTATTTGTCACATAAATTGCAACTCTCTGGTCTATATCTTTAAGTAAATCTTTAAATAAATGCATAAAATGTTTTTGTTTTTAGGAAATGGAAACATTGCTTTGCTTTTCCTGAATTGTCCAGTGACCTATCCCAGGCCTTCCTTTCCAGTGAACAATGGACCATGCAGGTGGACCCTCCTCTTCACGGGCCTCCAAATGACTTTCTCATTTTTCAAATCATTCCTCTGCACTCACTTTCTATAATGGTAGAGAAATGCATATCCTGGAGTCTAAAGTTAAAACTTTGTTTTATTGAGATTAATGTTTAGGTAGAATCACATCATCCATCTTCTCCAATCTTCTCCAAAGACCTCAGTTTTAAAATATGACAGGATTAGAGATGACCTGACTAGTGTCAGTAAGCAAGTGATAATGGTCGCCTGCTTTTAAGGCTTTTAGAAGTGGGAATGTGATTGGAAGTCCAAGCATAGAAATCTGTGTGAACATGAGCAGGGATTTTTTTCCAAGGAATCCATGAGTTGAGATTTATTTTTATACAGAGTTAGTCATAAGAATAAAAAGTACATATGAGTAAAGTAATAGTCATAGTGATGAAGAATAATACGCAATTTTTTTTTCTTTTTTTGAGAAGGAGTCTCGCTGTGTCACCCAGGCTGGAGTGCAATGGCATGAACTCGGCTTACTGCAGCCTCTGCCTCCTGGGTTCAAGTGATTCTCCTGCCTCAGCCTCCCAGGTAGCTGGGATTACAGGCGCCTGCCACCATGCCTGGCTAATTTTTGTATTTTTAGTCGAGACAGGGTTTCACCACGTTGGCCACGCTGGTCTGGAACTCCTGACCTCAGGTGATTCACTTGCCTTGGCCTCCCAAAGTGCTGGGATTACAGGCATGAACCACCGCACCCAGCCGCAAATTTTAAATTTTATATGAATCTCACTAATATTAGGATTTAAAGACATTTAACAAGCATTATATCTAAATTAACATTTCAACTGATTATTTGCTGGAGAAGTAGAGGAGAACCAAACACTCTTCTGTCTGCTTTGTTCAAATTTTCTTATTCAGTCTGCAGACACTGTTCACCTGGCTTGTGTATTAAGAGAAGAATCTTAACAGTGAAAAGGTCTTGTTGAATTGAAGAAGAATGTTCAAGAACTGGCAGGCATTTATTTATAATGGTCATGCTGTTTTCCTATTGTTTGCATACATGTCAAACCAATTTGCTTCTGATGTGTTAAAACATTTTATTTTATAATTGGATATAGATCTATTGTATACTTCTGGTTATAGAATTAATATTCACCTTTTATAAATTATTTAGTTACTCATTATATTACATAAGGCACTTATAAAGAAGAAAGTTAAAATAGCCCCAGCATCACTATTAACACTTTGGGGAGCTATATTTTAGCAAGATTTTTTTTTTTTTTTGACAGAGTCTCGTTCTGTTGCCCAGGCTGGAGTGCAGTGATGTGATCTTGGCTTACTGCAACCTCCATCTCCCAGGTTCAAGAAATTCTCCTGCCTCAGCCTCCCGAGTAGCTGGGATTACAGGCGCCTGCTACCACGCCCAGCTAATTTTTTGTATTTTTAATAGAGATGGGGTTTCGCCATGTTGGCCAAGCTGGTCTCAAACTCCTGACCTCAGGTGATCCACCCACCTCGGCCTCCCAAAGTGCTGGGATTACAGGTGTGAGCCACCATGCCCGACCTATTTCAGCAAGATTTTTCAGCACACTTGTATGTATGTGTGTGTGTATGTGTGTGCGCACAGCACCTGCACTTTTCTTCCTGCAGAATAGAAATTGCACTAACTGATTATTCAAAGGACACAAGACTTTCCAGCTTCTAGTTAGAAAAACTAATTCTCCCTAACCATAGCTTTCTTATAACTCTGTGCACATAGGGAGAAGAGGAAAACACCAATGAATCCTGCTAAGTTTGATTAACCTTTGAGAAATTTACACCTTTTAGGGTTATATAAACCAATCAAGGATAATTAATATGACATAATTTATCAAGTAAGATAGTTCTTCAGGATTATACTCTTTTTTTAGATTTTTAAGGTTGCTTTTACAGGACATAGCAATACTCTTATCTTGGTTAGGTTTTTTTCAGGGTTCCATTATGCAAATAACATTTTCTAGGACAGATTTATAACAGTAGAAAACAGAATAAGGGTGGGCATGGTGGCTCAAGCCTGTAATCCCAGCACTTTGGGAGGCCCAGGCAGGTGGATCACGAGGTCAGGAGTTCAAGACCAGCCTGGACAAGATGGTGGAACCCCATCTCTACTAAAAATACGAAAATTAGCCGGCTGTGGTGGCATGCGCTTGTAATCCCAGCTGCTTGGGAGGCTGAGGCAGAGAATTGCTTGAACCCAGGAGGTTGCAGTGAGCCGAGATAGCACCACTGCCCTCCAGGCTGGGCGACAGAGTGAGACTCTGTCTCAAAAAAAAAAAAAAAAAAGAAAAAGAAAAAGAAAACAGAATAAGATAGTAACAGCTACAAATATTCATGTAAATCTTTCCATATAGAACAGGAGAACAAGATTGAACCTCATATTAAAATTATCTATTGAATGCCTTATTACAGCAGTTCCCAACCTTTTTGGCACCAGGACTGGTTTCATGGAGGACCGTTTTTTCACAGACAGGGAGAGGGAGATGGTTTCAGGATGATTCAAGCACATTACATTTATTGTGCATTTTATTCCCATTATTATTACATTATAACACGTAATTAAATAATTATACAACTCACCCTAATGTGGAATCAGTGGGAGACCTGAGCTTGTTTTCCTGCAACTAGATGGTCTCATCTTGGGGTGATGGGAGGCAATGACAGATCATCAGGCATTAGATTCTCATAAGGAGCACGCAGCCTAGATCCCTCACATGGTCAGTTCATAATAGGGTTCGCACTCCTATGAAAATCTAATGCTGCAGCTGATCTGACAGGAGGCAGAGATCAAGCGGTTAATGCTAGCAATGGGGAGTAGCTGTAAATACAGATGAAGCTTCCCTTGCTGGCCTGCTGCTCACCTTCTGCTGTGTGGCACAGTTCCTAACAGGCCGTGGTCCAGTGTCAGTCAGTGACCTGGGGGTTGGGGACCCCTGCCTTAATTAGATTATTTTAGCTAGTTTTATGTTGAAGAATGATGTCCCCCCTTTGGTAGTTGCAAGAACAAAAGAGGATATTTCTTTTTTTTTTTTTTAAATGAAGTCTCACTCTGTTGCCCTGGCTGGAGTGCTGTGGCTCAATCTCAGCTCATTGCAACCTCTGCCTCCCAGGTTCAAGTAATTCTTCTGCCCAGCCTCCAGAGTAGCTGGGATTACAGGTACCCACTACCACACCTGGCTAATTTTTGTATTTTTAGTAGAGACGGGGTTTCACCATGTTGGTCAGGCTGGTCTTGAACTCCTGACCTCAGGTGATCCACCCACCTCAGCCTCCCAAAGTGCTGGGATTACAAGTGTGAGCCACCGCGCTCTACCAAGAAGAGATTTCTTGATTATCTTTCTGGGAGTCTGTTTTACGAATGTTGTTAATTAAAAATAATTGCATCTTCAAGGCTCAGCTCTGAAATACTTAAAATATCATTATTAAAAAATGGGCATGAGACTCAAACTTTACTAGAAAAAATGAAATAATATAAAATGATTTTATTTAATAGCAGTGGAACAAAGGACATAATATCCTCTATTTTAATAATACTGGCTAACTTTTATTACGTAATTATGTATCATTAAGTGGGATGTATGTATTATCTCAATCTTCGTGACAACCCTATGAGATAGGTGCTGTTTTTATCCCTAATTTACCAACAAACTAACTGAAAAGTATGTAGCTGTCAGACTAAGATTCACATTCTGAAAATCTGACAACAGAGTTTGTGTTATTAATGACAACGTTATAACCCTGCCCATAATGGCATATGCTCCTTTAATTTGCCTGTATCAGTCAGTAACTCATCATTGATGTCTTCCTCCAAAAATAAATATGGACCAATATAGTTAGTATTAGTAAGGCCTTAGTGTGCCATCATAACTGACCATAGTTTATTTAACCTGCTGCCTACTATAGCTATTAGTATTTTTAATATTTGATTATTATAAGTTGTTATATGATAAATGTCTTATGTATATGTCTTAATATGCTTTAATAGCCACTTGCAAGAAAAAAATGCCAAAAATTGGAATTTTAGTCAAATATCAGACATAAGGGCTCACAGTATACTGAATCTTGTGTTAGTAATCAGAGGAATACAAGAACTGAAAACACATAGGTGTTACTGTACAGCAGAGAGTCTAAAATCAGAATAGACTGAATAAGTATAAGGTAGAAGATAATAAAAAACAGTAAAGAAATTCAGGTCACAGGCCTTGGGAGTTCATAGGAAGGAGATGTCCAGTGCTGTCCAATAGAACTTTCCATGATGATGGATTTGTTCTATGTTTTCCAGTGTGGTAGCTGCTCACCACATGTGGCTAATAAGCACCTGAAATATGGCTAGTGTGACTGGGAAACTAACTTTTTTTTTTTTTTTTGTCGAGATAGAGTCTCACTCTGTCGCCCAGGCTGGAGTACAGTGGCGAGATCTCAGCTCACAGCAGCCTCTGCCTCCCGGGTGGAAGCGATTTTCCTGCCTCAGCTTCCTGATTAGCTGGGACCACAGGCATCAGCCACCATGCCCAGCTAATTTTTGTATTTTTAGTAGAGACAGGGGTTCACTATATTGGCCAGGCTGGTCTCAAACTCCTGACCTCAAAAGATCCGCCCACCTTGGCCTCCCAAAGTCCTGGGATTGCAGGCGTGAGCCGCCGTGCCCGGCCTGAACTTTTAATTTTATTTAAAATTTGATTTAACTTTTTTTTTTTTTTTTTTTTGAGACAGAGTCTCGCTCTGTCGCCCAGGCTGGAGTGCAGTGGTGCAATCTCGGCTCACTGCAAGCTCTGCCTCCCAGGTTCACACCATTCTCCTACCTCAGCCTCCCGAGTAGCTGGGACTACAGGCGCCTGCCACCACGCCTGGCTAATTTTTTTTGTATTTTTAGTAGAGACGGGGTTTCACGTTGTTAGCCAGGATGATCTTGATCTACTGACCTCGTGATCTGCCTGCCTCGGCCTCCCAAAGTGCTGGGATTACAGGCGTGAGCCACCGTGCCCAGCTTAAAATTTGATTTAAATAACCATATTTGTATTGAACAGCACAATTTCATACCTTAAGTTTTTATTGTAATGATTCAAAGTGAGGCTAATGGGTTTTTATTGTTAGATTCAAAAACAAAGTTTTTATTGTTAGATTCAAAGTGAGGCTAATGGGACAAGATTATTCAGCAGCAGTTTGGAGGATATTGTGGCTGAAAGGAAAATTTCAGAGCACAAACTGTCAATACGTTTGTCAGGAGTACATGAAAAGCCACTTCACTGTGACCAGCATTCATATGTATAAGACATTGCAATATATTAGCATACATGGACATATGTGAAAAATCAAAAGAATTGCTTCCAATGTTATGAGCTAAAGGGAAAAAAGACATTCAGTAAAAATATAACAGCTGTTGGCCAGGCACAGTGGCTCATGCCTGCAATACCAGCACTTTGGGAGGCTGAAGAGGGCAGATCACCTGAGGTCAGGAGTTCGAAACCAGCCTGGCCAACATGGCGAAACCCTGTCTCTACTAAAAATACCAAAATTAGCCGGGCGCAGTGGTGGGCGCCTGTAATCCCAGCGACTCGGGAGCCTGAGGCAGGAGAATCACTTGAACCTAGGAGGCGGAGTCTACAGTGAGCTGAGATTGTGTCATTACACTCCAGCCTGGGTGACAGAGTGAGACTCTATCTCAAAAAAATATATATATATAAATATATAAATATATTTATATGTATTTATATATAATATATAAATATATATATAACTATATTAATATATAAATATATATTATATATATAACTATATTAATATATATATATATCAGCTGTTTTTAGATTATCTTAAGCTTTTCCTTCAAGTTGAAGAGAAGATCGTTCAACAAAGGAAAGGCTTTCTCTTATCAAAATGAAAAATAAGTACATATGTATGCCGGTGTGTATATTTTAAATTTTTATTTTATTTTTTTGAGATGAGTCTCACTCCCGTCGCACAGGCTGGACTACAGTGGCACAGTCTCGGCTCACTGCAACCTCCACCTCCTGGGTTCAAGTGATTCTCCTTCCTCAGCCTCCCAAGTAGCTGGGATTACAGGCATGTGCCACCACACCCAGCTAATTTTTGTATTTTTTAGTGGAGATGGGGTTTTGCCATGTTCGCCAGGCTGGTCTCGCACTCCTAACCTCAGGTGATCCAGCCACCTCGGCCTCCCAGCGTGCTAGGATTACAGGCGTGAGCCACCGTGCCCAGCCTAAATTAATTTTTAAAGTTACAGATTATACTTTAAAAATATATCAAGTAATGTCATGCAGCTTGGCAGTGCTGACATATAGATATATACATTTTTAAACTTTTTTCTCTCTCTCAGTTTCTGCCTGTCCTTCGTTCTTTCTTTATGTATGTGTGTGTGTGTGTATGTTTTCACAAATGTAATTATATTGTACATTCTGGGTTTTAACCTTATTTTTTAATTTAGAACATATCTTGGATATTTCCCAAATCCTTTAAATATTTTCTCCAATTTAGTATAGTATTTAATATCTACTTAATATTCTGTTTCATAGATGATCTGTAACTTATCTAACCAGTCAGCTATTGCTGGACTCAGAATGCTGAATTCTACCTCCCTGCATGCATCTTTTTTATTTTTGCTTTTTCCAGTAAGCCTTTTGCACCCCTAACCTGCATGCATCTTTTTTTTTTTTTTTTTTTTTTTTTTTGAGACAGAGTCTTGCTCTGTCGCCCAGGTTGGAGTGCAGTGGCGCGATTTCAGCTCACTGCAACCTCTGCCTCCCGGGTTCAAGCGATTCTCCTGCCTTAGGCTCCTAAGCAGCTGGGATTACAGGCATGTGCCACCATGCCTAGCTAATTTTTTTTGTATTTTTAGTAGAGATGGTTTCACCATGTTGGCCAGGCTGGTTTCGAACTCCTGACCTCAAATGATCTGCCCGCCTTGGTCTCTCAAAGTGCTAGGATTACAGGTGTGAGCCACCGCGCCCGGCCTAACCTGCATGCATCTTAATACACATCATTTGCTTTGGGTAGAGTCCCAAAATTAGGTTTGGATGGTAAAAGTCTCTCACATCCTTCTACATGCCATGTTTTAAGGTCCTACAAATCTGTAGCATTTACACAGTATTCATTTCCCTGTGATGTTGCTCATCTGGCATATTATTAATCTTTTAAGTCTGCCATTCTAATAATTGTCAACTGGTATTTCCTTAATTAGGATCTGCTTCATTGTATTGAAATTTAATAAGTTCGGTGGATGATATGCTGCTATTTTTAGTGAATTGCTCATGCTTAAGTTTCATTTGAAAACATTCTGGGCTTCAGAGGCAAAAGCCAGAGTTGAGAGCAAGACCCTGTCTCCAAAAAAAAAAAAAAGATAGTTTGCTTTATAATTAGAGAAATGTGGATTCAGAACACAGCTCTGCCTCTTACTAACTGTGAATTTGGGCAAGTTACATTATTTTAAGCCCTCATTACCTCATCTGTTGGATGGAGATAAATGCATTGCATGGTTAAATGTTAATATGATAAAGGACCCATCATGCAGAAGATCCTAAAAATAGCTACTTTTGTTGTCATCACCTGGCAACCGTGGGCATGAATTTACACCACCCCAGCCTTGATATTGAGATATCTTCCCCAGTTTATATGCGCAGAATGGTGGGGTTGGAAGTAGAAATGATGGCATAACAGGATCTTATTAACTTAAGTCATTTTAGGAGTTTTGACACACATCTGGTCTCAGAGTCACTTGTTCTTCCCCCCAGCCCCGGTTTCTCTGGATTCTGTGCTTCTCCATGGAGGAAACTCAAGGAGAACTGACAAGTTCTTGTGGTTCTAAAACCATGGCCAATGTAAGTTTGTGTTTTTCTTCCTTGAAATACTGTGTTTTTAAATTCATGTGATCATTGAAGTCTCGTTATCTTGAGACTTCCTTCCTAAGACAACCCTGTTGTGGAACCTGCTCCCTAGTTACTCCCTAGTTACAGTGAAGGATAGTGCCAAATAGCCTAGTGTCTTCCTCATTTGCTCCTGTTTTCTCTTATCTGTGCTCAAACATTGTCTTCCATGTCAGCCTCAGAGGCAGAGGTCAGATCCCATGCATTGAGAGGCTTAGAGGACTAGGCTGGAGTATGATTGGGGCCTGCATATGGTAGTTTCAGGCATCTAGCCAGGGAATTTCCAAGGGATGAATAAGAAAACAAAAGTCAATTTTGTGGTTGAGGAGGTTGTGCTGGTCTCCAGTGACATCAGTGTCATTGTGGATACGTCAGCATCCTCTGGCTTAGGAACAAAGCAAGTATTCCTGAGGTATGGCAGGGGTAGCAGGTAGGAAGATCCTCCAATCCCTAATGATGGCTGGAAATAGGCTCTGATCCCTAATGATGGGTGGAAACAGAACTGGGGAAGACCTTAAACATTTTGGCCAACCTAAATGCCTAAGAATAAAAGAAGAATTAGTCTGCTGTATCTTTAAGATGGATGATATTATTAGCTAGCCAATAAATATACTAACTGAAGACTTTTCTTATGAGGTTATTTTGCATCATGATGAACCAGAGTTTTAACGAAATCACGTAATGTCAGTCAAATCCTGTTTTCTAAGAGAGATTTTAGAGTACTTTTTGGTGAAAAAATTCTTTTTCCAAAAATTTTTTGAAGGGAAGAGAGGATGATGGAACTTGCATTTATTCAGAACTTTAACTGCAGGCACATAATGGGCAATGTGCTTATTTATGCTATTTCACTTAATTTGCATCAACAATATTCTTTAAAAGCGTATGAACACTTTATTTCAGAAATATTAATTTCTTTATTCTTTTACACACATTGCAGGCTTGAGCCCCAGTTTATTTGCTTACTATGTTGCTTCTTTCCTGCAAAGCAGTTTTCCATCTTGAAAATACATTTAATTTTTTTTTAATACATAGGCTTGTCATTTCAGGTATCTTTGGCATTTAGGGATGTGTCCATAGACCTCTCCCAAGAGGAGTGGGAGTGCCTGGACGCTGTGCAGAGGGACTTGTACAAGGATGTGATGTTGGAGAACTACAGCAACCTGGTCTCACTGGGTAAGGTATCTTTCGAAATCGTTTACAATCTGTTTTCTGGAGTATCAGCTTTCTCCACTGTCAAACTTTAGAACTCTGTTTTAAGAGGCTGACTGACACCCCTATTTCTAAAGTCATAGTTTCAGCAGTGTTGGGGTGGAAATGGGCACCTGTGTTAAGCAACTTCACCTTTCTGACCCTCAGTGACATTCACTCCTCCCTCTGACTTTTCCTGTCATTGCTTGCTTTTCTAAATAATTTCCAGGTTTGAGTTGTGTGACATCAGATTTCATATAATGCATATACTCAGAATTCCTATAGCTGTTCTGTGTTAATATCTGACCTTCCTACAAGACAACAGCTAGTCTCAGAATTCTAGTTTTCCTTGATTATCAAAAGAACCTCCATGGATTATACAGTGGTGGATTGAGTTAACAATAGTCATTTAAAACTCAAGCCAACACACCCCATCCTAAAGGAGACATATTCTCCTTAACCTGCTTTGCGGTTGAAAGTTAAAGTCTGTGAATTGACATTTTCTGTTGAAGGAATATCTGAGGAAGAACCTGGAAATATTTTAGGAAACTTAGTATATTTCTCCTAGGAAAATAGTACCAACAACAAAATAATACTATATACTGGGCATATTATATGCCTTTGCATATATTAATTCATTTAATTCTCACCACAGCCCTAAGAAGTCGGTAATATCAGCCCCATTTTGCATTTGATAAAAGTGAATATGTGCAGGGTAACTTTGAAGGTCACACAGCTGGTAGGTGGCAGAAGATTTGAACCCAGGCCATAGGGCTCCAGAGGGTGTGCTCACTGGTCCCCTTTCTATACTGCCGTTAACAGCAAAGCAGACCTTTTCGCTCTCTCACCTTGTCTCTTTAGTCCTGTAATTGTGAGTCCATGTTAACGTGAATATTCTTAGATGGCCTTTTTCTTCTTTACTGTCATGGCATTGTCTAGTACCATTTTCACCTGCAGTTTCTTACAAATGTAACCAAGTCTGAATTGTCATTTCAAGGTTATGGTTGTTTTTGTTTTTTTCTATAACATGTGTCATTTCTTTTCTCATGAGCAGGATATACCATTCCTAAGCCAGATGTGATTACTTTATTGGAGCAAGAGAAAGAGCCCTGGATAGTAATGAGGGAAGGGACAAGGAATTGGTTCACAGGTGAGTGACAGCAAATTAGGCGGGAGGGTGCTATCACAAGTTATGACCCATGATGTCAGGGAGGAGGCACAGCACTGAGTTGTTTGGAAAGCTCCCTTCAAAGGCCTGAGGCCTGTGGAAAAAGGACTGATACCTGGGAAGCATTCAGATTCTCTCTACATTAGCTACCAAAGGAACTTTACCCAATTTGCCATACTCCTTGTTTCTCTTCTCTCGTATTTCTCTCCTCTTTCAAAGTGGGGCTGCTTTCTTTCTTCCCCATTGATGACCATTTTACGTGTGTTTCCAGGCCTCCTTTAACATTTTGATTTATATTCATTTCTCCATTGTCCAAGTTTTATTCATCAAATATTTCCCATTTACCTAACCTAAGCCAGGCACTGTGCTAGAGTTTAGGCACTACTGATAGACACTCTTGTCACAGAGATGTTGATATTATAGTAAGGGAAACATGTTGTCAATACGTAAACAGATAATAATCAAGTTTTCATATGTGTTGTGAAGAAAGTTAAGTAGAGTAAGGAGCTAGAGTGTTGGGGAGTTAGTAGGGCTAATTTAGATAAGATCAGGAAAAGGCCATTTTGAGGTGATGATATTTGAACCAGAGACATAAAGTAAGGTCTCAGGCCATGTGAGTATTGAGGAAGAACATTACAAGCAGAAAAAGCTGCAAGTGCAAAGGTTCTGAGATGAAGAACCATCTGTGTTTATTCCCAAAGTAAATTATGCCACCTGATGTGAACATTCTTGTACAATTGTTTTTGTGTTCAGATGTTTTCATTTCTCTTGGGTTTTCATTTTTCTTGGGAATATATGGAAGTGGAATTTCTGGGTCATAGGACAAGTGTATTTTCTTAATCATATTTATTGAGGTATAATTTATATAGTATAAAATGTACTCATTTTAAGTGTCAATTTTTATAACATTTTAAAACAGTTTTATTGACATATAATTAGCATACAATAAACTGCACACATTTAAAGTATAAAATTTGCTAAGTTGCCCTGTATATTGTGAAACCATTTCAAAATCAAAATAATAAACATATCCATCACCTCCAAAAGAAATCCCTCCCTCATGTCCCTCTCTACCCACTGCCCAGGTAAGCACTGATCATCTCTCTGTCACTATAACTTAGTTTTCATTTTCTAGAATTTTGTATAATGGAATTATATGGTGATTTTTTTCTTCCTTTTTTAAAAATATGGTGATTTTTAAAATTTAGCTTCATTCACTCAGCAAAATTATTTTGAGATTCATCCATGTTGCTATATGTATCAGTACTTCATTTCTTTTCATTGTTGAGTAGTATTCCATTGTATGGATGTACCACAATTTACTTATCCATTTATGTATAAGGATGGACATTGAGTTATTTCCAGTGTTTGGCTATTACAGATAAAGCTACTGGAAACTTTCATGTAAAATTCTTGGTATAGACTTATGCTTTCATTTATCTTGGGTAACTGTCTGGGGTAGAATGGGTAGATCATATGATAAATATATGTCTATTTTTTAAGAAACTGCCACACTGTGTTTGAAAGTGGTTGTATCAGCCAGTAGCAGTGGCTTATGCCTGTAATCCCAGCACTTTGGGAGGCCGAGACAGGTGGATCACTGGAGGTCAGGAGTTCAAGACCAGCCTGGCCAACAAGGTGAAACTTCATCTTTACTAAAAATACAAAAATTAGCCAGGCATAGTGACAGGCATCTGTAATCCCAGCTACTTGGGAGGCTGAGGCAGGAGAATCACTTGAACCCTGGAGGCAGAGGTTGCAGTGAGCCGAGATTGTGCCACTGCACTCCAGCCTGGGTGACAGACCAAGATAATGTCTGAAAAAAAAAAAAAAAGAAGAAGAAAGTGGTTGTATCTTTTTACTTTCCCAGCAGAAGTTTATGAAAATTCCAGTTCTTCGACATTCTTGTTAGCACTTTGGTATGGTCAGTCTTTTAAATTTTAGCTTTGCTAATAGGTGAGTAATGGTATCTCACTGTGGTTTTAATTTTCATTTTCCTAATGCCTAATAATCCTGAGCAACTTTTTATTCTTAATTTATCATCCATATATCTTCTTTGGTGAAGCATCTATTACAGTCTTCTGCTCATTCTCTTTGCTTCTTTCTTTCTTTTTTTTGAAACAGAGTCTTGCTCTGTTGCCCAGGCTGGAATGCAGTGGTGCGACCTCGGCTCACTGCAACCTCCGCCTCCTGGGTACAAGCAATTCTCCTGCCTTAGCCTCCTGAGTAGCTGGGACCACAGGCATGTGCCACCATGCCCAGCTAATTTTTGTATTTTTAGTAGAGATGGGGTTTCACCACATTGGCCAGGCTGGTCTCGAACTCCTGACCTCAGATCCACCTGCCTCAGCCTCCCAAAGTGCTGGGCTTACAGGCGTGAGCCACTATACCTGGCCTTCTGCCCATTTTCTAATTGCATTGGTTGTTTGCTAATTATTGGGTTTTGAGAGTCCCTTATATATTCTGGATGTAAGTCCTTTATCAAATGTATGATCTGTAAACTCTTAACAGTGTCTTCTGAATAGCATAAGCTCTTAATTTGATTAAGTTAATTTATCACATTTTTCTCTTATGGATTGTCCTTTCAGTCATATTTAAGAAATCTTTGCCCAATATAAAAAGTACAAAAATTTTCTGTTTTCTTCTAATTTTTTTTTTTTTTGACAGAGTCTCGCTCTGTCACCCAGGCTGGAGTGCAGTGGCACAATCTCGGCTCACTGCAACCTCCACCTCCCGGGTTCAAGCAATTCTTCTGCCTCAGCCTCCCGAGTAGCTAGGACTACAGGTACACGCCACCACACCCAGCTAATTTTTGTATTTTTAGTAGAGACAGGGTTTCACCATATTGGCCAGGCTGGTCTCAAACTCCTGACCTCATGATCTGCCCACCTTAGCTTTTCAAAGTGCTGGGATTACAGGCGTGAGCCACTGCCCCCAGCTTTTCTAGAAATTTTATGGTTTTAGATTTTTACATTTGTATACCTATTGTACACAAACTCTTCCAGAAACTTTAAGATAAGGGAATACTTCCAAACTCACTCTTCAAGTCCAGCATTACCCTGATACCAAAACCAGACAAAGGCATTATAAGAAAAGAAATCTATAAGTCAGTATCTTTCATGTACACAAATGCAAAAATTCTAGACTAAGTTTTAGCCATTTGAATCCAACAATTTATGAAAAGAATAGTAGTTACTGGCCATTCTTGGCATTCCTTGGCTTGCAGACGCATCACTGCAGTCTCTGCCTCCATCTTCATGGCACCCTCTCTTGATCTCCCTATGCCTCGCTCTTATAAGTACACCTGTTATTGGATTTAGGGCCCACCCTTTTTCCATATTAGGTCACATTCACAGGCACTGGGAGTTAGGAACATGTCTTTTCTGGGGGCCACAATTCAACCTACTACATCTGAGAATAAAGGCGTTTATTTTTCTCCTTTCTAAAGCCTGTGTTCTTCACCTTGCCTTACTCTACTAGCCAGGACCTGCAGTGTAATTCTTGACTAGCAATGAGTTTGAGGATCTGTGAATGAGTAATGATAAAACAACTGATGCTCACCAAATAAAATATCTCAGTACTTGAGTTGGGACAGAGACAAAGAGAAGGAACAGTAGCCACACACACAGGGCAAATGTAAACAGTTTTGGAGATGCCTAATGTTCAAGGTAACAATAGGTAATTGGAAAATGATGAAATACAAAAATGACTTTTCCATTTATACTTTTGATTGAGCAATTTTGGATGTATCTTTGTTCCCTTTCAGAAGGGAAGTGATCCAGGAAAGAGCATATTTAATTGCTGTACTAGGATGAGATTGGAATCAGGGAGATATATTCATAACTATGTTGTAATTTGGGGAAATTAAGTTATTATACTTAGCTGCCCTCTCAGTGACTTGTTTGTAATATTTACAGAGGTGGTTTGCAGAGGTCTTCCAAATAAGAAAGGGGTTTTTATCAATGGTAATATGTTTGGGTTTTATTCTAGGGGGAACGAGAAACTCTATTCTAAAGGGAAAAGAATTAGGTACAGATTTTCAAAATGATCTCCATCAAAGCCATTTGATGAAAAAGATTTTAAATGCACATATCCAGGACTTGCTCCTATAGATTTTGATTTTGTCTGGTTTGGTGCCTGAAGAACAGTATATGTAAGAAATTTCCCTAAATCCATCCTAAATAAGCGGATCACTGATTTACCCTATTATCCTATTCACCTATTTTACCATTCTTTTTTTTTTTTTTTGAGACAGAGTCTCGCTTTGTCACCCAGCCTGGAGTGCAGTGGCACAATCTTGGCTCACTGCAAGCTCCACCTCCTGGGTTCACGCCATTCTCCTGCCTCAGCCTCCCGAGTAGCTGGGACTACAGGCACCCGCCACCACGCCTGGCTAATTTTTTGTATTTTTAGTAGAGACGGGGTTTCACCATGTTAGCCGGGATGGTCTCGATCTCCTGACTTCATGATCCACCTGCCTCAGCCTCCCAAAGTGCTGGGATTACAGGCACGAGCCACCGCACCCGGCCTATTTTACAATTCTTAAAAGTCACATCATTTTCTGAGGTATTTTGCCTTCTTTTAAATTGCACTACAATAATTTAGAGTTCTCTAAGCCAGGAACCAGCAAACTATAGCCCATGAGCCAAATAGCTCACTGCCTGTTTTTGCATGGCTCTTAAGTTACAACTGTTTTTTCCATTTTTTTAATGGTTGAAAAAATCAAGATTTTGTTTCATGTAAACACTTTTTGAAATTTAAATTTCAGTGTCCATAAGTCAAGTGTTATTATAACACAGCCACACTTATTATCATCTGTGGCTACTTTTGTGCTGTAATAACAGAGCTAAGTAATTGTGACAGAGACCATATGCCTCCCAAGGCCTAACACCTTCACTATCTGGTCTTTTAAAGAAGAAGTTTGTTGAATCCTGCTCTAAACCATTTATTTCTAATGTATGTTATTTCTGTTTATCTTTTATTTCTACTATGAGGTACAACCCCCATCCCTGCCCCAACACAGAAAAATAGCATTATAGCATTTGTTTACTCTTTGCTTTTTTTTTTTTTTTTTTTTGCAGATTTGGAATACAAGTATATTACCAAGAATTTGCTTTCAGAAAAGAATGTTTGCAAAATCTATTTATCTCAATTGCAGACAGGGGAAAAAAGTAAA
The DNA here is from genome assembly GCF_000001405.40 of Homo sapiens. Taxonomy (NCBI): domain Eukaryota; kingdom Metazoa; phylum Chordata; class Mammalia; order Primates; family Hominidae; genus Homo; species Homo sapiens. The sequence goes on from NW_009646206.1 coordinate 288,903, forward strand.
AACACCATCCATGAGGACACCATTTTCAGAAATGGTTTGCAGTGTAAACATGAATTTGAGAGACAAGAGAGACATCAGATGGGATGCGTTAGTCAAATGCTAATCCAAAAACAAATATCTCATCCTCTACATCCAAAAATTCATGCTAGAGAGAAATCATATGAATGTAAGGAATGTAGAAAGGCCTTTAGACAACAGTCATACCTTATTCAACATCTGAGAATTCACACTGGTGAGAGACCCTATAAATGTATGGAATGTGGAAAGGCCTTTTGTCGAGTGGGAGACCTTAGAGTACATCACACAATCCATGCTGGGGAGAGACCCTATGAATGTAAAGAATGTGGGAAGGCCTTTAGACTTCATTATCACCTTACTGAACATCAGAGAATACATTCTGGTGTGAAACCCTACGAGTGTAAGGAATGTGGGAAAGCCTTTAGTCGTGTTAGAGACCTTAGAGTACATCAGACAATTCATGCTGGAGAGAGACCTTATGAATGTAAAGAATGTGGGAAGGCCTTTAGACTTCATTATCAACTAACTGAACATCAAAGAATTCATACTGGTGAGAGGCCTTATGAATGTAAGGTTTGTGGCAAGACCTTTAGGGTACAACGACATATTAGTCAACATCAGAAAATTCATACTGGTGTCAAACCCTATAAATGTAATGAATGTGGGAAGGCCTTTAGTCATGGCTCATACCTTGTTCAACATCAGAAAATTCATACTGGTGAAAAACCCTACGAATGTAAAGAATGTGGTAAGTCCTTTAGTTTTCATGCAGAACTTGCTCGACATCGTAGAATTCATACTGGTGAGAAACCCTATGAATGTAGAGAATGTGGAAAAGCCTTTCGTCTTCAAACGGAACTTACTCGGCATCATAGAACTCATACTGGTGAGAAACCCTATGAATGTAAGGAATGTGGGAAGGCCTTTATTTGTGGTTATCAACTTACTTTACATCTGAGAACTCACACCGGTGAGATTCCCTATGAATGTAAGGAATGTGGAAAAACCTTCAGTAGTCGCTATCATCTCACTCAACACTACAGAATTCATACTGGTGAGAAACCCTACATATGTAACGAATGTGGAAAAGCCTTTCGTCTTCAAGGAGAACTTACCCGACATCACAGAATTCATACATGTGAGAAACCCTATGAATGTAAGGAATGTGGGAAGGCTTTTATTCATAGCAATCAATTTATTTCACACCAGCGAATTCACACCAGTGAGAGCACCTACATATGTAAAGAATGTGGGAAGATTTTTAGTCGTCGCTATAATCTTACTCAACATTTTAAAATTCATACTGGTGAAAAACCCTACATATGTAATGAATGTGGGAAAGCCTTTCGATTTCAAACAGAACTTACTCAGCATCACAGAATTCATACTGGTGAAAAACCCTATAAATGTACAGAATGTGGGAAGGCCTTTATTCGTAGCACTCATCTCACGCAACATCACAGAATTCATACTGGTGAGAAACCCTACGAATGTACGGAATGTGGGAAGACGTTTAGTCGGCACTATCATCTTACTCAACATCACAGAGGCCATACTGGTGAGAAGCCCTACATATGTAATGAATGTGGGAATGCTTTTATTTGCAGTTATCGACTTACATTACATCAAAGAATTCACACTGGTGAGCTTCCATATGAATGTAAGGAATGTGGAAAGACCTTTAGTCGTCGGTATCATCTTACTCAACATTTTAGACTTCATACTGGTGAGAAACCTTATAGCTGTAAAGAATGTGGGAATGCCTTTCGTCTTCAAGCAGAACTTACTCGACATCACATAGTTCACACGGGTGAGAAACCCTATAAATGTAAAGAATGTGGGAAAGCCTTCAGTGTTAATTCAGAACTTACTCGACATCACAGAATTCATACTGGTGAAAAACCCTATCAATGTAAAGAATGTGGAAAAGCCTTTATTCGTAGTGATCAACTTACTTTACATCAGAGAAATCATATTAGTGAGGAAGTCCTATGCATAATGTAAAGAGAATACGATGGCCTTTAGAAAATGCCCTTTAGCAGAGAATTTGTAATTTAAGAAATTTTCTGTTTGTTACGGAACATGTGGGAATCCCTTTTACTTCATGCTCACAATTTATCAGAAATTATTTCGTATGTTAAAGAGTCGAAAGACTATAGCATCACTCAGTCCCTGTTAGACTTTAGAAGATTGATACTGATGCACTGCATCCCAAACCATCAAGGGCCTTTTCCCCTACAAACTGTTGTTGAACAGTGCTTCTCTAAAATGCAATAATAATGGGCCAGGTGAAGTGGCTCACACCTGTAATCCCAGCACTGTGGAAAGACAGGAGTTCGAAACCAGCCTGGGCAACATAGTGAGACCCTGCCTCATGGCTTTAGTGAGCCATGATTGTGCCACTGCACTCCAGCTTGGTGACAGAGTGAGATCCTGTCTCTAAATAAATAAATAAAATGCGGGCCAGGCACAGTGGCTCACACCTGTAATCCCAGCACTATGGGAGGCCCAGGTGAGCAGATCACCTGAGGTCAGGAGTTCAAGACCAGCCTGGCCAACATGGTGAAACCCCTTCTCTACTAAAATACACAAATTAGCTAGGCATTGTGGGGGGTGCCTGTAATCCCAGCTACTCAGGAGGCTGAGGCAGGAAAATTGCATGAACCTAAGTGGCAGAGGTTGCAGTGAGCTGAGATCGCACCACTGCACTCTAGCTTGGGCAACAGAGCAAGACTCTGTCTCTTAAATAAATAAATAAATAGATTACCAGAAAAATGAAAAGAAAAAAACAGACATACAAAATAAAAGCCCCAGTTTTTTATTATGGTATTTAACTGAGTTAACTCTGTCAGATTGCTGCAAACATTTCTAAATACTTGCTCTTGGTATCTATAACTTTTGCAGAGACCAGAAGCAAACAATTTGTGGGCCAGTGTCAACACATGGACCACACTTTATATAGCACTGTAACGGAAAATGATTCTGTTAATGTAATGAACATGGGAAAGACCAGCCTTGGCCTATCTTTATGATATATATAAATAATATAATTCTCATAATTCCACCTCTGCCTATGTGGTGTTTGGCAAAACATGCCCCTGTGCCTTGGTTTTTAAAATGGTAATAACAGTACCACCTAATAGTATTTTTGTGAGGATGAAATGCTAATAAAAGATAAAACCTTTAAAAGAGTATTTGGCACACAGCATTTTATCAATAAATATTGCTTTATTTTTTTCATTGGGGATACATTTAGTACATTCATGTGAGAGGAAGGCCCTGTGGGTGTAAGAAATTTGTAAAAACTGTCCATTACCTTTCACTCCTTATTTAGATTGGAATAATTAACTGGAGATAATATCCAGTAAAATAGATTAAACTTCCATTTATAAAGTCAGAACCTATCTCTGAAAATTAATGTGAGAAAGAAATCTCTAGATTTGATGGGTGTGAAGATTATGAGAGTAAAGTTTTGAAGACTCAGGGATAGCTGTAATGCTTTTTTCTTTTTATAACCCAAAAAGCAGGTATGTCAGTCGCTTTTTCTGCCCACAATGATAAATTAAAAACAGCCACTATCCATTTGGAAAACTTAAAAGAATAATGAACAGTTATGTTCTATCTAGATTCAGCAATTGTTAATATGTTGTCACATTTGGTTTGCTTATACATAATATTTACATATTTTGCTGTAGTATTTGAGTATAAATTGCAGATACTATAACACATCACATCTAAGAATAAAGGCTGCCTCCTACTTAATTGCTATATAACAATTGTCCAACCTGTCTGTGCCCCAGGGCAGCTTTGAATGCAGTCCAACAGAAATTTGTAAGCTGTCTTAAAACATGAGATTTTTTTTGTGATTTTTTTTAAGCTCATCCGCCATTGTTAGCACATTTTATGTGTAGCCCAAGATAATTCTTCTTCCAGTGTAACCCAGGGAAGCCAAAAGATTTGACCCCCAGTAACTTCACACCTAAGGAGATTAGCAATAATTCCATAATCTGTAATATTCAGTCTGTGTTCATATTCTCAGTTGTGTTCATTCTTTTCATTTGTGTAAACAATGCTTTTCATAGGTTATTTTTAAATTCAGGAACCAAATTCATGAATTACATTTGTGCATTGTTCGTCTCTTTTAAAGTAAGAATGGCCCTTCCCCCCACAACTTTATTGCAACATTGACTTTTTTTTTTTTTTTTTTTTTTTTTTTTTGAGATGGAGTCTCTGTCGCCCAGGCTGGAGTGCAGTGGTGCGATCTTGGCTCACTGCAAGCTCCGCCTCCCGGGTTCAGGCAATTCTGCCTCAGCCTCCCCAGTAGCTGGGACTACAGGCGCCTTCAACCATGCCCGGCTAATTTTTTGTATTTTTAGTAGAGACGGGGTTTCACCATGTTAGCCAGGACGGTCTCGATCTCCTGACCTGGTGATCTGCCCGCCTCAGCCTCCCAAAGTGCTGGGATTACAGGCATGAGCCACCGCACCCGGCCTTCCCAAAGTATTTTTAAATGTGCTTTTTTATCCCCAGTATTTCCCATTAACTGGAATTTGGGATTAGAGACCCAATTAGGGACAGATTAAATATTTTGGCAAGAATACTTAATGGGAGAAATTTTGTATTTCAATTTGTAACCCATTAGGTGGCATACAATGTCATTATACCACTATGGTATCCTTAGTTCATTCACTTGGTGTAGCAGAACATACATTCCAAAGATGGCCACACCAATATATCCCATTCTGCATGTTCATCTTACAATGTGATACCAACACTCCCCAAGAGGTAGAGCTCATGGTCCTTCCTTTTGAATCTGGCCAGGTGGGCCTGTGTTTATGGCAGGAATAACACTGTGATTTCCACGACTAAGTCATAAAAGGCAATACAGCTTCTGCCTGACCCACTTGGGATGAAGCCCAGCCACCATGCTATGAAGATGCCAAGTAATCACATAGAAAAGCTAAGTAAAGCTGTCCTGATTACAGCTGTAATTGAGGTAACAGCCGGGATCCAGCACCAAGTGTATGAGGGTATGAGCCTTCAGATGATTCTAACCCTTAGCCTTCAGGCTATCCTAGCTGGTGCTAAGTGGAGCAGAGAAAAGCTTTCCCCCATGAGCCTGCCCAAATTGCAGATTTACGTTTAAAATATGGCCTGTTTTAAGCCACTAAGTTTTGGAGTAGTTTGCCACACAGCGATAGGTAACTGAAATACTTGCTTCATATGGTAATCACCAGGTTTCTCTGTTGTAGAGCTAAATATTTCTTTTAATTTAGTAAACGATCTGTAGAGTAGTACTTTGGCATTTCGGAAATTTAAAATCTCCAATAATATAATGACACTAGATCAAAAAGAAAATGAAACCATAAAGGACAATTTAGAAATGAATGGTAAGATCAGAATTTGTGAATGTGGCCAAACCTGTGCTCAGTGAAAAATCAGTAACCTGTTAATATATTCAGGAAACAAATATTGAGGGCCAGCACTTTGTTTCTCCTGCTCACCACTCTACTCCCAGTGACTTAATACTGTCTCTTTAACATAGTAATCACTTATAAAACTGTTAAAAGAATGAAGAAGCATTAAACTCAAGAAACTAAGGGAAAAATAAGTCAATATAAGAAAGAAGGGAGGATCATTAAAAGGAGTTAATGAATTTGAAAATAAAATAGACTTATTAAGGCTTTGTGAAAAAATATTAATACTTGATTTTAGTATAGCTAATCAAAGGAAAAAGATAATTACAGCATTGTGAATGAGAATTGGATGTAAGTACAGATGGAGGAGATATTTTTTGTTTTATTGAAAATTTCAAGGAGGAAGTAATATCAAAATTTCACTAGCTCTTTCTACACTGATATTATAATCCTGATAATACAACAGATGAGGATAGTTCTTAAAAGGCAAAAATGTAGGTGAGTCATTACGAAGAAAGCAGAAATTCTAAACCATCAGCACATTCATTCAAAAACCTAGTAAAGCAATTAAGCAAAATAATTTGTTTACTTGGACTGTCCAGGGATAGATCTGTTCTAGTTTTCCAAATTAATGATGGGAAAGGAAGAGCTGATCCAGTCCAAGTATCTTCAAGATCCATGTTCTCAGTTTTTCTTAGCTTTAAATGGCCAAATTGTGGCTTAGATTGGATATGATAATTTCCTCAATGCTTAACACTGAGCACAATTTTTCACATATTTGAAATCAAGGTGTATCTTACAATTTATGGCATCTGACAATACTTCCAACCAGGTGGCAGTCATCAAGCAGTTTTGTGAAAAGCCTTCCCGGTAAGAATACAAAAGCATCTGCACCAAAATATATAGATTTAATGGCATGTAGGGGTTTGCGTGAATATATACAGTTGAAATTCAATTCTTCCTTAAAAATAATTGTAACTCATTTCTTTAAGACTACCATACTACCACTTTCCTCAACTTGGACTAATGTCCATTGTCAACCAAAATGTCTGTGATCTCATGGATCCATTATGATTTGCAACTCCAGGTCCATTTTATGCAAATAAGACAGCCATAATATATCATTGTACAAGTCATTTACTATCTAATTATATCATTGCTCAACATTTGCAAATTATTTTTACAAATAACAATAATTGGATGTAACAAAAAGCAGAGTATTTTGAGACGTATATTAATGCAAAATATTGTTAATGTATCAGTGGATTGTTCCTCCAAAGTACCAGTGCCTTAACACAACATATCTAAAAGAACATCTCTGGGAACAGTAGTACTTAATGGCAACTTGAGAATTGGTTTGTGGGCACACAGCCTTGTGAAGTTTTGAATACTAAATCCCTTTTTTAAAAAAGTGCTTATTATCAGGCTATCAATCAAAAGATTTGAGTCTTTCAGTAAAGAAAATTTGCTTAATTTTATCTAGTGCATGATAAACTTTACTAAGGAAGTCTCATTCAGAATATCTAATATTTTGGATGTGAGCCCACACTGGAAATGCCATAACCAAAAAAGAGTGACCCTAAAGATAGAATATTCAGATCTAATGGCAGATGCTTAGCTATGCTGGGAAAGGAAGTGAATTGTATATTGCTCTGCTGCTCACATATTCCTCTGCAATAAATTGCTGGCCCAGTTTAGTTTTTATATACTCACTACTATACTAATGAGGATGGCTCAATTTTTTATTTGAACGTACTATAATGAATTTAAACTTTCATTGGTATTTATGTTTTAACAGGTTTTCACTATTTCAAATATACTTCAATAAATATCCTTGTCTGTGATCATTGGTTTATGTGAATTGGAATTTCAGTAGCTGTATATACATGGAAGTACAATTGCTCATACATCATACACTCTTTCAGTTATGTTAGATAATACTAAATCAACCATGGGTTCTGTATACCCTACTAGATATTTCCAAATTGTTCTCTTAGACTCCTGAGAACTGGTAAATTGAGTGCTATAGCTTCAGTTTAGGTATGTTTTTGTATGTATTCCTAAATTTTGACTTAAGCCATTTTTCAAATGTATTTCTTGGCCTATCATCATTCCTTTACTTTGACTTTCATATTCTTGGCTTTCTCCATTATTTTTGTCTTGTTTTTTTCTTCCCTCTAATTGACTTGAATGTCATTCTGGATACTTTGCTATGTTGATGCAGTATTTTCCACCACATGCATATAGTCTGACCATGCATTCTATCTTTATGAGACATTTTAAGATTTATAGGTTATCAGTTATGTAATCTTTGCAGATTACACAAATAAAATTTTATTTTCCAGTATTTATATTTATTTTTCTTATTGCAATAGCTAGAATCTTCAGAACACAGTTGAATATTATGGTAGTAGGTATCTTTTGTTTCCAAATTTAATGGAATATTTCCCAACATTTTTTTCTTTGGTCCTATGTTTCCTCAAGAACCTACATTTAATCATTTACTATAATATTCACTCTTCATTTGGGGATAAATTCTCTGCTGACTTTAAATTTCCTTCAATATATGTAGGGGTAGAGGGAGGATGCCTACTTTTGTAGTGATTGTTAATTTAAAAACTGCTGAATTTTTTCCAAGGCCATTTTGTTATCTATTTTAATTTTATGTTTTTCTCCTTAAATTTATTGATGTATTGATTTGTACTTATGACTTTATTAAATTTTAAACATTTCTTGTAATATGCTACAATTTTTGTCATACTGCTAGAGTCCATTTGGTGATATTTTAATTAGAACTTTTTCATCTATAGTCAAGGCAGTATTATAGTTTCTTTTTATTTTATTGATAAGATTTTAGAGTTGTAATGATCTGTTCTTTAACACCTAGAAACAATTTGTCCTTAAAGTATTTACATTTTTGTATCTTGATATTACATTTTATGATTTGCTAAATTCACTTAGCTTTAGCAGGGTTTTTTGTTTTTTTTTTTTGAGACGGAGTCTTGGTCTGTCGCCCAGGCTGGAGTGCAGTGGCGCAATCTCGGCTCACTGCAAGCTCCGCCTCCCGGGTTCACGCCATTCTCCTGCCTCAGCCTCCCGAGTAGCTGGGACTACAGGCACGTGCCACCACGCCTGGCTAATTTTTTGTATTTTTAGTGGAGACGGGGTTTCACTGTGTTAGCCAGGATGATCTCGATCTCCTGACCTCGTGACCCACCCGCCTCAGCCTCCCAAAGTGCTGAGATTACAGGCGTGAGCCACCGCGCCTGGCCTAGCAGGGTTTATTTTTTATAAATTACTTAGAATTTTCTATAAACGCAATCAGGACATCTGTCAAGACAGTTCCTTTTAATTTATATTTCCTTTATTTGCCATACTGCACAGGCTAGGGCATTCTGTAGAGTGTTGAATGGAAATGTTCAAAGCAAGGCTGGGCGCAGTGGCTCACGCCTGTTATCCCAACACTTTGGGAGTCTGAGGCAGTTGGATCACCTGAGGTCAGGAGTTCGAGACAAACCTGGCCAACATGGCGAAACCCCATCTCTACTAAAAATACAAAAATTAGCTGGGTGTGGTGGTGCACCTGTGATCCCAGCTACTCGGGAGGCTGAGGCAGGAGAATCACTTGAACCCTGGAGGTGGAGGTTACAGTGAGCCAAGATCGTGCCACTGCACTCCAGCCTGGGCAACAGAGCAAGACGCTGTCTTAAAAAAAAAAATTATCAGAGCAGACATCCTTACCTTGAGTCTGACTTTAGTGAAAAAGCAGTCAATAATTTATCATAAAGTTCTATGTTAGCTGTTTATTTTCCCTAGATATTCTTTTTGGTTTTTTGACAAATCTTGGGGCAATTTGCCATTGAAGTCATCTGAGTCAACCTTTCTTTGCGGAAAGGATTTTTAGTGGTAGTTTCAAGGACAATATACCAAAAATATTGAATTTTTCTATCATAGCAAACAATTGAAAATGAAATCAAAAAAATTTTCATTGATAAAGAACATAAAATACTTAGGAATATATTTAACAAAACACATGCAAGACTACTACCTAAAAATTACACAATTTTGTTGAGAGAAGCTAGGGAAGGCCTTAATAAATTGAAACATCTTCCATAATTACAGATGAGAAGACCCAATGTTTAGAAGTCATTTCTCAAATTGATCTAGGGATTCAGTGGAATCCAGTCAGAATTTGTTCTGGAGCACAGCAGTGAAGTGAGGATTGGAGGGAGCTGGTGTAGCTGCACTTTGAGGTAGGTTCATTAGCTGTTGCAAAAGGCTGGTGATAGTCACTGTTGGAAGATGATAGAGGAGGAGAGAGAAGGGACTCAGTAAGCATGGCAGCACCTCATCTTGTGCATCTTTCTTGATAAGGAAAGGGAGGTCCCTGGCTGTTGTCATGAAAATGTCAGCTGCTTGCTCTGTGGAGAGGAAAGGAAGAATACGGGCAACCACTGTCTTCCCTTTTTGGATACACATGATCTGTACAAAGCGGTCATCACTAGGCCTCTCTTGTCCAGGCTGTTTCCCTCTTAAGTTGTCATACATGCTACAAATTCCGTACTTTCGCTCATCCATTAGAGCAGGTCGCTGTCTTAGACTTAGGAGATAATGTCTTTCATAGTCCTCCACATCAAGGAGTAAACTGTAGGTTTTCTTAATTATGACGGGTTTTTCTCCTCTTGTCTCGAATTTGTTTTTCTTTTATCTCATCATCCTCACTCCAAGATGTCACAACAGCATCAATCATTTTTCAGGGATTATTCACACTAGAAACAGTAAGCTTTCCCAAAGAGCCCACAAATTGTACTGGCTTATAGGTGCGCTCCAGTTTGGCCACTTGAGGGGTAATAAGCTTGTTATGCTCCTTTTTAGGGCCATCACCTCGTATTTCTTCAGCAGCTGATGGTTTCTCCAGTTTTTCAAAGTAATTCTGGTAATAAAAATCATCCAGGTGGGGACCATTGCTTTGCAGTTGCATCATCTGAATTTTAGAGGCCCAATCCTTTTCCCACAGCAACATGAGATTGGCATATGGATCCTTTCGGAGATGATCTTGATGACTGCTCCAGTGACTTCCTCTATCTCCTGCACCACTGAGATTCTGATGCTGATTTCTATTCTGTTGCTGTCTCTGATGCAAGAGTCAATGGTGCTGTGGATGGAGGGGAGTTGCGTCCAGTCTAAACACTGGGACTTGAGATCTTAAGTTTTGCAAGTGAGGTCCTGGGCCAGGAGGGCGCTGCTGTGGAGGTGGTGTAGCGGAGGGTGGAGCACTAAAGAAGGCATGGAAGCCTGGTGCTGGGGGAAGCATCTGCCCAACTTGCCCTTGTAGCAACTTGGGATTCATAGCAGCATGCAGACTACCAACAAATCCAGGGACCCATGCAAACTGGCTGGGAGACATCTGTCCAGGCTGTAGCTGTGCTCCTCCAAGAAGCTGTGCTCTCTGAAAGGGGCTGAGAACAGGAGGAACACTAGGAGGAAAAGGGTGACCCAGGAGGGAAGAGTTCAGGACACTGTAGAGCTGATTTGGAGGCATCCTCTCATCATAGGGACCAGGATAACACGGTGGCATTGGGGGCCGAACATGGACAGGCTTTGAACGCAGAATCTTCCAAATTGGCTTTCGTTTTCAGTTGCTGGTTTCAGGCGGAGGAAAGTCTATGGAATAGGACTGCACAGGCTCTGTTGGGTAAAGCTGGGTACGGCCATCTGCTTAGGTGGGGTGCCTATGGGGACAGCTCTAACAGGAGGACTGCCAATGACAGGTGAAGTTGACCACCTTGGTAATGCATGTTCAGAAAGGTCCCAATCATTTTCTGGACCCTGGGGGGCCTCTGAGGCAAGGCATATTCTAATACAGACACTGTAGACATTTCCTAAGTGAGCAGTGGTCCTCAGATTTGCCTCATAACTTTGGATCCATCCCAGATACTGGAATTCAGATTTCCTGGTTGGGGTTATAAAACTGGCCTGGTCTGCACTGCCCTCATGATAGCTGGATCTTCTAGTTCATTTTCAATCACCATCTTACTGAGCCTTTCTGCCAGATTTTCCTCATGGTCACCCAACAAGTCCATTTCTTCCCTTTCTCCATTGCCTGTTTGTTCATTAACTGCCACTGGTAGCTTTTCTTCCAATTCAGCCAGGCACTCATGTGCTTCCTGCCAATCATCATCAACTGCACCTGACCCAAAAATATCATCATTGAATTGATCAATCTCTTCATCTTCTTCTCTCAGTCCCTGAAATTCATCTTCATCTTCATCCAGAAGACAATCCTCCCAAGACTCATAGTGGAACATTCTTGGGGAGGTGGGGGGGAGTGGGGAGGGGAGTGGGGGAGGGAGGGAAGAAGCACTGACTCCCTGGGCTCCTCCATGGGCAGGTCCTCCACCAGCTTGCGACCCCTGGCCACCTATTTCTGTTTCTTTTTTTGTTCCTATGAATTCTAGTTACTATCATGTATCATTTCCTTACTCCAATACAACTCTGCTGTCATTTACTTCCTTTATGCTGTTATTGTCAAATATATTACATTTCCATGTTATAGGCCCAACAATATAATTATGTACATACTGTATTATACAACTGCCTTTTAAATTTATTAAGAGAAGTAAAAAGAAATGTGCATTTGTGCTGCTTTTTGTAATTTTAATTATATTAATTTTGTTCTTTTTAAAAATGTGGTTTTGAATTTCCATGTAGATTTACTTGCTTTGTTTGAATAACCTTTACAATTTCTTATGTGGTAGGTCTGGGAAGGGCTTTATTTCACCTTCATTTTTGAAAGACAGTGTGTTACTGCTTGACAGAGCTTTTGTCGTTTGAGTACTTTGAATATATCATCCCACTACCTTCATCCCCTCCATTGCTTTGGATAAGAAGTCAGCTGTCAATCGATTGGTGTTCCATTGTAAGCGACACATCATTTTTCTCTTATATTTTTCAACATTTTCTTTCACTTTTAGCATTTCTACTATGATAGGTCTGTTCATGGATATCTTCGCATTCATTCTGATTACAGTTTGTTGAGATGCTTGTGGGTATTGATTAATGTTTATTCAACAAATTGTGGATGTATTTTGCCATTATTTCTTTGAATATTTTTGTGCTCATTTCTCTTTCTCCTTTCCTTCTGGTATTCTCATTACATGTATGTTCATGCACTTAAAAGTGCTCTGTTCATATTTTCTTGTTCTTCAAGGCTCTGTTCATATTTTCTTTGTTCTATTTTCTCATTCTATTTCATTTTATTTTCTTATTCTTTTTTCTAGTGGGAAGATGGAATTGAGGTTGCATAATTTCCATTGATCTGTTTGAAAGTTTTCTATTTACTTGCTGATCAAATTTGTTTAGCCCTTCTAATGAATTTTTTATTTTGGTTACTGTAGTCTTCAACTCCAGAACTTACATTTGGTTCATTTTGTCATTTCTCCTTATTGATTTTCTTTATTTGATGAGACGTTATCTTTATATTTTCCTTTACTGCTGTGAATATATAATGGCTACATCGAAGTTTTTGTCTATTAAATATGACATCTGTTCCCTGTCATAGGCCAACCTGTTGCCGTTTTTTTTTGTTGTTGTTGTTGTTTTGTTTTGTTTTTTTTTAAGAGTCTTGCTCTGTTGCCCAGGCTGGAGTGTAGTGGTGTGATCTTGGCTCACTGCAACCTCTCCCTCCTGAATTCAAGCGATTCTCGTGTCTTAGCCTAGTTATAGGCATGTGCTACCATGCCTGCCTAATTTTTGTATTTTTAGTAGAGATGGGATTTCATCATGTAGTCCAGGCTGGTCTCAAAACTCCTGAGCTCAAGTGATCTGCCAACCTTGGTCTCCAAAAGTGCTGGGATTACAGGTGTGACCCACTGCACCTGGCCTGCTTGCTGTTCTCCTGTGTATAGGTCCAACTTTCCCATTTGTTTGCATGTCTTAATTTACTTTTTATTATTTTCCTAATAAGTAGACATATTAGGAAACATACTGTAGTGATTTGCCTGTCCCCTCTCCAGAGCTTGTTCTTGTTGTTGTTTGCTTGGCTATGTATTTTGTGTTTTGGCTAAGCTATTTTAGTAAAATCGATTTCCCTTTCCCCTTGCAGTGTGAAGTATTTTGTGTTGTTCCTCAGCCTTAAACATATGCAGTTACCCTGCTGTGACAATGGTTTTAAACAGGAGTCTTTTTGACTATCTTTCCCTATCTCTCTGTTAAGATAACTGCCCCCTTGGTATTATTTCCAGCCCACTAAGCTCCGCTGCCGTCTATCTGGTCACTCCATTGTTTTCAACATTTCCTTGGAGCCTAAATTATTAAGCAGTTTAATATAATTTAAGTCAGGCAGGGCTAATTTTTGAGGCCAGTTTTTAAGGTTTCTTTTGACCTTTGGAGGGCTCCTTAGCTGTCTCTTCCCATGGAATTATCTGATTAACTACCTGGCCTATGGTTTATGTTGTTGTGTTTACTTTAGGGGAGCTATTTGTTTGACACTGTTTCAGATAAAGTCCATTCCTTTGGAGAGAGCTTCAGAGCTCTATTCTTATGGACTGCCACTCCCTCTGGACAAAATCTCTGAACCACCATTCTGGGTAATGGGCTGGGTTGTAGCCATCTTGTTTTTTATGTTATGAAACCTCTGCCTTAGAAGCAAGTGGAGGCAAGGGCAATCTGGGTGCAAATGAGTTCACTCTGCCTGGGTAGAGTTTCCAAACTCTGGGTGGGGCTGGGGGAAGCAAAGGAGCCCCAAACCTCCTAGTTGCGTTCACCAGGAATTTAGCCACTTTAACCAAGAGCTGGTGGGGATAAGAAACCCTGGAGGCATGCCCCTCCTGTTGATATATGACAAACCTTGATTGACAGCTGCAGCCCCATCATCTTGGCAGCATCCACCCACAGAGAAGCTTCTATCAAATTGAGCTGTGAAGAGTAAAAGGGAGTTGTGTCTTAAATGCCACAAATTCTCTTACCAAGTTCTTGGTTCTTACCAAGTTTTAGTAGAATTTCTTGATATTTCACTTCCTATATACTGTTTGGACACTTTCAGACCTCAAATGGCAAGGTTTTTATACATTTTTTTTTGCCAGTTTTATTAGAAAATGAGTTTGCAGAGCCCCCCCATCTACCATCCAGAAGTGGAACTACATATAGTCATTTAACAATAGTTTAGCATTTTCTGTCATCTCATTCTGGAGAATCATAGATGTGGCAGAAATACATATTCTTGAAGAAAAAAAATGTCTCCCTTATGGGTACTGTGATTTCAATAGGGTGTGGGATAAGTACATGACAACATGCATGGGATAGACACTCTGTTCTCTACAGATCCGTGCTTTGGAATTACAGAACATAAAAGATATAATGATGGTTATTACTTTTTACATGTGACAATCTAGTTGTAGCGTTTAAGATTAAATTTGGTTGTGAGTAAAATAGTAAAACTGCCCCAAATTAAAGTGGATAAAATATAATAAAAGTTAATTTCTCTGTCATATAATATGGATGTAAGCCTGATACTGTGGCCTTGCTCTAAACCAATCATGAATTTTACCATTCTGGCATCAGAATGGAATGAGCACTCAGACTTATACAGAACTTGGAAGAATAGTAAATAATTCTGGTTACCCTTCACCCAGATTTCTCAAATATTAATATATTAAGCTAGTTTGTTTTAAGAGGTTTCCAGAATTGCCAAAATATTCACTTACATCCTACTTGCCATAAGTTATGTCACATGACAACACCTTGGAGAAATAACTGCAGTCCTTATTCTAGATAGTCACAGCCAACTATCAATAAAAATTACTGGTTCTATAATCATGAAAGCAGGGTAGAATGGATATGCGGGCCTAATAAATAACAGATCCTGACCCACTGAGGAATCCTGGAGATGGTTTCATTTTGATCAATTACAAATGAAGACAGTGAATCCCTGAGACCACAACTTGTGCAGAAGACTCATTGAAATGGAATGGTATTCTGGAAATTAAGACACACAGGTCCGTTATCCCTCATACCCCAAGCTGGATGATCACAATACCCTGTAAAAGGATGACAGAAATCTTGTGTCTACTTTTTCTTCTTTTCTGGGGAGTCTATGAACATTCAAGATAACATCCATGACTGAATATTCTAAAACAAGTTTCTTTACAACGCTGCTCAGAAACACCATGACAAATTTAAATCAGAGCAATATCTCCAAAAATGGGAGGCAGATTAATGTATCATTTCAGCCAGGCCTTAAAAGGAGATAAACTTCTCAGCTATCACCATACATAAAACATAATTCAATAAAATACCAAATGCAAACAAGAGCAGATCATAGAAATGTAAGTTGAGAAAATTCAGAGGGAACTTCTGACCTTAGGATGACATTTTCAACTCTGAAACTATTAAAAGAATTCTAACAAAAGCAGCATCTTTTTTTCCATACCTGTAACTGCCATGTGCACTCACAGCAGCCAGATTTTTTGGTCTCTAATTCTTTTTTCCTCTAAAAGGAACCAGGACTCCCTAAGATAAGAGGGTATTAAATCATGAGTTGATTCCATGACTCAGGACAAGAGGCATGGGGGACATGAACCAACAAACAGGGTCAGTCTTAAACATCCTCTTACGGCCTGAAAACAATATTCCTTTAAAACATCAAAAGAAAAAAATAAGTAGTAAAAAAAAAATGTAAATGGATTCCTACTGGCCACATTATGTCAATTTGAGCATAAATAATAATAATTACTACAGGTGCTTCTCAACTTACGGGGAGTTATGTCCAAATAAACCCATCATAAATTGAAAACATCATACACCATATGTGCATTTATGGTCTACAATATTTTCAATTTAACAATGGGTTTATCTAGATATAGCCCCATTTTAAGTCAAGGAGCATACTCTGACTGAGTATGTCTTAGTTTTGTGTTGCTATAAAGGAATGTCTGAGGTTGGGTTATTAATAAAGAAAGAGGTTTATTTGGCTCAGTGTTCTGTAGGATTTACAAGAATCATGGTGCAACATCTGCTTCTGGTAAGGGCCTCAGGCTGCTTCCACTCATGGCAGATGAAAGGGGGCAGTGTATGCAGACATCACATGGCAAGAGAGGAAGCAAGAGGGTGAGGAAGGAGGTGCCAGGCTCTTTTGTACAACCAGCTCTCATAGGAACTAACAGAGTGATAATTCACCCCCCAATCCAGAGAGGACATTAATTTATTCATGAGGGATCTTCTCCCATGACCCACACACCTCCCATTAGGCCCCACCTCCAACATTGGGATCAAACTTCAATATGAGATTTGGAGGGGATAAATATCCAAACTATAGCAGCATATCACTTTTGTACTATTATAAAGCTGAAAATTATAAGTCAAACCATTTTAAGTTGGGGATTACAGGCGTGAGCCACCGTGCCTGGCCGTGATTTTTAAATTTGTACATACTTGGTTTGTAACTTTAACAAATATATTAAAGTGTTTTATTATGTTTGCAAAGGGACTCTGACTTCCAACATAGTACTGCCATGATTGCATGATGATAGAGTTTCACCGAAAGGCTGCCAGGGATCTTTCTGACAACTCTTAATGATACTACCGGGATGTGCAATGACCCAGAAAGGAGTTGTGCTAGGTTAATACCCAGGGACTCTGCTGATTTCAAAGAAGAAAGTTCAAGAGAATGGATAGAAAAAAGATGAAACTGGAAATAAAAAATAGGAACATAAGATTTGAAAGCCAAGTTTTATATAATCTTGTTTTATAAGTTGTATAACATCATTGCAATATCAATACCTGAAAAATACTTGGAAAATTATAACTTTACTTATGATTATAGATGCAATTAAATGGTAAAAGATAGAATTAAGTAGTCTATTGAAAGAATAATCATCTGACCAGGGTATATTCATAAAAAGAAGAAAGCTATCAATATAAATTATCACTTTATAGATTTTTCAACACAATGGAATAAAATCACAAAGGATTATTCTTAATCTTAAAAAAAATTTAATCTAATTCATGATGCCACATCGGTATCATGTTTTGTTTTGGGGTTTTTTTGAGATGAAGTCTCACTTTGTCGCCCAGGCTGGAGTGCAGTGGCACGATCTTGGCTCACTGCCACCTCCACCTTCCAATTTCGAGTGATTCTCCTGCCTCAGCCTCCCAAGTAGCTGGGATTACAGGAATGCACCACCATGTCCAGCTAATTTTTTTATTTTTAGGAGAGATGGAGTTTTGCCATGTTGGCCAAGTTGGTCTCAAACTCCTGACCTCAGGTGATCTGCCCACCTTGGCCTCCCAAAGTGCTGGGATTACAGGCATGAGGCCACTGCTCCCGGCTTAATGGTATCATGTTTTACAGCTTGATTTAAAGGGTTAATATTTTTTCAAATTTTTATCAACAGCTCATGTACCAGCCATGGTATAGGTGCTGGTGATAAATGCTGAACAAAAAAGAGGTTCCGGACAATCTTGGCTCCCTATACAATCCAAAGGGTGCCAGTTTTGTACTGAGTACAGTGTCAGCCATATCACACAAGTTGAATTATGTTGACGCTTTAATGGCATTCATTTCTCAATAGTCTATTTCAATTTTCATTTTGTATTCAATCCAGGGCTTAAGTACACGTGACTATAACTTTTCAGAGATGACAACGTCTCTCCATAGATTACTTACCCACTACAAACTAAATCTTTACAATGGACTTACGGCGGTTACCAGCTTACCCAAATGATCATCCTTAGTTTCACTAATGCAAGGACCTGTACTTAAATGTTTTCTGACAGTACAATATGACATAGAAATAACCTACAAAGTATTCTTCCCCAAAACGTTTAATCTAGACCTAAGAAAGCCTCTGGACTTACTTTCCCTTGTAAAGAAAATACAACCAAGAACAAGGCTAAATGACACTATAAAGAAAGAAATCTAAACACATAGCCAACAACATTTCTGGGCTACTCAAAATTCAATGTCATTTTTTTAAAATGAGAAATGTTCTAGACCAGTGGCTCTCTAACTCTGGTTGGTATCACAGACACAAAACCTGGAGAAATAATAAAAAACAGAGGCCCAGGCTTATAAACTAGGGCTACACTTCTGTAGGTTTACTAAGTTCCACAGGGGATTCTGATACCCACCATAATTTGAGAGCATACTTTCATGGGGTTTCCATGCTACAATACACTAAAGAGAGATAACCAAATGCAATGCAGAATCTGCAATGGACTCTCCTTAGAAAATGAATAGCTGTAGGCCAGGCATGCTGGCTCATGCCTGTAATCCCAGCACTTTGGGAGGCCAAGGCGGGTGGATCACGAGGTCAGGAGATCGAGACCATCCTGGCTAACAGAGTGAAACCCTGTCTCTACTAAAAATACAAAAAATTAGCTGGGCATGGTGGCGGGTGCCTCTAGTCCCAGCTACTCAGGAGGCTGAGGCGGGAGAATGGCGTGAACCCAGGAGGCAGAGCTTGCAGTGAGCCCAGATCGCACCACTGCACTCCAGTCTGGGCGACAGAGCGAGACTCCATCTCAAAAAAAAAAAAAAAAAAAGAGAAAATGAATAGCTGTAAAAGATGGTTTGCAGGCCAAGGAAGAAATCTGAAGATGGAATGATATTACAGAATTATGAATATTTTCCTTAAGGGTAATTATGGTACTATGGTTATATGATATTGTCTTTATGTTTGGGTAACACACATGCTGATGTAACAAGGAGTAAAGTGTCATGATATCTAAAACTTATTCTCAATGGTCTAAAACTTATTCTCAATGGTACAACAAATATACAAAAAATAAATGTGGCAAATTGTTAACAATTTTGAATCTAGGTGGGGGGGATATGTGTATATATTTTACTATTCTTTCAAAACCCACAACAATTATCAACTAGGTTCACCATCTTTTATGGGCAGGATTTGTGGTATCCCCAAACAATTACACTAGTAACAATTACACTAGTAATCAAAAAACACTGGTCACAGATCACCATAACAGATTTAACAATGAAAAAGTTTGAAATATTATGAAAACTAGCAAAGTGTGACACAAAGACATGAAATGTGCATATGCTGTTTGGAAAATGGTGCTGATAGACTTATTCACTGCAAGGTTGCTGCAAACCTTCAGTGTGTATAAAATGCAGTAACTGCAATGCACAATTAAGCAAGGTACGCCTGTATCCAGTAAAATATTTCACGGGCAGTAAACTGTGAACATGGCAGCTACTCTACATTCCTCACATCAGTAACTTTCTCACCAAAATTATCTTCTCTGAACTCTAAGGCATTTAGTGTGGCTATAAAATATCCCACATTCTTTACACTCAAAGGAGTTCTCAGCAGTATGAATACTCTGATGTTGAGCAAATCCCAGGCCACGATGAAAGTTCTTCACACATTCTTTTATGTTCACAGGATTTCTCATCAATATGAATTCTCTGGTGTTGAGTAAATTTTTCATACACAGTGAAGGCTTGTCTACACTCCTTATATTCATAAAACTTCTAACTATAATGAATTTTCTGATGTTGCGTAAGCAGATCATTCACAGTAAGGGTTTGCTCACATTCTTTACATTCATAGGGTTTCATGCCAGTATGAATTCTGTGATGTGCAGAAAGGACTGAACTAAGTCTAAAGGTCTTCCCACATCCTTTACATTCACAGGGTTGCTCACCAGTATGAATTTTAACATGTTGAACAAGGCTCGAGCTACAAGTAAAGGTCTTTCCACATTCTTTACATTCATACGGTTCATACCAGTATGAATTCTTTGATGTGCAGTAAAGACTAAGCTAAATCCAAAAGTTTTCCACATTCTTTACACTCACAGGGTTTCTCAGCAGTACGGATTCTCAGATGTACAGTAAGATCATAATTACTGCTAAAGGCCTTTTCACATTCCTTACATTCATAGGGTTTCTCATCAGTATGAATTTTAACATGTTTAACAGGTTTGAACTATGACTAAAGGCTTTCCCACATTCTTCACATTGATATGGTTTCTCACCAGTATGAATTCTCTGATGTACTCTAAGGTTTCTACCACTGGTAAAGCATTTCCCACATCCTTGACATTCATAAGGGTTCTCACGAATATGAAATCTATAATGTCCATGAAATTGGTAATGATATTGAAAGGCCTTCCCACATTCCTTACATTCAAAGGTTTTCACCCAAGTATGAATTTTCTGATGTTCAGTAAGTTGCTACTGATGTCTGAAGGCTGTCCCACATTTCTTACATTCAAAGGGTTTCTCACCTGTACAAGTTTTTGATGCAGAGAAAGTTGTAGGTGAAGTCTAAAAGCCTTCCCACACTCCTTACATTCATAGGGTTTCTCACCAGTATGAATACTCTGAGGTTGAACAAGGTTTGAGCCACGATTAAAGGCCTTCCCACACTCCTTACATTTAAATGGCTTCTCACCAGTATGAATGATCTGATGTTGAGCAAGCTGTGTCAGAAGACCAAAGGCCTTTCCGCATTCTTTACATTCAAAGGGTTTCTCACCAGTATGAATTCGGTAATGTTCAGTAAGCTGGTAATGATATCTAAAGGTCTTCCTACACTCCTTACATACAAAGGGTTTCGCACTGGAATGAGTTTTCTGATGCTGAATAAGGTTTGAAACACGACTAAAGCCTTTCCCACACTCCTTACATTCATATGGTTTTACACCAGCATGAATACTCTGATGTTGAACAAGGTTTGAGACACGATTAAAGGACTTCCCACATTCTTTACATTTAAATGGCTTCTCACCTGTGTGAATGTTCTTATGGTGATTAAGCTGGGTGTGAAGACTGAAGGCCTTGCCACATTCCTTACATTCAAAGGGCTTCTCACCAGTATGAAATTTCTGATGTCGAATAAGGTGCATATGAAGTCGAAAGGCTTTCCCACATTCCTTACATTCAAAGGGTTTCTTTCCGGTATGAATACTTCGATGTTGATTAAGATTTGAACCACGACGAAAGAATTTCCCACATTCCTTACATTCAAAGGGTTTCTCACCTGTATGAGTTTTCTCATGTTGAGAAAGTTGTAGGTGAAGTCTAAAAGCCTTCCCACACTCCTTACATTCATAGGGCTTCTCACCAGTGTGAATACTCTGATGTTGAACAAGGTTCGAGCCACGATTGAAGGCCTTCCCACAGTCTTTACATTCAAATGGTTTCTCACCAGTATGAATGTTCTTATGTCGAGCAAGCTGTGTCAGAAGACTAAAGGCCTTTCCACATTCTTTACATTCAAAGGGTTTCCCACCAGTATGAATTTGGCAATGTTGAATAAGTTGGTAATGATATCGAAAGGCCATCTCACATTCCCTACATACAAAGGGTTTCTCATTGGAATGAATTTTTTGATGCTGAATAAGATTTGCACCACGATTAAAGCCTTTCCCACACTCCTTACATTCATATGGTTTTACATCAGCATGAATACTCTGGTGTTGAATAAGGTTTGAACTACGATTAAAGGACTTCCCACATTCTTTACATTCAAATGGTTTTTCACCTGTGTGAATATTCTTATGGCGATTAAGCTGATTGAGGAGACTAAAGGCCTTCCCGCATTCCCTGCATTCAAAGGGCTTCTCACCCATATGAATCTTCTGATGTCGAACAAGCTTTGTCAGAAGAGTAAAGGCCTTTCTGCATTCTTTACATTCAAAGGGTTTCTCGCCAGTATGAATTCGGCAATGTTCAATGAGTTGGTAATGATATCGAAAGGCCATCTCACATTCCCTACATACAAAGGGTTTCTCATTGGAATGAATTTTTTGATGCTGAATAAGATTTGAACCACGATTAAAGGCTTTCCCACACTCCTTACATTGATATGGTTTTACACCAGC
This sequence comes from Homo sapiens, assembly GCF_000001405.40. Taxonomy (NCBI): domain Eukaryota; kingdom Metazoa; phylum Chordata; class Mammalia; order Primates; family Hominidae; genus Homo; species Homo sapiens. The sequence goes on from NW_009646206.1 coordinate 311,189, forward strand.
ATGAATACTTTGATGCTGAGTAAGGTTTGAGCTACGATTAAAAGACTTCCCACATTCCTTACATTCAAACAGTTTCTTAACTGTGTGAATGTTCTTATGGCGATTAAGCTGGGTGGGAAGATTAAAGGCTTTTCCACATTCCTTACATTCAAAAGTTTTCTCACCAGTATGAAATTTCTGATGTCGAGTAAGTTGTATGTGAAGTTGAAAGGCTTTCCCACATTCTTTGCATTTATAGGGTTTCTCTCCAGTATGAATACTCTGATGCTGAATAAGATTTGAACCACAACTAAAGTATTTCCCACATTCCTTACATTCATATGGTTTATGTGTATTATGAATAGGAGAAGCATGAGTATAAGCAGGCATTTCTTCATAGCTGATGATCTTCTGGTTGATATATCCTTCTTGATGTCCCTGTCGTCCCTCAAATCTACTTCTATATTCTGAGTCATTTCTAAAATAAAAGGCCTCGAGGCCAAGTGTTTTACTTATTTGCTTTATAACATGTTTGGGTAAATTTATTTCAAAAATATCATTTTCTGGAGATATTTTCTCAGGTCCATATTTTGACTCCAAATCTGAAAGAAATGAAGAAGGCAAACCTATTTTATTTTCCTATAACATACATGCATACAAAATCCATTAAACAAATGGCCTAAGTATAAAATATAATACTTTCAGGGAAGGGATCTGAAAAAGGAAAAGGGTGCCAATAATGAATTTATGTAAGATGGTGGTGTGCATAAGGGAACAGGTTAACTTTGTCAAATTTAGGTGTGAATCAAAACCATTTGGTAAGATTAAATATATTGATATTCAAGCAACTCAGATGTACAGAATCAGAATTTTTAGTGAAGAAAGCTTTTTTTTTTTTTTTAAGACGAAGTTTCACTCTTGTCGCCCAGGCTGCAGTGCAATGGCACAATCTCAGCTCACTGCACCCTCTACCTCCTGGGTTCAAGTGATTCTCTGGCCTCAGCCTCAGCCTCCAGAGTAGCTGGGATTACAAACATCTGCCACCGTGCCTGGCTAATTTTGGTATTTTTAGTAGAGACGAGGTTTCACAATGTTGGCCAGGCTGGTCTGGAATGCCTAACATCAGGTGATCCACCCACCCTGGCCTCCCAAAGTGCTGGGATTACAGGTGTGAGCCATTGTGCCTGGCCTCTATTTTTTTTTTTTTTTTTTAAGAGACAGGGTCTCTCTCTGTTGCATAGGCTATAGTGCAATGGCATGATCACAGCTCACTGCAGCCTCAAACTCCCAGGCTCAAGCAATCCTCCTGCCTAAGCCTCCCAAGTGGCTACAGCTACAGGCACATGCCACTAAGTCTGGACAATTTCTTTTTCTTTAGTCTTCCTGCAGTCCAAAGTCTGGCTAATTTTTACTTTATTTTTATTTTTACTTTGTAGAGATGGTGTCCCACCATGTTACCCAAGCTGGTCTTGAACTCCTGGCATCAAGCAATCCTCCTGCCTTGATCTCCCAACATGCTGTGATCACCAGTGGGAGCCATCACACCCAGCCAAAGCTGTATTTTTAATATCTCTACCAGATGATTCTGATTCAGATCAAAGTTTACAGATCATACTTAAAACTGGTTTTGAATGGTTTATCTTTAGTCTTAGCACAAAATCCAAAAACCTTAACACAGAGAACAAAACTTCCTATCAGGGCACTGTCCTCCTTTGTGGCTGATCTCTAACCACTCCCTCCTTTTAGCAACCAGAACATGATATAACCTTTCTCTTATCTTCTTGCTTGCTTAGACTGCTTCATCTTCCAAGAATCGTCTGGCTTTGCTCTTTGTAACAAACATCCAACTCCTCTTTTTTTTTTTTCTGTTTATATATATATATTTTTTTAATTTTATTATTATTATACTTTAAATTTTAGGGTACATGTGCACAATGTGCAGGTTTGTTACATATGTATACATGTGCCATGTTGGTGTGCTGCACCCATTAACTCGTCATTTAGCATTAGGTATATCTCCTAATGCTATCCCTCCCCACCTCCTCCCACCCCACAACATTCCCCGGAGTGTGATGTTCCCCTTCCTGTGTCCATATGTTCTCATTGTTCAATTCCCACCTATGAGTCAGAACATGTGGTGTTTGGTTTTTTGTCCTTGTGATAGTTTGCTGAGAATGATGGTTTCCAGTTTCATCCATGTCCCTACAAAGGACATGAACTCATCATTTTTTATGGCTGCATAGTATTCCATGGTGTATATGTGCCACATTTTCTTAATCCAGTCTATCATTGTTGGACATTTGGGTTGGTTCCAAGACTTTGCTATTGTGAATAGTGCCGCAATAAACATACGTGTGCATGTGTCTTTATAGCAGCATGATTTATAATCCTTTAGGTATATACACAGTAATGGGATGGCTGGGTCAAATGGTATTTCTAGTTCTAGATCCCTGAGGAATCGCCACACTGCCTTCCACAATGGTTGAACTAGTTTACAGTCCCACCAACAGTGTAAAAGTGTTCCTATTTCTCCACATCCTCTCCAGCACCTGTTGTTTCCTGACTTTTTAATGATCGCCATTCTAACTGGTGTGAGATGGTATCTCATTGTGGTTTTGATTTGCATTTCTCTGATGGCCAGTGATGATGAGCATTTTTTCATGTGTTTTTTGGCTGCATAAATGTCTTCTTTTGAGAAGCGTCTGTTCACATCCTTCGCCCACTTTTTGATGGGGTTGTTTTTTTCTTGTAAATTTGTTTGAGTTCATTGTAGATTCTGGATATTAGCCCTTTGTCAGATGAGTAGGTTGTGAAAATTTTCTCCCATTTTGTAGGTTGCCTGTTCACTCTGATGGTAGTTTCTTTTGCTGTGCAGAAGCTCTTTAGTTTAATTAGATCCCATTTGTCAATTTTGGCTTTTGTTGCCATTGCTTTTGGTGTTTTAGACATAAAGTCCTTGCCCATGCCTATGTCCTGAATGGTATTGCCCAGGTTTTCTTCTAGGGTTTTTATGGTTTTAGGTCTAACATGTAAGTCTTTAATCCATCTTGAATTAATTTTTGTATAAGGTGTAAGGAAGGGATCCAGTTTCAGCTTTCTACATATGGCTAGCCAGTTTTCCCAGCACCATTTATTAAATAGGGAATCCTTTCCCCATTGCTTGTTTTTGTCAGGTTTGTCAAAGATCAGATAGTTGTAGATAGGCAGCATTATTTCTGAGGGCTCTGCTCTGTTCCATTGATCTATATCTCTGTTTTGGTAACAGTACCATGCTGTTTTGGTTACTGTAGCCTTGTAGTATAGTTTGAAGTCAGGTAGTGTGATGCCTCCGGCTTTGTTCTTTTGGCTTAGGATTGACTTGGTGATGCGGGCTCTTTTTTGGTTCCATATGAACTTTAAAGTAGTTTTTTCCAATTCTGTGAAGAAAGTCATTGGTAGCTTGATGGGGATGGCATTGAATCTATAAATTACCTTGGGCAGTATGGCCATTTTCATGATATTGATTCTTCCTACCCATGAGCATGGAATGTTCTTCCATTTGTTTGTATCCTCTTTTATTTCCTTGAGCAGTGGTTTGTAGTTCTCCTTGAAGAGGTCCTTCACATCCCTTGTAAGTTGGATTCCCAGGTATTTTATTCTCTGAAGCAATTGTGAATGGGAGTTCACTCATAATTTGGCTCTCTGTTGGTCTGTTATTGGTGTATAAGAATGCTTGTGATTTTTGTACATTGATTTTGTATCCTGAAACTTTGCTGAAGTTGCTTATCAGCTTAAGGAGATTTTGGGCTGAGACAATGGGGTTTTCTAGATATACAATCATGTCATCTGCAAACAGGGACAATTTGACTTCCTCTTTTCCTAATTGAATACCCTTTATTTCCTTCTCCTGCCTAATTGCCCTGGCCAGAACTTCCAACACTATGTTGAACAGGAGTGGTGAGAGAGGGCATCCCTGTCTTGTGCCAGTTTTCAAAGGGAATGCTTCCAGTTTTTGCCCATTCAGTATGATATTGGCTGTGGGTTTGTCATAGATAGCTCTTATTATTTTGAGATACATCCCATCAATACCTCATTTATTGAGAGTTTTTAGCATGAATTTTGTTGAATTTTGTCAAAGGCCTTTTCTGCATCTATTGAGATAATCATGTGGTTTTTGTCTTTGGTTCTGTTTATATGCTGGATTACATTTATTGATTTGCATATGTTGAACCAGCCTTGCATCCCAGGGATGAAGCCCACTTGATCATGGTGGAAAAGCTTTTTGATGTGCTGCTGGATTCGGTTTGCCAGTATTTTATTGAGGATTTTTGCATCAATGTTCATGAAGGATATTCGTCTAAAATTCTCTTTTTTCGTTGTGTCTCTGCCCAGCTTTGGTATCAGGATGATGCTGGCCTCAAAAAATGAGTTAGGGAGGATTCCCTCTTTTTCTATTGATTGGAATAGTTTCAGAAGGAATGGTACCAGCTCCTCCTTTTACCTCTGGTAGAATTCGGCTGTGAATCCATCTGGTCCTGGATCTTTTTTGGTTGGTAAGCTATTGATTATTGCCACAATTTCAGAGCCTGTTATTGGTCTATTCAGAGATTCAACTTCTTCCTGGTTTAGTCTTGGGAGGGTGTATGTGTCGAGGAATTTATCCATTTCTTCTAGATTTTCTAGTTTATTTGTGTAGAGGTGTTTGTAGTATTCTCTGATGGTAGTTTGTATTTCTGTGGGATTGGTGGTGATATCCCCTTTATCATTTTTTATTGCATCTATTTGATTCTTCTCTCTTTTCTTCTTTATTAGTCTTGCTAATGGTCTTTCAATTTTGTTGATCTTTTCAAAAGACCAGCTCCTGGATTCATTAATTTTTTGAAGGGTTTTTTGTGTCTCTATTTCCTTCAGTTCTGCTCTGATTTTAGTTATTTCTTGCCTTCTGCTAGCTTTTGAATGTGCTTGCTCTTGCTTTTCTAGTTAATTGTGATGTTAGGGTGTCAATTTTGGATCTTTCCTGCTTTCTCTTGTGAGCATTTAGTACCATAAATTTCCCTCTACATACTGCTTTGAATGTGTCCCAGAGATTCTGGTATGTTGTGTCTTTGTTCTTGTTGGTTTCAAAGAACATCTTTATTTCTGCCTTCATTTCGTTATGTACCCAGTAGTCACTCAGGAGCAGGTTGTTCAGTTTCCATGTAGTTGAGTGGTTTTGAGTGAGTTTCTTAATCCTGAGTTCTGGTTTGATTGCCCTGTGGTCTGAGAGACAGTTTGTTATAATTTCTGTTCTTTTACATTTGCTGAGGAGTGCTTTACTTCCAACTATGTGGTCAATTTTGGAATAGGTGTGGTGTGGTGCTGAAAAGAATGTATATTCTGTTGATTTGGGGTGGAGAGTTCTGTAGATATCTATTAGGTCTGCTTGGTGCAGAGCTGAGTTCAATTTCTGGGTATCCTTGTTAACTTTCTGTCTCGTTGATCTGTCTGATGTTGACAGTGGGGTGTTAAAGTCTCCCATTATTATTGTGTGGCAGTCTAAGTCTCTTTGTAGGTCACTCAGGACTTGCTTTATGAATCTGGGTGCTCCTGTATTGGGTGCATATATATTTAGGATAGTTAGCGCTTCTTGTTGAATTGATCCCTTTACCATTATGTAATGGCCTTCTTTGTCTCTTTTGATCTTTGTTGGTTTAAAGTCTGTTTTATCAGAGACTAGGATTGCAACCCCTGCCTTTTTTTGTTTTCCATTTTCTTGGTAGATCTTCCTCCATCCCTTTATTTTGAGCCTATGTGTGTCTCTGCATGTGAGGTGGGTTTCCTGAATACAGCACACTGATGGGTCTTGACTCTTTATCCAATTTGCCAGTCTGTGTCTTTTAATTGGAGAATTTAGCCCATTTACATTTAAAGTTAATATTGTTATGTGTGAATTTGGTCCTGTAATTATGATGTTAGCTGGTTATTTTGCTCATTACTTGATGCAGTTTCTTCCTAGCCTTGATGGTCTTTACATTTTGGCATGTTTTTGCAGTGGCTGGCACCGGTTGTTCCTTTCCATGTTTAGTGCTTCCTTCAGGAGCTCTTTTAGGGCAGGCCTGGTGGTGACAAAATCCCTCAACATTTGCTTGTCTATAAAGGATTTTATTTCTCCTTCACTTATGAAACTTAGTTTGGCTGGAATGAAATTCTGGGTTGAAAATTCTTTCAAGAATGTTGAATATTGGCCCCCACTCTCTTCTGGCTTGTAGAGTTTCTGCCAAGAGATCCGCTGTTAGTTTGATGGGCTTCCCTTTGTGGGTAACCCGACCTTACTCTCTGGCTGCCCTTAACGTTTTTTCCTTCATTTCAACTTTGGTGAATCTGACAATTATGTGTCTTGGAGTTGCTCTTCTCGAGGAGTATCTTTGTGGCATTCTCTGTATTTCCTGAATCTGAATGTTGGCCTGCCTTGCTGGATTGGGGAAGTTCTCCTGGATAATATCCTGCAGAGTGTTTTCCAACTTGGTTCCATTCTCTCCGTCACTTTCAGGTACACCAATGAGACGTAGATTTGGTCTTTTCACATAGTCCCATATTTCTTGGAGGCTTTGTTCATTTCTTTTTATTCTTTTTTCTCTAAACTTCTCTTCTCACTTCATTTCATTCATTTTGTCTTCCATCACTGATACCCTTTCTTCCAGTTGATCGCATCAGCTCCTGAGGCTTCTGCATTCTTCATGTAGTTCTCGAGCCTTGGCTTTCAGCTCCATCAGCTCCTTTAAGGACTTCTCTGCATTGGTTATTCTAGTTATCCATTCGTCTAATTTTTTTTCATAGTTTTTAACTTTTTTGCCATTGGTTTGAATTTCCTCCTGTAGCTCGGAGTAGTTTGATTGTCTGAAGACTTCTTCTCTCAACTTGTCAAAGTCATTCTCTGTCCAGCTTTGTTCCATTGCTGGTGAGGAGCTGCATTCCTTTGGAGGAGGAGAGGCACTCTGCTTTTTAGAGTTTCCAGTTTTTCTGCTCTGTTTTTTCCCCATCTTTGTGGTTTTATCTACTTTTGGTCTTTGATGATGGTGACGTACAGATGGGTTTTTGGTGTGGATGTCCTTTCTGTTTGTTAGTTTTCCTTCTAACAGACAGGACCCTCAGCTGCAGGTCTGTTGGAGTTTGCTAGAGGTCCACTCCAGACCCTGTTTGCCTGGGTATCAGCAGCAGTGGCTGCAGAACAGTGGTGGCTGTAGAACAGTGGATATTGGTGACCCGCAAATGCTGCTGCCTGATCGTTCCTCTGGAAGTTTTGTCTCAGAGGAGTACCCGGCCGTGTGAGGTGTCAGTCTGCCCCTACTGGGGGTTGCCTCCCAGTTAGGCTGCTCGGGGGTCAGGGAAACACTTGAGGAGGCAGTCTGCCTGTTCTCAGATCTCCAGCTGCGTGCTGGGAGAACCACTCCTCTCTTCAAAGCTGTCAGACAGGGACATTTAAGTCTGCAGAGGTTACTGCTGTCTTTTTGCCCTGCCCCCAGAGGTGGAGCCTACAGAGGCAGGCAGTCCTCCTTGAGCTGTGGTGGGCTCCACCCAGTTTGAGCTCCCCGGCTGCTTTGTTTACCTAATCCTGGGCAATGGCAGGCGCCCCTCCTCCAGCCTTGCTGCCACCTTGCAGTTTGATCTCAAGACAGTTGTGCTAGCAATCAGTGAGACTCTGTGGGCATAGGACCCTCCGAGCCATGTGCGGGATATAATCTCCTGGTGTGCCGTTTTTTAAGCCCATTGGAAAAGCACAATATTAGAGTGGGAGTGACCCGATTTTCCAGGTGCCATCTGTCACCCCTTTCTTTGACTAGGAAAGGGAACTCCCTGACCCCTTGCACTTCCCGAGTGAGGCAATGCCTCGCCCTGCTTTGGCTTGCACACAGTGCGCTGCACCCACTGTCCTGCATGCACTGTCTGGCACTCCCTAGTGAGATGAACCCGGTACCTCAGATGGAAATGCAGAAATCACCCATCTTCTGCATCGCTCATGCTGGGAGCTGTACACCGGAGCTGTTCCTATTCGGCCATCTTGGTTCCACCCCTCTAACTCATCTTTTAAGCCTTAGGATAAATGTTTTCCTCAGAACATCTGAATGAATGAATAAAGCCACCGTAACATATGGGACATCATAAAACAACAAAATATTTGAATTTTTGAGGTCCTAGAGACAAAGAGAAAACATAAAGGATAGAAAATCTATTTAATGAAATAATAGCAGGAAACTTTCCAACTCTAGTAAGAGATGCAGACATCTTGATACAGGAAGCTCAGAGATACCCAAATAGATACAATACAAAAAGGTCTTCTCCATGGCATATTATGGTCAAAATATAAAAGTCAAAGACAAAAGAGAATACTAAAAACAGCAAGAGAAAAGCATCTAGTCACTTACAAGGAAACTCTCATCAGCCTAACAGCAGATTTCTCAACAGAGAGAAATGAGAGAGAATGTGATTATACATTCAGTGTTGAAAGAAAAAAATCACCAGTCAAGGACACTATCCTCAGCAAAGTATTCTACAAAAATGAAAAAGAAATAGTCTTTCCCAGACAGCAAAAGGTGACAGAATTCATCACCACTGGACCAACCCTACAAGATATGTTCAAGAGTCCTACACCTAGAAGTGAAAGGACAATATCTACCATTGTGAAAACACACAAAAGTATAAAACCTACTGACACAGCAAACATACAAATAAGGACAAAGGACTCAAATGTTACCCCTAAAGAAAACAACCAAACCACAATGATAAAAAATAAAAGAGAAAGGAACAAAGGATAAACAAAACAACTAGAAATCAATTAATAAAATGATAAGAATCAGCCCTCACATATCAGTAATCACACTGAACGTCAATGGATTAAACTTCATTTAAAAGATACAGACGGGCTGAATGGATGAAAAAACATGATCCAACTATAAGCTGCCTACAAGAAACTCTTCTCACTGGTAAAGACACATATGGATTGAAAGTAAAAGAACAGGAAAAGATATTCCATACAAATGGAAACCAAAAGTGAGTAGAAATAGCTACGTTTATATCAGAAAAAAACAGATTTTAAGTAAAAAACAGCAAAAAGAGACAAAGAAGGTCATCATATAATGATAAAGGGATCAATTCAGCAAGAGAATATAACAATTCTAAACATATAACACCAACACCAGAACACCCAGATATATAAGGCAAATATTATTAGAGCAAAAGGGAGAGAGATACTACAGTATAATAATCACTGGGGACGTCACTGTGCCACTCTCAGAATTAGATCATCTAGAGAGAAAATTAACAAAGAAACATTGGGTTTAAACATACCTGAGAGGATGAGGGAAAAAGGGAACTCTTATATACTGTTGGTGGGATATAAATTAGTACAATCACTATGGAAAACAGCATGCAGATTTCTCAAAAACCTGAAAATAGAACTACCATATGATCCAACAATCCCACTACTGGGTATTAATCCAAAGGAAGATAAAATCAGTATATCAAAATGATACCTGCACTTGTATGATTACTGTAGCATTATTCAAAATACCAAAGGTATGGAATCAACCTAAGTGTCCCCCAACAGACAAACAGATAAAGAAAATGTGATATATACACATGGAATACTATTCAGGCATTTAAAAAATGAAATCATGTCATTTGCAGCAACATGGAGGGAATCGGAGGTCAGAAAGACAAATATCAGACTGGGCGCAGTGGCTCACACCTGTAATCCCAGCACTTTGGGAAGCCGAGGTGGGTGAATCACCTGAGGTCAGGAATTTGAGACCAGCCTGGCCAATGTGGTGAAACCCTGTCTCTATTAAAAATACAAAAATTAGCCAGGCGTGGTGGCAGGCACCTGTAATCCCAGTTACTCTAGAGGCTGAGGCAGGAGAATTGCTTGAACCCAGGAGGTGGAGGTTGCAGTGGGCCAAGATCGCACCACTGCACTCCAGCCTGGGCGACAAGAATGAGACTCCAACTCAAAAAAAAGAAAGACAAATATCATATGTTCTCATTCATATCTGGAGGCTAAAAAAAGATCTCACAGAGGTAAAGAATAGAATGATAGAAACCAGAGGCTGGGAAGGGTGTGTGGGTGAGGGGTGGGGGATGAAGAGGAGTTGGTTAATGTTACAAACATACAGTTAAATATGAGGAATGACTTCTAATGTTCATAAGCAGAGTAGAGTGACTCTAATTAACAACAATGTATTGTATATTTCAAAATAGCTAGAAGACTTGAAATGTTCCTATCAGAAAGAAATGATAAACCCTCCTCTGGTGGATCTGATGGATACCTCAAATACCCTGACACTTGTTCATTACACCTTCTATGCATGGAACAAAACATAACATGTATCCCATAAATATGTACAAATATTGGGTATCAATTAAAAATGAATAAATAACTCTTGAAGAACTTCCCACATTCCTCACAACGACAGTCAAAACCCTGTATGATACGACTCCGACGTAACTCTCAGACCTTTCTTCCCGCTGTTCCATTACTTACTCCACCTTTGTGTTTCCTGCTCAGTCTGACTAGAGTACTTGAACACTTACTTCACATCTCTATGCAAGCAAGCCCACTTCCAGACAGGTACCCTAAGCACCCAAGTGCTGCCATTCTCACCCCATCACTCCTATTTCCTTGTCTCTATAGCATGATTATTTGGTATTCCTTATCTATTCATTTGCTTACTTGTTTGAGGCATGTCTCACCAACTGCTGGTAAAGTCCATGACAGCAGTGACTTTCTCAGTCTTGTTCATTACCTGTACATTACAGTATTGACCAGAGCCAAGCATATGCCTTCTAGGAATGCGCACTCTATACATATTTACTGAACATGAATACATTTCTTAGTGAAAACACATGTAGAAATCTAAATGCAAAAGCAGAGTTGGAAAGTAGCTGGATCCAAAATACGTGTTAAAAGTTTACACTGGGGGCCAGAAGCATTGGCTCATGCCTGTAATTTCAGCTACTTAGGAGGTTGAGGCAGGAAGACTACTTGAGGCCAAGAGTTCAAGATCAGCTGGGGCAACATAGCAAGATGCTGCCTCTTAAAAAATAATTTTAAAAACTGTTTAAAGTTTACACTGGGAAAGAAAGAGGAAGCTCACTTCATTAAAAGAGGAAGAAAATAACAGAAATTAGGTGATTAGTAAATGATGAAGTTCCTTGGGGACAGCTCCTACAGTGATCTTATTTCCTTCCCAGGTCTTGGGCATTTTTGTCCAGTGGGGGACCTTGGGTTATTGAAGAAAGTTTTCCAAACCACATCTCAGGGGTGTGACTCCTCTCTGAGCACATGGGCTGTCCGGGACAATGATGGCTTCCCCCTGCCTGCTTTACTCTCACTTACCTGGATACCATCTGCTTGTTTCTTTACTTACAACAATCCAGGGCTCTTTCTCTTGCTCTAGTAATGTAATCACATCTGGCTTAGAAATGGAACTTCCTGCTTAAAAGAAATAACACATGTAGAATTTTTTTAATATAAAAATTTTTTTTAAACCCTGAGACCTAGTTAAACTTATAATAAATTACAAGCCAAAACAATATTGAGAAGAGACTCCAGATAAGAGAGGATTGAGTAAGGGATCAACTATGTTTAAAAAAAAAAAAAGCACTTTCATTTAAACTCATAATAGAAACTTATCCCTCAAGAGGAGGTATAATTTAGTGGTTAACAGCAGGAAACTTCAAGCCAGATTACCTGGTTGAAATCCTGTCTCTGCCACCCACTAGTACTTTGACATTAAGTAAGTCACTTGAACTCTCTGTCCTTCAGTTTTCCCAACTCTAAAACAGAAATATAATAATGCCTGTTTTATAGGATTGATACTAATATTAAATAAGGTAATATATGTAAAATACTTCTAACTCTCACTCATACGTAGTAGCACAAAGTTAAAAATTATTATGTTTATTGTCATTATTTATTTTGCATCCTTAGACATTTACAGCTCATTTTAAGAATTTTCACCCAACAGAAAAGCATACACTTCATGGCCTGAAACTTTCAACTACAAAACAAGTAACGGAAGGTCTGTCGAAGGAAATGGAATATACTGACTTAGTGCTAAATAAGTTCTGTCAACCCAATCAGTATATGTAAATCATTGAGGCTCTGTTTTGTTTTGTTTTTTTGAGACAGTGTCTTGCTCTGTTGCCCAGGCTGAAGTACAGTGGCATGACCACGGCTCTCTGCAGCCTTGACCTCCCAGGTTCAAGCAATCATAGAGGCTCTTTTAATAGAAAAACTCAACACACTCTTCTCCTTACAGGTGGGCCAGAAAAACAAAAACAAACAAAGAAAATCTACAGTAATTCTGAGATCAAACATAATATGAAACCTGGTTCTTGAACAATATCATTCAACGAATATACAAGATTTCAAATTCAGCCCCATGGTCATGAAGAGAGAGAGGGGATTACAGAGATGACCAGCATAATGGAGGAGGCCCTGGTGCAGTAGGCAAGATGCAGAGGCTCCAAGGAGGTGCCTGTTTTCAACCCAACAAATCTCAATCCATTCCTTCGGGAATAAGAAGAAGGAATCCAACTACCTCTTAAAAGACAGCCCTGAAACTCATGATGAAGAAAGCTGATATTCCAGAGAACAGATACAAAAATAACTGGGACCAATGACCTTACCCAGTGATATCAGGTGGCTGTAGTTCTCCAACATCACATCCCTGTACAAGGTCCTCTGATCAGGCTGCAGGCACTCCCACTCCTCCTGAGAGAAGTCAATGGCCACATCCCTGAATGTCACTGATCCCTGAAACCACAAACACATGGATTATGGTGAAATTGAAGAAAGTTGTTTCAAGACGAAAGGAGAGGAAGTGAAGGATTAAACTGCAATAAAGGAGCAATATGGAAAATCGCAGAGTGCCTACACATTCTTCAAGAATCCTGCTGCTGGCCTGGTGTGGTGGCTCATGCCTGTTATACCAGCACTTTGGGAGACCAAGGTGGAAGGACTGCTTGAGCCCAGGAGTTGGCAAACAGCCTGGGCAACATAACGAGATGCACTCCCTGGAAAAAAAAAAAAAAGAAAGAAAGAAAGAACTGTCGTGGTGGCATGTGCCTATAGTCCCAGCTACTTGGGAAGCTGAGGTGGGAGTATTGCTTGAGCCTGGGAGTTCAATGCTGCAGCGAAGTGTGATGGCACTACTGCACTCCAGCCTGGGCTACAGAGTGAGACCCTATCTCAAAAAAAAAAAAAAAAAAAAAAAAAAGGTGGCAGCATACAATTGAGGAATGCCGTTAATCCTCAAGCTTACTGTGGTATCAGATGATAGCAAAAGTATTTTTTCTTGTCATGACAAATGATTTTTATAAGCTGCGTAAAATTCAAAATAACTGACATATTAGATTTAGTCATATTTTTCTATTTATACATTTAAGATGGTCAGAGTCTCTAAGGTTTTCCCAAATTCAGAGAATCTGTAATCACCTACCACTCATGCCCTGAATAATCTCTGTTACTGCCCACTGTCCTCACTGATCACTTTCCTAAAAGCCTCATAAAGCAGAACACCTTGTCACGCTTGCAGACTGAGGCCACTCACTATGGAATTCTACCTCAGCTACCTAGAAAGCTCCAGTCTGTGGAGGAGTTTCAAGGTGTTCCCGAGTGTGGTCAAATGCGACAATCATCTGTAACTTATCAAACCCACAAGACCATGTTTCCCTGTGGGGACCAACTCCTCCACTGTTCCAACATTCTTTCTGACCAAGGACTGAGTTAAGCACAGACTGAATAACCTGCTCAAAGAAAACATCAAAGCCAGTGGGAAAACAGAGGTACGAATAGGAAGAGCACTGACTTTTATTTTTTGGTCACCAAACTTCACTGTAATGGGACAAAGTGGGGTGTAAGATTGTGGATCCTGGCCAGGCACAGTGGCTCACGCCTGTAATCCCAGCACTGTGGGAGGCCAAGGCAGGGGGATCATGAGGTCAGGAGATCGAGACCATCCTGGCTAATATGGTGAAATCCCATCTCTACCAAAAATACAAAAAATTAGCCAGGCGTGCTGGTGGGTGCCTGTAGTCCCAGCTACTCGGGAGTCTGAGGCAGGAGAATTGCTTGAACCTGGGAGGCGGAAGTTGCAATGAGCCAAGATCGCACCACTGCATTCCAGCCTGGGTGACAGAGCAAGACTCCGTCTCAAAAAAAAAAAAAAAAAAAAAAAAAAATCGTGGATCCTTACGTAAGAAGGTTCAGGTTTAATAATAACAGTCACCTAACCTAACCTGAAAGTCACCATATTTCAAGAAGACAGAAACACCAACTTACATGGACCATGTTTCTAGAATTACAAAATTGGTCAATCTTCCTCGGGCTTCTCCCCTGGAAAACAACAACAACAAAAAGGCCCTAAGTCAAGCTGTGTCCGAAAGCACTAGAACGAATAAATATTTTATCCTCCATTCCTATTTCTCAACTACTCCTGCTCACACGCACACTTCCACCCTTCTCCCGTCACTCCCTTTTTCCCTACACACACTCTCACAAATAAACTGGCAGTGAACAGGTGGAGTGTGGATGAAACCAAGCTCTCGCCTACATCCCAGGGAACCTGCGGCGGAAGCATGAATGCCGAGCACAGGCATTTCTGCCTTGAAGTTGTGGCTTCCAGCCAGTCCTCCACTCTTGGGATACCAATCTTGGCCTAGGACTGGGCCTCTGATCCTGCTGTAAGCAATCCTCCTCCCCTAGTCCACCTTTCAGAGCTGAGAAGGGCTTGCATCATCCAATCCAGAACCTCTTTGTGAACTCAGGATTGGGTGCAGTGGGGCAAGGCATGAGAACTGGAAAGGATATAGACAGAATTGCATGGGCAGTGTTCAGCATTCTGAGTTCACCAAAAGCCAGCTGGGGTAAGTACAGTTCAGAATAGCCATGTAATAGAATACAAAGTAATCATTAATTGTTCCAGACATATGATTAACAGAAAAATCAGGTTACAAAGCAGGATAAACAATACGATTACATTTGTAAAATATATGTATATAGAAATATTAAGCAAAAGACTAATAGACATCAATACAAAAATTTAGACAGGTATATGCATGCTAACAGTGCTTATCTCTGTATTGTAGCCCCAATTTTCTTCTTTTTGCTAAAGAGTATGTCATAATTGTGACTATGCCCAGGCATTTAACTTAGAATATATAATTATATTCACACACACACACACACACACATATATACACACATATACACATGTGTATGTATCTATATATGTACATATTTAAATGTACATACACATTTTTTTTCTTGCGAGGAAATTGTTCTCCAAATTAGATGAAAGACATCTTTTATTTAGACATTTTCCTTTCAACGTGGGGACAAAAAAAGGAAACTCTACTGAGCTCTTGTTTTTATGTAATAAATTTGTTTCCATTATTTCCCAATTCTTGACCAACACTAAGATGTCTATGTTTTTCTATGTATGTTAGTACAATTTCTAAAAAAAATTGTCTACAAGTCTTCAACTAATTTCTTGTATGCATTAATGATGGTCATATTTCTACATCCGAATTCAAAAATAAAAATAAAACAGAGTTAACAGAGAGTGAGTACTTTTAATCATAAAAAACAAAAAACTGTGCCTGTCATGAGGATCAAAAAGATTAATGTGACTATAACAAATAACATCAGCTAGTTCTGACATCCTTTAGCTGTATCTCACCAATATAATTAGACATTTTCATTATCAAGACTCTTCTCTGAATGAACACAATGCAGATAAGTGGCATCTGGAAACTACATGAGAAAATCTGTGGAATGTACATCACCATGCTTGGTTCCCTTCTTCACCAAATAACTCATTAAAATATCATTTTGGATACAATTCCTACAGAATGCCTTACAAAAACCCTATCTTAGTATATGGGATTCATATACATGTAACATTTTCTTGAGTATCATTGTTCATAGCATGAATACTGCTTAATGGTATATCAAATATTTTTCTTTTCATAATTCTTTATAGACATCATTTTATTAGCTGCATAATACTTTATCACTTGAGTCTAGTATAATTTGCTTAGTGATTTCCATATTACAGGACACTTGATTTATATAAGATCATTTACAGTGTCATTCCAGGTATCACAATCTTTTGATTCTAGACTAAGGTTTTTCACCCTAGGCACTAATGACATATTGTGCTGTATAATCCTTTGTTGGGGCTATAGGGAGGGTTATCCTGTGCACGGTACAATGTTCAGCAGTATCCCTGACCTCTATCCACTAGATCTAAGTAGCACCTCCCCCATGGTGTGACAACCAAAAGTTTTTAAACATCACCCCCGCTGAGAATCAATGTTCTATCTAGATCAATGGATCCAAACCTCATGGGTCACATACAGTTTTGATAGTCTTATGAAATGATATACTATTTCTCCCTCTAAAACCCACATTGATAAATTTCCATAGTACTTCAATACATTATTTCAAGAGCTTTGTGGTCCCCAAGACCATACGTGGAGTTACAAGAACTCAGATTAAGAATTTCAGTCCTACATTCTTGACAAAAATAGAAAAAAAAAAATCCTAAAATGTGCATAGAACCACAAAAGACCCAAATAGCCAAAGCAGTCTGGAGCAAAAAGAACAAAGTTGGAGGCATCAAACTACCTGACTTCAATATATACTACAAAGCTATAGTAACCAAAACAGCATGATACTGACATAAAAACAGACACCTAGACAAACGGAACAGAATAGAGAGCCCCAGAATAAATCCATATGTTTACAACCAACTGATTTTTGAGACAGGTGCCAAGAACATACAATAAGGAAAAGACAGTCTCTTCAATACATACTGTTGTGAAAACTGGGGAGTCATACACAGAAGAATGAAATTAGACCCTTTTCTCAAACCATTATACAAAAATCAACTCTAAATGGATTAAAGATTTAAATGTAAGATCCCAAACTATGAAACAAATAGAAAAAAACGTACGGGGAAAGCTTCATGACATTGATCTGGGCAATAATTTTTTTTTCTAGAAATGACTTCAAAAGCACAGGCAATAAAAGCAAACATAGACAAATGAAATTACATCAAGCTAAAAAAGCTTCTGCACAGCAAAGTGAAGAGACTACCTACAGAATGAGAGAAAATATTTGCAGTCATGTATCTAATAAGGGGTTAATATCCAAAACGTGTGAGGAACTCAACAGCAAGAAAACAACCCAATTAAAAAATGGGCAAAGGACCTGATAAACACATCTCAAAAGACGACATATAAATGGCTACAGTATATGAAAAAATACTCAACATTACTAATCATCAGGGAAATGAAAATTAAACCTACAATAAGATATCACCTCATATGTGTTGGGGTGGCTATTGAAAAGACATAAGTTAACAAATGTTGGTGAGAATGTAGAGAAATGTGAACCATTGCACACTGTTGGTGAGAATGTAAAGTGACACAGACATTATGGAAAACAGCATGGAGGTTCCTCAAAAAATTAGAAATAGAACCACCATATGATCCAGCAATCTACTACTGGATATTTATCCAAAGGAAATGAAATCTGTATACCAAAGAGACACCTGCACACCCATGTTTATTGCAGCACTATTCACAATAGCCAAGATATGGAATCAATCTAACTGTCTATCAATGAATGGATAAAGAAAATGTGGTATATATGCAGGTATATATACACAATGGAAAACTAGCCATAAAAAAAGGGAAATGCTGTCATTCGCAACAACATGGATGAACCTGGAGAAATTCATATTAAGTAAGCCAAGCACAGAAAGGCAGATGATCTCACTCATCAGTGGAATCTGAAAAATGTTCATATAGGCCAGGTGCGGTGGCTCACACTTGTAATCCCAGCACTTTCGAAAG
This sequence comes from Homo sapiens, assembly GCF_000001405.40. Classification (NCBI taxonomy): domain Eukaryota; kingdom Metazoa; phylum Chordata; class Mammalia; order Primates; family Hominidae; genus Homo; species Homo sapiens. The sequence continues at coordinate 329,048 of NW_009646206.1, forward strand.
CGGAGGCGAAGGCCGAGGCAGGCGGATCACCTAAGGTCCAGAGTTCGAGACCACCCTGGCCAACATGGCAAAACCCTGTCTCTACTAAAAATACAAAAATAAGCTGGGTGTGGTGGCATGCACCTGTAGTCCCAGCTACTCGGAAGGCTGGGGCAGGAGAATTACTTGAACCCGGGAGGCAGAGGTTGCAGTGAACCGAGATCACGCCACTGCACTCCAGCCTGGGCAACAGAGTAAGACACTCTCTCTCAAAAAAAGAAAACACTTGATATCATAGAATTAGAGAAGAGAATGGTGTTTACAGGTCGGGGGTAATGTGGGTGAGGGAGGGAAGATGGTGTTGGCTGGGGAAATGTTGGTCAAAGGATATAAAATTTCAGGAAGATAAGAGAAATAAGCTCAAGAAATCTATTACACAACAACGTATCTACTATTAATAACTACTATTAATAACTATTCTGTAGTGCTAAGAGAGTGGATATTAAGTGTTCTCACCACAAAAATGATAACTATGTGAGGTAATGCATTGCTAATTAGCTAGATTTAGTCATTCCACAATGTACATATACTATAAAACATCATGTTGCACACGATAAATACATACAATTTTATCTGTCAATTTAAAAAGAACTTCTGTCCTAGATCATTTGAGCAACTCACTCATTTTCTTACTATGCAAGCAGCAATCACAATGAATCACATATTCCCAATGCTCCTGTCCTATAGAAAGTCAAGGGAAATGACCTAAAATGACCACACGAAAACAAAAGCTAAAACATTAAACATTTATTATTATATGCCTAGCACTGCTCTAAGAGGTTTTAGAGTATTAATTCATTCTAATGTTCATTACAAGCCTGAGAAGACCAGAAACGGACAGAACAAACATTCCAACCCAGATACTCTGGATCCACTCCCCTATTCTTAACCGCAACAGCGTACTGCCTCTCACAGTTCACACAAATAGCCCAAAATGCAACCGGAACTGCCGAATCTCACAGAGATCTGGCAAGTATTACAATTATCATCTCATGGACTCTCCCGAAAAATCCTGACTCTGGTTGATACCAATTTCTGTGCAATCACTTTCCGATTCCTGAAAGCCTCACAGACGAATGGAAATCACCCAACCATCTCCATTCTTCCCTACTTGGAAAAGGAGGCCTGTAAAGAGTCAGAAACCTGGCGTGTGATTCCACAAACTAATCTTCTTTTCAAAGCAGAGTCTAAAATAAAGCTTTAATATAAACCTCTGGAGGACTATTTTTATACCAGCTTAGAAGAAGAGAGCGTACAGGAAGGTGTGAACGATTTGCCAAATGGCTCTGTGAATATTAAATGGCAAGGTGGGGAGCGGGCGGGGTGGGGAACGGCTCGCTGGGAGGCGGCACAATGGGAGGGGGCAAGAATCAATTTGCATATTCTCCTGAAATTCACTAAAAATTTACAGGAACCTCTATATTCTAAAATCAAAAACGCATTTCTTGAACAAATACAAAGCACAAACTCACCCTTGACTTAAGTGTGCAACAATAACGCTCTCATCCTCCTCTCGGTCCTTCTTTTGGATAATAATACGACTGGAGAAGGATACGGCAAGCGTGAGACTCCAGGCTTTTCTTGGAGCGCAGACTAAGTTTGAAAGCACCCTCCATGGCCACAACTTCCCTCACTTCGTACGAAATGAGAAGGAAATAAAAGGAGGAGGAATCGGTCTGAGTTCGAAGCTGGTTCCTGGGGACAGATCTCTGAGGGACGCTGGGTTCTCAACATGTAGCTGCCCTCCTGGGGGACCCTCAAGAGGCACTTCCAGCTCTCATATTCCCACCCCGAGTCCAGATCTGCGCCTTCTTGTGCAAAGCTTCATTCTCGGTTCAATATCTAACCTCCCTACTGGGGACATTTTCATTCCTCTGCTGCAGCCTCTGCAGCTTTGAAGGGGAAAGACGGAGGAAGCAGCAGGAGCCTAGTACCACCGGCACAGTGACACTCACACAGCCCCAGCAAAACGCACTGCGTCCACACGCCGTCCCGGTCCTGTGCACAGGGCCTCACGCACACACTCACACAGTCCCCTCCGTCACTCAAGATCGCGCAATCCCCATCCTTTGATGCCCGCGCACACGCACGCCTAAGGATCTGGCAGATTCCGTCTGCGCCCCGGGTTCCTCCTCTGAGCGCCTCGCTCTCGCCCACCCGCACTGCCGGGTCGGTCAGGTTCGAGTCCCAGTCCACGAAGACCTCCCGCAGCCACCGATTTCTTCCTAGGACGTGAAGACCTTACCCAGCTAGGTCGTCAACCCCAGGAGACAGGAAGTGGAACCGCTAATTCCGGTGCGGTGGCCTCTGGGAAATACAGTCCTGAGCAGAAAGAACCTCAGAAGTCTTGGTCTATGGTCTGTTCAGGTTGATCCCAGCATACATTGGGGGCTCCTAAGGGACCCGAGCCTAATGGATTTGTGGGAGTTCCAGACCGTGGGGTGCAGAGGTTGCGGCCACGGGCGAGAATCCCCATCTGAGAGGAGCGTTGCTGTTTTCGGTGCGTCAGGGTAAATTACCTTTTCTCTCTATGCAAAAGAATGCAAATGAGCAGAACTTTTAAAGAAGAATTTAAAGTAAAATTACGTCAAAATGTAGCTGCTTTGACCTCTTCGTCTCAGATCCGAGCATAGGCTTCCCCTTTGTGCTATTTGAAGGGACTTAGGATAAATTTGAAAAGCCTGAACTAAAGAAATGGTTGGAGAGACTCCGTCTCAAAAAAAAAAAAAAAAAGAAAGAAAGAAAGAAAAGGAATCGTTGGTTTTATACTAGAAGAGGAAGTGTGGTTTACATGAGAGATTTCAGAATCAAATATACTTGATTCTTCAAGACAATCTTCCTGTTATCTGGAGAGAAAAACGTGATTCAGGACGGCATGGAAACAGATAAAAGTACACAGAGAATTACTTGCCTTATCTTGAAGGATGAATAATTAACACATTTTCTTAAAACAGTCTAAATAAATGCCAAAGGGGGTTTGTTTTTCGTAGGAAAAGCTTGATTTCACTGTTGTAATCTAGCAACATTGAACTTTCAAAATGATTTTTGTAGTTTCCTATGCTATATAAAGCGGAAACGTGGAATAATGAAGAGCAAAATGTCTTTTCATTCCCGACTGTGACAGAAAACAGATAGCAAGATAACAAACTTAATTGGATCAATGATCACATTAAGTGTAACTGGTCTAACACCTTAACTTAAGAAGGTTGTCAGGTTGGATTTTTTTTTTAAAAGTCAGACCCAAATACGTGCTACCTACAGGTAATACTTAAAATATAAAAGCACTAATAGGTTAAAAGTAAAAGGATGGAAAAATATATAAAATCCTAACACTAGTCAAAAGAAAGCTGGAGTGGCTATATTAAAAACAAAGTGACTTCACCAAAAAGACTATATCAGGGATAAAGAAAGTTACATCATCATAATGATGAAGGATACAGTTCATCCAGTGGAAAGAACAAACCTAAATTATGCTCTTAATACAGCTTCTAAGTATGTGAGTAAAAACCTGTTAGATCAATAAAGTAACAGACAAATCCACAATTATAATCAGATATTTCAACATATCTCTCTTGGTAATTGATAGAACTAATGCAGAAAAGCAACAGGGTATAGATTATCTAAACAACATATCAACCTGCTTGATCTCATTTACACTTCTGGAACACTCTTCTCAAAGACAGTAAAATTCATCTTAGGTGGACAGGAGACACTTTCCAGCGTATACCATATTCTGGGCCATAAAGCAAGTCTCCATAAATGAGTAAATGGACTCAAGTCATACAAAGAATGTTTTTGACAAAAATGGAATTAAATTAGAAATCAATAACAGCTCACTATATATTGTCCAAAGTAGTAAAAATTTGAAAATGTATGAATACTATGATAATTGAAATTATATAATGTTTGAAAATTTCCTTTATGAGTCATAATTTTCTGTTATATCCTAAAGGGTAAACAATAACATATTTGCATTAAAACAAAATAATGTTTTTGTAGTAAGGAAAAAATTTTAAGCTATCTATATTGACTATGCATTAAAGAGCAGAATAATTATTTTTGGTATATATTCCAATGCTTTAATCAATTTCTTAGCCAGTATCACCATATTTTTAAGGATTTTTTTTGACACAGTCTATTATTTTTAAATTTTGATAAAATTGTATGTAATCCTCAATGCTGGACTTTATGGTTAATAAACTTGAAATTATAGCTACCTTCAAATGGCGCTTCTCTGAACACCATACCTTTTAAATTGAGATATATACTCTGCATATACTAAGGTAATCAGAAGTCTTAGAATATAGCCAATGAAATGGAAAATATCCTCATGAGTATTGTGAATATGGAATATTAGATTGCAAATATTTTAGCAGTTGATGTATTTTGCCTTCACAGTACATTTCTACTTTTTTTTTTGCCACTTAGTCTAGGAAGGGTACATTTATTTAAAAATTATTCCTAAAGCCAAACAAATTGGCTCAATTTATGATACCTTTGAATGTTAAGCCAAATTTAGGTGTTACGGAAACATAAACCTTCTCAATTGCATTCCATTCTAACACAAATTGTAAATGTATCCAGTTAGAAATGGGAGCACCATCAAAAGACTACTGCCATAGCTGAAGAAAGTCCTATGCAAAATTGAAGAATTTCAAAATTAAATCCTGTATATAATACGTTAGTTCATGACTTTATTTATTCAGTTTCTTCCTTAATTTGTAGGACTAAATCCCATTGTCTTCATGTTGGCAAGTTCTGATAACTGAAATTCTGTTGAATTTCTATACTGAATAGGAGTAAGGATAGATGATATCACTGTTTTGTGCCAAATCAACAGAATCTTAAACAACCAAAGGGTTAAAGAACAAATAAAAAGAGAATTTAGAAAACATTTTAGATAAATACAAATTTACTAAAGTTCATGAGATGCTTACTGCTCAGGGAAAAATTTATAGCTCTACATGCCTATAAAAAGGAGGAAAGATGTCAAATCAATGACCTAACTGTATACACTTAGGAATTAGAATATGAAAAATAGAAAAAAAAAAAAAGCAAAACCAGGAGAAGAAAGGAAATAATAAAGATAAAAGTGAGGTTAGATTAAATAGAAAATAGAAAAATAATAGAGAAAACTTACAAAATTAAAAGCTGGTTCTTTGAAAAGATCAAAAAAAGTGGCAAAACTGTAGCAGGACTGAACAAGAAAAAAGAGAAAACATCAAAATTACTAAAGTCAGAGCTGAAAGTGGAGACATTACTAAACTTACAAAAATGAAAATGATGATAGAAGAAAATTATAAACAATTGTATGTCAACAAAATAACCTAAATGGAAAGGAAAAAGTCCTAGAAACACACAAACTATCACTGACTCAAGAAAAAATAGAAAATCTTAACAGGAGTGATGTCAGCAAGATAGAAGAATGGGACTTTCCAGCACTTAGCTCTCACAGAAACATCAATTTAAACGTATATCTATGCATGAACAAACTTTCACAGGAGCTAAAGAATCCAAGTAGCTCACTCAGAGGGGATGGGAATGAAGCAGCTAGTAGACAACTGTCTCTGAGACAGCAAAAATGTTGGATTTAGCAAAGATCTGAAAGCAGCTATTTTAATTATGTTCAAAGAACTAAAACAAGCCATATGTAAAGAATTTAAAGAAGAGTATGACAATAATACCCTGCCAGAGACTATCGACAGAGAGATGGAAATTATTACTGCAATGAAAGAACCAAGTAGAAATTCTAGAGTTGAAAAGCACAATAACTGAAATGAAAAATTCACTAGAAGAACTCATAGCAGATTTAACCTGAAAAAAGAATTAGTGAACTTGAAAATAGGTCAAGTCAATAAAATTATGCAGTCTGAAGAACAGAAAGAAAAACAGAAGGAATAAAAATGAAGAAAGCATCAGAGGCATGTAGTACACCATCAAGCAAACCAACATACATATAAGAGGAGGGTCAGAAGGAAAGAAAAAGAAAAAATGCTTGAAAAATAATGGCCAAACTCTCTGTGAAGTTGATCACACACATGCACACACACCTACATTTACAAGAATGTGAACACACTCCAAGTGGGATAAACCCAGATATTAATACTTAATCAACATGTCTCAAGGAGAGCTACCCCAGAGTCAAATTGTCAGAAGCCAAGAACAAAGGGAAATCTTGAAAACAGCAAGGGAAACATTATTCATCATATAAACGAGATTCTCAACAGGACTACTGGCTGACTTCTCATCAGAAACAACAGAGAACAAAAGGCAGTGGGATGAGATTCAAAGTACTAAAACAAACAAAAACAAAAAACAAAACAAAACAAAACAAAAACAAATAAAACCCTACCAGTCAACCAAGAATTCTATATCCAGAATATTCTCTCTCAAAATATAGATAAAATAAAGAGAATTGCAGATAAGGACTGAAAGCCTTTGTTGCTAGCAGACTTTCCTAATAAGAAATATTAAAGTTCTTTAGAATGAAGGTGATGGTCACTGGAATCCACACAAAGAAATAATGAGCACTGATTAAAGTCATTACATAGGTAAATAAAAGATAATATACACTTTTACTTTTTTATTTTAACTGATTAAAGATAACTGCATAAAACCATAATTATACAATTGTATTATTTTGTTCATAATGTATAAAGTTGTAATTTGTGTCACATTCATATTACTATGATAGCACAAAGGAAGGGAGCTATATTGGAGTAAACTTTCTGTATACTATTGATATTATTTTATTTATTTTGATTTTTAAAATTTTATTTCTAATTTTTTGTAGAGACAGGGTCTCACTATATTGCCCAGGCTGGTCGTGAACTCCTGGGCTCAGGCAATCCTTCCACCTCAGCCTCCCAGAGTGCTGGGATTACAGGTGTGAGCCACCATGCCTGACGACTACTGTTATTATTTTAGCAATAATCTCAATTAGATTTTTTTAAGCTAAGATATACATTAGTTCTTTTTAAAAGCTGAAAACAGACGGAAAACAAAAGGATGGAAAAAGATACAAATAGATACCATACAAATGGTGATCAGAAGAGAATAGGAATGGTTATACTACCATCAGACAAAACAGGCTTTCAAAATGTTACTAAAGAAAAAGAGATTTATTTAATGATAAAAGGGCAAGTTAATTAGAAAAATATAACTACAATGAACGTATATGCTCCTAAAAACAGGAGACTACATACATGAAAGGAAAACTGACAAAACTGAAGAGAGAAAATGACAGCTCAACAATAGAAGGTGGAGATTTTAACACTCTATTCTCAATACATACAACAACTAGACAGAAAATCTGCAAGGATATAGAAGACTTAAACAACACTACAAACTAGTTTGTCTTAACTGATGGTTGGTTGAACACTCAACCAACAATAAAATACATACTCAACATGCAACATTTTCTAAACTAAACAATATACTAGACTTATATATGGCAAATCATAATATTTTTTATAAGTAAGTCATGCTAAGTATATTCTCTGACCACAGTGAAAATAAAATTAGAAATCAAACACTGAGGAAATTTGGGAAATGTAAAAATATTTTGAAATTATTCAACACATTGTTAAATACCCCATGGATCAAAGAATAAATTATAAGAGAAATTAGGATGTATTTTTTATTTTACTTCCTAAAAATAGAGATGAGAATCTCACTATGTTGATCAGGCTGGTCTCAAACTCCTGGCCTCAAGCAACCCTCCCATCTTGGCCTCCCAAAATGCTGGGATTACCGGCATGAACCATCGCACCTTGCCTAGAATGTATTTTTAATAAAAACAAAAACAATCCAAATTTTTGGAGCAGCTAAATATGTTTTTATTTTTAGCTTTAAATGCCTATAGTGCTAGAAAAGAATAAAGATGTAAAATCATTTGGTAGACTTCACCAGTGAAACCATGTAGTCTTTGGCTTTTCTTTGTTAGGAGGTATTAGATTGCTATTCATTCTTCTTACTGGTCATAGGTATATTCAGATTTTCTATTTCTTCATTATTGAGTCTTAGAAAGGTGTGTGTTTCTAGAAACTTTTCCATTTTGTCTAGGTTATCAAATTTATTGGAATACCGTTGTAAAAAGTACTCTTGAATAATGCTTTTTATTAGTATACAGTTGGTAGGAATGGAATGTTCCCTGTTTCATTTCTGATCCTAGTTATTTCAGTCTTCCTCTCTTAATCAATCTGCCTAATGGTTCTCAATTTTGTTGAGCTTTTCAAATAACCAACTCTTAGTTTTACTAATTTTCTCTATTTTTTATTCTCTAATATGTTAATCTCAAGCCTAATATTTTCATTTCCTTCCTTCTACTAGCTTCAGATTTAGTTTCTTCTTCTTTTCTAGTTTCTAATGGCATAAAGTTAGGGGGCTGACTTGAAATCTTTCTTCTTTTTTAATGTAAACACTAACAGCTATAAAATTCCCTTAACACTGCTTTTGCTGCATCCCATAAATTTGGTATGTTGTGTTTTCATTTTCATTTACCTCATTTTCATTTGTTTTGATTTCTTCTTTGATCCACTAGTTTAGAGTGTGCTTAGTTTTCATATACTTGTGGATTTTACAGTTTTACTTATGCTATTGAATTCTAGTTTCAATATTTTAACATTATGACTTCTTCTGTGGCCTAAGACATAGTTTATCCTGGATAATAATCCACATGCACTTGAGGAAAATGTGCACTCTGCTATTGTTGAGTGGAAATGTTATGTATATATGTGTGTTAGGTCCAATTGGTTCAAGTCCCCTATTTCCTTATTTATCTTCTGTCCTGTTCCTCTACATATTATTAAAAGTAGTGTATTGAAGTCTCCTACTATTATTGCATAGATGTCTATTTCTTCCTTCAATTCTGTCAATGTGTCCTTCATATATTTTGGAGCTCAGGTGTTTAGTGTATATGTATTTGTAATTGATATATCTTCTTGGTAAGTTGACCCTTTTATTATATATTCTTTGTCTCTTCTAACCTTTTTTAACTTATAGTATATTTTGTCTGATATTAATACAGCCATGCCCACTCTTTTTAATTGCTGTTTGCATGAAATATCTTTTTTCTTCTTTTCACTTTCTTTTTGTTTGTTTTTTAGACGGAGTCTCGCTCTGTCACCCAGGCTGGAGTGCAGTGACACGATCTCGGCTCACTGCAAGCTCCGCCTCCTGGGTTCACGCCATTCTCCTGCCTCAGCCTCCTAAGTAGCTGGGATTACAGGCGCCCGCCACCAAGCCCGACTAAGTTTTTGTATTTTCAGTAGAGACGGGGTTTCTCCATGTTGGTCAGGTTGGTCTAAAACTCCTGACCTCAGGTGATCCGCCCGCCTCGGCCTCCCAAAGTGCTGGGATTACAGGCGTGAGCCACTGCGCCCGGCCCATCTTTTCACTTTCAAACTATGTGTGTCCTTAGATCTAAAGTGACTTTCTTATAGATAGCATTTAGTTGGATCTCGTTCATTTATCGTCTCCCAATCTATGTCTTTTGATTGCCAAGTTTGATCCGTTTACATTTAAAGTAACTATTGATAAGGAATGACTTATTTTTGCCATGTTGTTTTTTTCTATAGTTCACCCAGTCCCACATTTCTTTTCTTACTGCCTTCCTCTGTGTTGATTTTCTATAATAACACATTTAAATTTTTTATTCATTGTATTTTTGTTATTTTCTTAATGGCTGCTGTAGGGTTTATTATATACATCTTAGAATCAGCTTCAGAATAATACTAACTTGATCCCAGTGAGATATATAAATGTTATTTATATAGTTCTAATCTATCCTACTTTTCAATTCTATTATTGTTCTACATTATTATGTCTACACATGCTACAGACTCAAAAATACATTATTATACTTATTCTGTATAGGTTTATGTCTATTAAGGATGGAATAGAGTATATATATATTTATATGGTATTTTTGATATATAGCTTTTTATTTACTATTTCTACTTCTTTTTATTTGTTCCTATGAATTCTAGTTACTATCGCGTATCATTTCTTTACTCCAATACAACTCTGCTGTCATTTACTTCCTTTATGCTGCTATTGTCAAATATATTACATTTCCATGTCATATGGCCAATAATACAATTATGTACATATTATACAATTGCTTTTTAAATCTATTAAGAGAAAAAAGTAAAAGAAATGTGCATTTATGCTGCCTTTTATAATTACCATTTTGTGTGTGTGAGACACAGAGTCTCACTTTGCTGCCCAGGCTGGAGTGAAGTGGCATGATCTCAGCTCACTGTAACCTCTGCCTCCTGGTTTCAAGCGATTCTCCTGCCTCACCTTCCGAGTAGTTGGGACTACAGGTGCACACCACCATGCCCAGATAATTTTTGTATTTTTAGTAGAGACGGGGTTTTGCCATGTTGGCCAGGCTGGTCTTGAACTCCCAACCTCAGGCAATCTGCCCGCCTTAGCCTCTCAAAGTGCTGAGATACCAGGCATGAGCCACTATGCCTGGCTATAATTACCTTTAATTATAAATATTAATTTTGTTCTTTTTAAAAATGTGATTTTAAATTTTCATGTGTTTTACTTGCTTTCAGTATTAATAACTTTTTTTTTTTTTTTTTACAATTTCTCATATGGCAGATCTGGGAGGGCTTTGTTTCACCTTTTTTTTGAAGGCAGCATTACTAGAAATAAGATCATGGTTCACAAAGCTTTTGTCCTTTGAGTACTTTGAATGTATCATCCCACTGCCTTCATCCCCTCCATTGTTTCTGATGAGAAGTTTGCTGTTAATCTATTGGGGTACCCTTGTGGCACATTGTTTTTCTCTTACAGCTTTCAACATTTCCTTTCACTTTTAACATTTTTACTATGACGTGTCTGTTTGTGGATATGTTTGCATTCATTCTGTTCACAGTTTGTTGAGATGCTTGTGAGTATAGATTAATGTTTGTTCAATAAATTGTGGATGTTTTTAGCCATTATTTCTTTGAATATTTTTGTGCTTCTCTTTCTCCTCACCTTATGGTATTCTCATTACATGTACACTGGTGCACTGAAAGGCGTCCTGAATTTCTCTGAGGCTCTGTTTATATTTCTTTGTTCTATTTTCTCATCCTATTTCTTCATTTTCCTATTCTATTTTCTAATGGGAAGATGGAATTGAGGTTGCATAATTTCTATTGATCTATTTGAAAGTTTTCTAATTCTTCTGCCAGCTCAAACTTATTTAGCCCTTCTAATGATTTTTTATATTAGTTATTATAGTCTTCAACTCCAGAATTTACATTTGGTTCATCTTATGATTTCCTTTATTGATATTCTTTATTTGATGAGACATTATCTTTGTATTTTCCCTTACTGCTGTGAATATATATATAATGGCTACCTTGAAGTTTTTGTCTTTTAAATCTGATATCTGTTCCCTGTCAAAGGCCATTTCTGTTGCCTGCTTTTTTCCTGTTTATAAGTCGAACATTTCAGTTTCTTTGTATGTCTTACAATTTCTTGTTGATAAGTGGACATATTAGGTAACATACTATAGCGATTCTGGATACTGATTCCCTGTCCCCTTCTTCAGAGTGGTTTTTGTTGTTGTTCTTCAGAGTGGTTTTGTTGTTTGTTTTGTTTTGTTATTTGTTTTCTGCTTTGACTAAGCTATTTTAGTGAAGTAGCTTGCAGTGGGAAGCATTTTGTTGTTCTTCAGAGGGTGCAGCCTTGGACATATGCAGAGTTACTCGTAGTTATTTGTTTTGTGTTTTCACTAAGCTATTTTAGTGAAATAGCTGGCAGTGGGAAGCATTTTGTTGCTCTTCAGAGGGTACAGCCTTGGACATACGCAGAATATACCCTGGTATGGTTTTAAACAGGAGTCTCTTTGACCATCTTTCCCTGATCTCTCTGTTAAGATGTTTGTCTCCTTTGGTATTATTTCTAGCCCACTAGGCTCCACTGGCTTCTGTCTGATCAGTCTACTGTTCTCCACAAGTCCTTGGAGCATTAATTACTAAGCAGTTTGGTATAATTTAAGCCAAGCAGGGCTAGTTTTTGAGGCCAGTCTTTAAGGTTTCTTTTGACCTTAGAAGGGCTCCTTAGCTGTGTCTTCCCCTGGAATTACCTGATTAACTAGCTGACTTACGGTTCATGTTGTTTTTAATTAAGGGAAGTTTCTGACACTGTTTCAAATAAATTCCATTCTTCTTGAGAGAGCTTCAGAGCTCTATTCTTATACACTGTCTCTCCCTCTGGACAAAATCTCTGAACCACCATTCTGGGCAATGGGCTGGGTGGTAGCCATTTTGTTTCTCTTGTGAAACCTCTGCCTTACAAGCAAGCTGAGGCAAAGGCAATCAGGGCCCAAATCTGAGTTCACTGTGCCTGGGTAGAGCTTCCAACCTATGGGTGGGAGCGGGGGAAGCAATGGAGCCCCAAGCCTCTTGGTTGCATCACCAGGAATTTAGCCTCTTCAACTGAGAGGAGGTGGGAATAAGAATCCCTGGAAGCCTGACCCTCCTGTTGTTATAAAACTTGATTGAGAGCTGGAGCCGCATAATCTTGGCAGCATCCACCCAGTGTGAAGCTTCCATCAAACTGAGCTGTGAAGACAAGAAGAGAGTGGGCTGTGTCTTAAATACCACGAATTCTCACTGCTCTTACCAAGTTTTAGTAGACTTTGTTGTTAGATATTTCATTCACTGTATACTCTTTGCACTCTTTCAGATCTCAAATAGTAAGGTTTTAAAAATAGTTTTTGTTTTTTGTTTTTTTTTCACTTTTACTTGTCTTGCTGGTAAATGAGCCTGCAGAGTCTCCCTATCCTATCATCCAGAAGTGGAACTTCATACAGTCATCTAACAATCGTTTAGCATTTTCTGTCATCTCATTTTGGAGAATCATAGATGTGGCAGAAATACATATTCTTGAAGAAAAAAAATGTCTCCCTTACAGGTACTGTGGTTTTAATAGGGTGTGGGATAAGTACATGACAACATGCATGGGATAGATGCTCTGCTCTCTGCAGATCTGTGCTTTTGAGCTACAGAACATAGAAGAATATATTGACTGTTCTTAGTCTTAATATATGACAATCTAGGTGTATCATTTAAGATTAAATTTGGTTGTGAGTAAAATAGTAAAACTGCATCAAATTAAAGTGGATAAAACAAGATAAGGTTAATTTCTCTGTCATATAATATGGATGTAAGCCTGATATTGTGGCCTTGCTCCAAACCAATCATGAATTCTTCCACTGCTGGCATCAGAATGGTATGAGCTCTCAGACTTACACAGAACTGGGGAAAATCGTAAAGAATTTCTGGATATCCCTCACCCAGATTTCTCAAATATTAATATATTCAGCCAGCTGTGTTTTAAGAGAGGTTTCCAGAACTGCCAAAAATATTCACTTACATCCTACTGGCCATAAGTTATGTCACATGACAACATCTTGGAAAAATAAATGCAGTGCTTACTCTAGATAGTCATAGCCAACTGTTAATAAAAATTACTGATTCTATAATCCTGGACTCTAATCTGTAATAACAGACTCTGACCCGCTGGGGAATCCAAGGAGAAAGTTTCACTTTCAGCAATTACAAATAACCACAGTGCAACCCTAGAGACCACACTTGTGCAGAAGACTCATAGAAATGGAATGGTATCCTAGAAATTAGAACACACAGGTCTCTCATCCCCCATACTGCAAACTGGATTATCATAATACCCTATAAAAGGATGACAGAAGGCCAGGCTTGGTGGCTCACGCCTGTAATCCCAGCACTTTGGGAGGCCGAGACAGGCGGATCACGAGGTCAGGAGATCGAGACCATCCTGGCTAACACGGTGAAACCCCGTCTCTACTTAAAAAAAAAAAAAAATACAAAAAAAATTAGCTGGGCATGGTGGCGGGCGCCTGTAGTCCCAGCTACTCGGGAGGCTGAGGCAGGAGAATGGTGTGAACCCAGGAGGCGGAGCTTGCAGTGAGCCGAGATTGCGCCACTGCACTCCAGCCTGGGCGAGAGAGTGAGACTCTGTCTCAAAAAAAAAAAAAAAAAAGGATGACAGAAATCTTCTGTCCAGTTTTTTTCTGGAGAATCTATGAACATTCAAAATATTATCTATTGTCGGCTGGGCAAGATGTCTCACACCTGTAATCCCAGCACTTTGGGGTCTGAGGCGGGCGGATCACTTGAGGTTAGGAGTTCATGACCAGCCTGGCCAACATGCTGAAAGCTGTCTCTACTAAAAACACAAAAATTAGCTGGGCGTGGTGACAGGCATCTGTAATCCCAGCTACTTGGGAGGCTAAGGCAGGAGAATCGCTTGAACCTGGGAGGCAGAGGTTGTGGTGAGCCACGACTGCACCATTGCACTCCAGCCTGGGCAACAAAAGCAAAACTCCATCTCAAATATAAATCTATCCATCTATCTATCTATCTATCTATCTATTATCCATTATTGAATGTTCTTCATAACACTGCTCAGAAACACCATGACAAATTTGAATCAGACCAATATCTCCAAAAATGGGCAAGCAGATTAATGTGTCATTTCAGGCAGGCCCTAGCAGGAGATAAACTTCTCAGCTATCACCATACATAAAACCTTATAATTCAATAAAATATCAAATGCAAACAAGAGCAGATCATAGAAATGTAAGTTGAGAAAAATCAGAGTGAACTTCTGACCTTACAATGACATTTTCTACTCTGAAACTATTAAAAGAATTCTAACAAAACCAGCATCTTCTTCCATACCTGTAACTGCCATGTGCACCCATAGCAGCCAGATTTCTTGGTCTCAAAGGCTCTTTTCCTCTAAATAGAACCAGGACACCCTACGAGGGTACTGAATCATGGGTTGATTCCATGACTCAGGACAAGAGGCATGGGGAACATGGACCAACAAAGAAGGATCAGTCTAAAACATCTTCTTAGGACCTGAACACAATATTCATTTAAAAAAAAAGAAAAAAAGAAGTCAAAAAAACAAATGTAACTGGACTCCTACTGGCTACACATCAAATTATCATAATTACTACAGATGCTTCTCAACTTATGACAGCGTTATATCCAAATAAACCCATCACAAATTGAAAACATCATATGCCAAATGTGTATTTATGACCTACAATATTTTCAACTTAACATAGCCCCATCTTAGTTTGAGGAGCATACTCTGACTGAGTATGTCTTAGTCCATTTTGTATTGCTACAAAAGAATATCTGAGGCTGGGTGATTAATAAAGAGGTTTATTTGGCTCACTGTTCTGCAGAATGTACAAGAATCATGGTGCAGCATCTGCTTCTGCTAAGGGTCTCAGGCTGCTTCCACTCATGGCAGATGATGAAGGGAGAGCCAGTGTATGCAGACATCACATGGCAAGAGAGAAAACAAGAGGGTGAGGGAGGAGGTGCCAGGTTCTTTTGAACAACCAGCTCTCACAAAAATTAACAGAGCGATAGCTCACTCACCCCTCAATCCAGAGAGGGCATTAATTTATTCATGAGGGATCTTCCACCATGACCCAAACACCTTCCATTAGGCCCCACCTCCAACACTGAGATCAAACTTCAACATGAGATTTGGAGGGACAAATATCCAAACTATAGCAACATATCACTTTTGTACCATCATAAAGCTGAGAAATTGTTAGTTGACATTGTTGGGGACCATCTCTATAATAGTTCATTGGAACAAGTCTGTTAAAAATCATGTTCATACTGATACACAAAACATGTAATTATCATACATCTAGTATCATGTCACACTCAAAAGATAAATGGTTATAAATTTTACAAAAGGAGGCTGCAGTTAGGAATGTTTAATTTACTGTTTGTTGATAGTAGGTGAGAAAGAACTGTTCATATGCCTTTTTTCCACCAACTTGATGTTTGTTTAGAAGGTATAGTTACCTATTTGTATTGATCTGTAAAAGCAAGATGGAACAAATACAGAAAAGTTTGAGTAAGCCAGACACTTTTGGAAGGGGCAGTGTACTAGAAATGGGAAAAATGTATCCATATTAACGGCTACTCGTAACTCCTATGAATCAGGTAAAAGGAGGGCCAAATAAAAATCAGTGCTAGGGAGTGAAGGTCAGACTCACAAACCAAATAAATGAAATATTCAATACATTTCACAATAAGAAAATACCCCAATGTCCTAATGAAAAAGAATAAAAACACATACTCGATCCTCTTCTCCTAGGAGATGAAATATATTGTTTTAAAAATGAGTTACTCCAATAAGATATGAATAAGCAATATATAAATATATAATAAACATAACAGACCAGTTAGATATATAATAGACAACAGATTAAATACTGCTGACTAAGCACAACTTAAGGGGATTATATAATTAAATGTATCCAAAAAAACCATTATTGAATTGACCTGTCACTTTCTAATACATCTTTGTTACTAAAAATTTAAGCAACTTAGTAACCATGACTCTGGGTCATCTGATATCATAATGTGGTTCAAGGTCCACCAATCTTCTGTTTCTTTGATTGTATTTCCTTGTTTCAGGACAGGTAAAAATGTTAATATCATAATAAAGACCAAACTGTCCAATTACCAAAACTGTGAAGCAGCAACAATGTCAAAGAATTACAAATAAAAGGAATAAGAATTTTTTGAAAAGCAACTAAAATTGAGAAAATTCTTTTTATAAGTGAATTCAGTATGTTCACTGAGCTTGTAAGCAAGGAAATAGTCTATGGATGCCTTCTCTGCTTTTAAAAGTAGTAGGTGATTTTTAAATTTTTACATAATTGGTTTGTAACTTTAGCAAATATTTTAAAGTGTTTTATTATGTTTGCAAAGGGACTGTGACTTCCAACTTAGAAATCCCAAGATTGCATGATGATAGAGTTTCACTGGAAGGCCTCCTGGGATCTCTTTTTTATGACAATTCTTAATGAGATACCAGAATGTGCAATGACCCATAAAGGAGTTGTGCTGGGTTAATACCCAGGGAATCTGTTGAGTTCAAAAAAGAAAGTCAAAGAGAATCAATATGAAAAAGATGAAAGTGGAAATAAAAAATAGGAACATGAGACTAGAAAGCCAGGTTTTAAATAGCCTCGTTTTGTAAGATTTATAAGATCACTGCATTAACAAAACCTGAAAAATGTTTAGAAAATTATAACTTTACCTATGATTATAGATACAATTAAATGTTAAGAAATAGAATTAAGTAGTCTATCAAAAGCATAATAATCTGATAAGGATATATTCACAAAAAGAAGAAAGCTATCAATATAAATTATCATTTTATAGATTTTTAAATGCACTGGAATAAAATCACAAAGGATTATTATTGATCTTTAAAAAAGTTAATCTCTCTAATTCATGATGCCACAATGGTATCATGTTTTATAGCTTGATTTAAAGGCTTAATTTTTTTCAAAGTTTATCAACAGCTCACATACCAGCCATGATGTATAGGTGCTGATGATAAATGCTGAACAAAAACAAGGTTCCAGACAAAATAATCTTGGCTCCCTGAATAAACTAGAGGGTGCTAATTTTGTACTGAATATACTGTCAGCCTTATCACACAAGTTGACTTATGTTGACAACCTTAATGGCATTCATTTTTGAATAGTCTATTTCAATTTTCATTTTGTATTCAATCCACAGCTAAAATACACATGATTATAAATATTCAGAGGTCAAAGTCTCTCCATAGATTATTTATGCACTACAAATTAGATCTTTACAATGGACTTATGGCGGTTACCAGCTTACCCAAATGATCAAACTTAGTTTCACTAATGCAAGGACCTGTACTTAAATGTTTTCTGACAGTGAAATATGCCATACAAATAGCCTACAAAGTATTCTTCCCCAAAATGTTTAATCTGACCTAACAGAGCCTCTGGACTCAAATTCCCTTGTACAGAATATGCAACAAAGAGAACAACACTAAATGACACTATAAAGAAAGAAATCTAAACACATAGACAATTTTCCTGGGCTAATCAAAATTCAATCTCATTTTTTAAGAATGAGGAGATGGACCAGGCCTTTTCAAAACTATCAAGCAGATAGTCAGGGCCTGTGAAGTGTGCCAAAGAAATAATCCCCTGCACTGCAGGCCATACATTTCAATCTCTGTATCTTTAACCTCCTTGTTAAGTTTGTCTTTTCCAGAATCGAAGCTGTAAAGCCACAACTCATTCTTCAAATGGAGCCCCAGATGCAGTCCATGACTAAAATCTACCGCGGACCCCTGGACCGGCCTGCTAGCCCATGCTCCAATGTTAATGACATCGAAGGCACCCCTCCAGAGGAAATCTCAACTGCACAACCCCTACTACACCCCAATTCAGCAGGAAGCAATTAGAGCAGTTGTTGGCCAACCTCCCCAACAGCACTTGGGTTTTCCTGTTGAGAGGGGGTACTGAGAAACAGGACTAGCAGGATTTCCTAGGCCGATTAAGAATCCCTAAGCCTAGATGGGAAGTTGACCACATCCACCTTTAAACACGGGGCTTGCAACTCAGCTCACACCCGACCCATCAGGTAAGAAAGAGAGCCCGCTAAAATGCTAATTAGGCAAAAACAGGAGGTAAAGAAATAGCCAATCATCTATTGCCTGAGAGCACAGCGGGAGGGACAATGATCAGGATATAAACCCAGGCATTCGAGCCGGCAACGACTACCCTCTTTGGGTCCCCTCCCTTTGTATGGGAGCTCTGTTTTCACTCTATTAAATCTTGCAACTGCAAAAAAAAAAAAAAAAAGAAGAATGAGGAGAAAGGAGAAATGTTCTAGGTCAGTGGCTCTCTAACTCTGGTTGGTATCACAATCACCTGGAGAAATAATAAAAAACATAGAGGCCCAGAATTATAAGCTAGGGCTTAAGCCTCTGTAGCTTTACTAAGTGCCACTGTTGATTCTAATACCTACCAAAATTTGAGCGCCTACATTCATAGGATTTCCAGGCTACAATACACTAAAGAGAGATAACCAAATGCAATGCAGATTCTGCAATGGATTCTCCTTTGAATATGAATAGCTGTAAAAGATGGTTTGGAAGCCAATGAAGAAATCTGAAAATGGAATGATATTACAGAATTATGAATACTTTCCTTAACGGTAATTATGGTACAATGGCTATATGATATTGTCTATATTGTCTTCATGTTTGGTTGATACACACGTTGATTAAATAAAGGGTAAAGTGTCATGATGTCTAAAACTTATTCTCAATGGTACAACAAATATACAAAAAATAAACGTGCAAATTGTTAACAATTTTGAATCTAGGTTGGGGTATATGATTGTATATTTGACTATTCTTTCAAAACCCACAACAAGTATCAACTAGGTTTACCATCTTTTATGGGCAGAATTTGTGGTATCCCAAAGCAATTACAATAGCAACATCAAAAATCACTGGTCATTGATCACCATGATAGATATATAACAATGAAATAGTTTGAAATATTCTGAGAATTACCAAAATGTGACATAAAGACATGAAATGCACACCTGACGTTGGGAAAATGGACCTGATCGTCTTGCTCACCACAGGGTTGCCACAAACCTTCAGTTTGTATAAAACACAATAACTGCAATGCACAATTCAGCGAGGTATGCCTGTATCTGGTAAATTATTTCATAGGGAGTACATTGTGAACATGACAACTACCCTATATTCCTCATTCAAAGACTTTCTCACAAGAATTATCTTCTCCGAACTCTAAGGTATTTAGTGTGGCTATAAAACGCCCCACATTCCTTACACTCAAAGATTTCTCAGAAGTATGAATACTCAGAAGTTGAGCAAATCCCAGGCCATGATGAAAGTTCTTCACACATTCTTTTATGTTCACAAGATTTCTCATCAATATGAGCTCTCTGGTGTTGAGTAAATTTTTCGTACACAGTGAAGGCTTGTCCACACTCCTTATTGTCACAAAATTTCTAACTATTCTGAATTTTCTGATGTTGAGACAGCTGATCATCCACAGCAAATGCTTTCCCATATTCCTTACATTATAGCGTTTCTCACCAGTATGAATTTTAACATGTTGAACAATGTTTGAGCTACAACTAAAGGTCTTCCCACATTCTGTACATTCACAGGGTTTCATACCAGTATGAATTCTTTGATGTGCAGTCAGGACCAAACTAAATCTGAAAGTTTTCCCACACTCCTTACATTCATAGAGTTTCTCACCAGTATGAATACTCTGATGTTGAACAAGGTTTGAGCCACTATTGAAGGCCTTCCCACATTTCTCAAATTCAAATGGCTTCTCGCCAGTATGAATGACCTGAAGTCCAGCAAGCTGTGTCAGAAAACTGAAGGCCTTTCCACATTCTTTACATTCAAAGGGTTTTTTACCAGTGTGAATTTGGTAATGTTAAATAAGTGGTAATGATATCTAAAGGTCGTCCTCCACTCCTTGCATACAAAGAGTTTCTCACTGGAATGAATTTTCTGATGCTGAATAACGTTTGAACCACAAATGAAGCCTTTCCCACACCCCTTACATTCACATGGTTTTACACCAGCACGAATACTCTGATGTTGAACATGGTTTGAGACACGATTAAAGGACTTTCCACATTCCTTACATTCAAGATGCCTTCTCACCTGTGTGAATGTTCTTATGGCGATTAAGCTGGGTGGGAAGACTAAAAACCTTTCCACATTCCTTACATTCAAAGGGTTTCTCACCAGTATGCAATTTCTGATGTCGAATAAGTTGCATATGAAGTCGAAAGGCTTTCCCACACTCCTTACATTCAAAGGGTTTCTCACCAGTATGCAATTTCTGATGTCGAATAAGGTGCATATGAAGTCGAAAGGCTTTCCCACATTCCTTACATTCAAAGGGTTTCTTTCCAGTATGAATACTTCGATGTTGATTAAGATTTGAACCACGACGAAAGAATTTCCCACATTCCTTACATTCAAATGGTTTTTCACCTGTGTGAGTTTTCTGATGTTGGGAAAGTTGTAGGTAAAGTCTAAAAGCCTTCCCACACTCCTTACATTCATAGGGCTTCTCACCAGTGTGAATACTCTGATGTTGAACAAGGCTTGAGCCACGATTGAAGGCCTTCCCACAGTCTTGACATTCAAATGGCTTGTCACCAGTATGAATTCGAGAATGTTCAATAAGTTGGCAATGATATCTAAAGGCCATCTCACATTCCCTACATACAAAAGGTTTCTCATTGGAATGAATTTTCTGATGCTGAATAAGGTGTGCACCACGATTAAAGCCTTTCCCACACTCCTTACATTCATATGGTTTTATACCAGCATGAATACTCTGATGTTGAACAAGGTTTGAGCTACGATTAAAGGACTTCCCACATTCCTTACATTCAAACGGTTTTTCACCTGTGTGAATGTTCTTATGGCGATTAAGCTGGTTGAGAAGACTAAAGGCCTTCCCACATTCCCTGCATTCAAAGGGTTTCTCACCAGTATGAATCTTCTGATGTCGAACAAGCTTTGTCAGAAGAGTAAACGCCTTTCCACATTCTTTACATTCAAAGGGTTTCTCACCAGTATGAATTTGGCAATGTTCAATAAGTTGGTAATGATATCGAAAGGCCATCCCACATTCCTTACATACAAAGGGTTTCTCATTGGAATGAATTTTCTGATGCTGAATAAGGTGTGCACCACGATTAAAGCCTTTCCCACACTCCTTACATTCATATGGTTTTACACCAGAATGAATACTCTGATGTTGAACAAGGTTTGAGCTACGATTAAAGGACTTCCCACATTCCTTACATTCAAACAGTTTCTCACCTGTGTGAATGTTCTTATGGCGATTAAGCAGGGTAAGAAGACTAAAGGCCTTTCCACATTCGTTACATTCAAAAGGTTTCTCACCAGTATGAAATTTCTGATGTCGAGTAAATTGTATGTGAAGTCGAAAGGCTTTCCCACACTCCTTACATTCAAAGGGTTTCTCTCCAGTATGAATACTCTGATGCTGAATAAGATTTGCACTACGACTAAAGTATTTCCCACATTCCTTACATTCATACGGTTTATGTGTATTGCAAATAAGAGAAGCATGAGGAGTATGAGTAGGCAGTTTTTCATAGCTGATCATCTTTTGATTGATATTTCCTTCTTGATATCCCTGTAGTCCCTCAAATTGTCTATATTCTGAGTCATTTCTAAAATAAAAGGCCTCAATGCCAAGAGTTGTACTTATTTGCTTTATAACCTGTTTGGGTAAATTTACTTCAGAGGTATCATTTTCTGGAGATACTTTCTCAGGTCCATATTTTAACTCCAAATCTGAAAGAAATGAAGAAAGCAAACCTATTTTATTTTCGTATAACACACATGCATACAAAGTCCTTTTGTCAACTGAAACCATCAATTCAAACCAATAAAACCTTTATTGATTTTATTAGCCAAAACCAACAAAGTTGGTAGATAGAACCTTTCTCATATCACTTCTGTTTCCAGTGGAAGCAAATGCACATCTGAGCCAGCCTGGTTATGTACATGTAAAAATAGGAAAATGAACCACAGAAGATTGAACCTAACTAGGTCAACTATCTGTTGAAACATATTGATATGTTCTATAGGACTTAAGACCATGAGACCCATAGTTTCATAGTCAGTAATTAGAATGTCCAGGATACAATCCAAATATACTGGCATATACAAGAAAATTTCAACTCACATTGGAAAAGAAAATCAACAGCAGCATTCTGCCAGGGGCCTGGGGATCACCCCACCCCTGCTTACCACAAGAACCAGCACGTACAACTGGGGGGCCTAAGGTCAGGTCCAGCAGACCCAGCTCTGTGCCCAAGTCCCCAAGCACACCATCTGGGGACCTGGGGATCACCCTGATCCATCTACCACCTTTGCTACCTAAGCACTCATCACAGAGGCCTAAGGTCAGACACATACAACCTGCTGTTTCCTCCACAACTGGTACCCACCTGTACTCACAACCGGAAGTTCTGGGGACTGGCCCACCCAGCCCATCATAGTCACCTCCAACACTAAGCACTTACTGCTTGGGAGCCAGAAGGTTGTCCTGTTCACTACTACTACCATCACCCATGCCACACTTGCTGCCCAAGAATCCAAGAACCCATCCACCTACCCAGCATACCACTACCACTGCCAGCACTATCCAAACTACGAGGAGGCCAAAGAATCAACGTGCCTAGACACACTAATACTAGTACCAGCATACACTATGCTGGGGCCCCAAAACAGGCACATCTGGACTGCCACTGCCACCACCAGAGCCCAAGGACTTGCCTACCTTGTGTCCTCGTGCTAGGCCATTCTTGCATTAAAGGAATACCTGAGACTGGGTAATTTACGAAAAAATGAGTATTAACTGGCTCATGGTTCTGCAGGTTGTACATGGCGCTAGCATCTTCTCAGCTTCTGGGGAGGCTTTAGGGGCCTTTTACTCATAAAAGAAGGCAACACAGGACAAAGAATGTCACACAGCAAGAGAAGGAACAAGAGAGAGAACAAGAAGAAGTGCCATATACTTTTAAACAACCAGGTCTTGCAAGAACTCACTTACTATTGTGAGGACAGCACCAAGGGGATGGTGCTAAGCCATTCATGAGAAATCCACCCCTATGATCCAATTACCTCCCACCAGGCCCCATCTCCAACACTGGGGATTACATTTCAACATGAGATTTAGAGGGGAAAATATCTAAACTATATCACTCCTCATCCCCAATAAAACTTCACCATACCCTCCACTAACCATCACAACCAAAGCCAAGGAAGAAATCACAGACACCAAAGGCACTGTTTACAGCCAAAAAAAAAATCATAACACTACATAACAACACTACTGCACACGCCCAGAATCAAAGCGAAAATGCCCTATCCAACCCTATTAACCATAGGTACATCTTTAGGAAAAAAGCCTCCCCTACAAAAGCAAATTCAAAAAAATGAGAATAAACACAGGAAATAACAAAAAAAAAAAAAAGAGAAGGAAACTTGACATCTCCACAGGAACATAATAATTCTCCAGAAACATTCCAATGGGAGAAAAATGCTATATCCTAGCAAAAGAATTCAAAATAATTATATTAAAGAAGCTAAGTGAGATACAAGAGAATTCGGAAGAACAATACAAACAAATCAGAAAAAAAAAACTCAGGATAAGAAGAAGAAACTTACCAATTTCATTATAAAAAAGAACCAAACAGAAATTCTGAAACTGAATAATTCATTGAATAAAATATAAAATACATTCAAAATCTTCAACAACAGACTAGATCAAGTAGAAGAATCTCAGAACATAAAGCCAATTCTTTTGAAATAACCCAGTCAGACAAAAATAGAAAAACAAAAAAAGAAGAAGAAACAAAGACCCTATATGGGACATCATAAAACAACCAAATATTTGAAATTTTGAGGTCCCAGAGATGAAGAGAAAAAATAAAGGAAAGAAAATCTATTTAATGAAATAACAGCTGGCAACTTTCCAATTCTAGCAAGAGATGTAGACATCCAGATACAGGAAGCTCAGAGATACCCAAATACATAACAACACAAAAAGGTCTTCTCCATGGCACATTATGGTCAAAATATAAAAGTCAAAGACAAAGAGAGAATACTAAAAACAGGAAGAGAAAAGCATCTAGTCACTTACAAGGGAACTCTCATTAGCCGAACAGCAGATTTCTCAACAGAAAGAAATGAGAGAGAATGAAATGGTATATTCAAAATGTTGAAAGAAAAAACTTGCCAGTCAAGGATACTATCCTCAGCAAATTATAAAACATAAATGAAGAAGAAATAATCTTTCCCAGGCAAAAGCTGAGGGCAGACCAGCTCTACAAGATATGCTTAAGAGTCCTACACCTAGAAGTGAAAGAATATCTGCCATTGTGAAAACACACAAAATTATAAAACCCACTGACACAGCAAACACAAATAAGCAGAAAGAACCCAAATGTTACCCCTATAGAAAACAACCAAACCACAATGATGAAAAATAAAAGAGAAAGAAAGGAACAAAGGATACACAAATCAACTAGAAATCAATTAATAAAATGACAAGAATAAGCCCTCACATATCAGTAATCACATTGAACGTAAATGGATTAAACTTTTCATCTAAAAGATATAGATGGAATGGATTTTTTAAAAAGTGACCCAATTATATGCTGCCAACAGACTCATCTCACTGGTAAAGACATATATGGATTGAAAGTAAAGGAATGGTAAAAGATATTCCATGCAAATGGAAACCAAAAGTGAGCAGGAATAGCTATATTTATATCAGACAAAAAAGATTTTAAGTCAAAAGCAGCAAAAAAGAGACAAAGAAGATCACTGTATAATGATAAAGGGATCAATTCAGCAAGCGGATATAACAATTCTAAACATACTATAATCCCAACACCAGAACACCCAGATATATAAGGTGAATATTATTAGATCAAAAGGGAGAGAGATGTATTCCAGTGCAATAATCATTGGGGATTTCAACACCCCACTCTGAATTACACAGATCATCTAGATAGAAAATTAACAAGAAACATTGGATTTAAACTTCACATTAGACAAAACAGGCCTAACAGACATTTACTGAACATTTCATCAAATAGCTACAAAATACACATTTTCTCATTAGCACACAGAACATTCTCTAGGATAGACCATATGTTAGGATGCAATTCTTAACAAATTCTTCAAAACCAAAATTATATCAAGTCTTTTCTCAGACATGGAATAGAATGAGAAATCAGTAACAAGAGGAACTTTGGAAACTGTACAACACATGAAAATTAAACAACCTGCTCCTATATAACCACTGGGTCAAGAAAGAACATAAGGAGGAAATTAAAAAATTTCTTGAAACAAATGAAAATCAGAATACAACATACCAAAACCTATGGGATACAGCAAAAGTACTGCTAAGAGCAAAGTTGATGGCAATAAACACCTACATTGAAAAAGCAGAAAGATTTCAAATAAACGATCTAATGAAATTAGGGCAGAACTAAATAAAATACAGGCTAAATAATACAAAAGATCAATGAAATGAAAGGTTGTTTTTTAAAAAACATAAATAAAATTAATAAACCACTAGCTAGACTAACCAAGAAGAAAAGAGAAGAAATAAGCAAAATCAGAAATAAAAAAAGGAGATATTACCACTGACACCACAGAAACAGAAAAGATCATCAAAATAGAAAAGCTGAACAGGCCAATGAGTAATGAGATTGAATTAGTAATAAAATGTCACCCAAAAAAGAAAACTCCAGGACTGATGGCTTCACTGCTGAATTCTATCTACCAAACTCTCAAAGAACTAATTCTCCTCAAACTATTCCAAAAAATTTCAGAGAAGGGAATTCTCCTTAACTCTTTCTATGGAGCTGGCATACCATGAAACCAAAACCAGACAAGGAAGAAACAAAAAAAGAAAATAGTTCTAGCCTAAAGTCACATGAATGCCTATGTTTATTGTAGCACTATTCATAATAGCAAAGACATGGAATCAACCTAAATGTCCATCAATGGTTACCTGGATAAAGAAAATGTGGTACATATACACCAAGGAATACTATGCAACCATAAAAAAGAACAAGATTATGTGCAGCAATATGGATGGCATTGGATGCCATTATCCTAAGCAAATTAATTAAGGAACAGAAAACCAAATACTACATATTCTCACTTATAAATGGGAGCTAAACACCGAGTACACATGGACACAAAGAACAGAAAAACAGACATCAGGGCCTACTTGAGAGTAGAGGGTGGGAGGACGAAGATCCAAAAACTACCTATTGGGTACTATGCTTATTACCGGGGTGGTGAAATAATCTGCACACCAAACCCACCACAACATGCAATTTACCCATATAAAAAACCCACTTATGTACCCCTTGGACCTAAAATAAAAGTTGGAAAATAAATTAAAAATAAATAAATAAATGGTGCTGGAAAACTGGATATCCGTATGTGATAGAATGAAACCAGACCCCTATTTCTCACCGTATACAAAAATCAACTGGAAATGGATTAAAGACTTAAATGTAAGACTCAAAACTATAAAACAACTAAAAGAAAACATAAAGGAAGTGCTTCAGGACATTGACCTAGGCAAAAATTTTCTGGTTAACACTGCAAAAGCATAGGCGGCAAAAACAAAAATAGACAAATGGGACTATATTAAACTAAACGCTTCTGCAGAGCAAAGGAAACTATCATCGGAGGGAATAGACAAAATTAAATGAGAGAAATTATTTGCAAACTATTTCTCTGACAAGAGACTCAAATAACAGGAAAAAAAAAAAAAATCCAATTAAAAAGTTGGCAAATGGGCTGGGCACGATGGCTCACACCTGTAATCCCAGGGCTTTGGGAGGCCGAGGCGGGCAGATCATCTGAGGTCAGGAGTTCAGGAACAACCTGGCCAACATGGTGAAACCCCATCTCTACTAAAAATACAAAAATTAGCCAGGTGTGGAGGTGGGCACCCGTCATCCCAGCTACTTGAGAAGCTGAGGCATGAGAATTGCTTGAACCCAACAGACAGAGGTTGCAGTGAGCCAAGATCAGATTACTGCACTCCACACTGCAGGACAGAGCAAGATTCCACCTTAAAAAAAAAAAAAAAGTTTACCCTGGGAAAAAAAGAGGGAACTTACTCCACTAAAAGGGGAAGGAAATAAGAGAACAGAAATTAGGTGATTAGTAAATGATGAAGTTCCTTGGTGATGGCTTCTGCTGTAATCTTTATTTCCTTCCCAGGTCTTGGGCATTTTTATCCAACAGGACTTGGGTCACTGAAGAAAGCTTTTCAAACCACATCTCAAGTGTATGACTCCTTTCTGAGCACATGTCCAGGACAATGATGGCTTCCCCCCGCCTGCTTTACCCTCACTTACCTGGATACCGTCTGCTTGTTTCTTTCCTTACAACCATCCAGGGCTCTTTCTCTTGCTCTAGTAACGTAATTACATCTGGTTTAGAAATGGAACTTCCTGCTTAAAAGAAACGACACATGTAGAATTTTTTTAATACAGATTTTTTTTTTTCAAATCTTTGTGACCTGCTTAAACTTACAATAAATTACAAGTCAAAACAATATTGAAAAGAGACTTCAGATAAGAGTGAGAGGTTGAGTAAGAGAACTCTTTTCTAACTATGTTAGAAAAGGACTTCCTTTCATTTAAACTCAGAATCTTATCCCTTGAAAAGAGGTATAACTGAATGGTTGAGAGCAGGAAACTTCAATCCAGACTGCCAGGTTCAAATCCTATCT
Organism: Homo sapiens; assembly: GCF_000001405.40. Classification (NCBI taxonomy): domain Eukaryota; kingdom Metazoa; phylum Chordata; class Mammalia; order Primates; family Hominidae; genus Homo; species Homo sapiens. Next base: position 357,339 of record NW_009646206.1, read on the forward strand.
CTGCTACTCACTAGCAGTATGACCTCAGGTAAGTCACTTAAACTCTGTCCTTCAGTTTTCCCAACTCTAAAATGGGGATGATACAATACCTATTTTATAGGATTGATACTAAGACAAAATAAGTTATATATATGCAAAATACTTCTAACATTGCCTGATGTACAGTAGCACAAAGTCAAGAATTATTGTTTATTATTGTCATTTATTTTGCATCCTTAGACATTTATAGCTCACTCAGTATATTCACTAAATGAAAATACATAAACTCCATGGTCTGAAACTTTCAACTGCAAAACAATGGAATGTTTATTGAAGGAAATGAAATGCATTCCCTTTAGTGTTAAATGAATTTCTGTCAACCCAATCAGTATACGTAAATAACAGACATTTTTGTTTGTTTGTTTTTGGTTTTGAGACAGGGTCTCGGTCTATTGCCCAGGCTGGAGTGCAGTGATGGGTACAGCTCACTGCAGCCTCAACCTCCCAGTGATCATAGAGGTTTCTCTGATAGAAAAATTCAAGACACTCTTCTCCTTACAGATGGGTTAGAAAAACAAAAACAAACCAACAAACAGAAAATCTACAGTAATTCTGAGATCAAACATAATATGAAATCTGGTTCTTAGACAATATCTTTCAATGAATGTACAAGATTTCAAATTCAGCCCCATGGTCATGAAGAGAGAGGCAATTACAGAGAGGACCAGCGTAACGAAGGAGGCCATTGTGGAGTAGGCAAGATGCAGGGGCTCCAGGGAGGTGCCTGTTTTCAACCCAACAAATCCCAATCCATTCCTTTGGGAACAAGAAGAAGGAATTCAGCCACCTCTTAAAAGATAGCCCTGAAATTCACGGTGAAGAAAGCTGATATTCCAGAAAATAGATATAAAAATAGCTGGGACTCAACGACCTTACCCAGTGAGATCAGGTGGCTGTAGTTCTCCAACATCACATCCCTGTACAAGGTCCTCTGATCAGGCTGCAGGCACTCCCACTCCTCCTGAGAGAAGTCAATGGCCACATCCCTGAATGTCACTGATCCCTGAAACCACAAACACATGTATAATGGTGAAACTGAAGAAAGTTGTTTTAAGATGAAAGGAGAGGAAGTGAAGGAGTGTAGTGTAAGAAAAAAGCAATATGGAAATTCACAGAGTGCCTGCACATTCTTCAAGAAGTCTCCTGCTGGCTGAGTATGGTGGCTTATGCCTATAGTCCCAGCACTTTGGGAGGCAGAGATAGGAGGATTGCTTGAGCCTAGAAATTTGAGACCAGCCTGGGCAACATAATGATATCCCATCTCTGCAAAAATTAAATAAGTAACTGTGTGTGGTATCACGTACCTGTAGTCCCAGCTACTCGGGAGGCTGAGGTAGGAGTATTGCTTGAGCCCAGGAGTTCAAGGCTATAGTGAACTGTGATCACGCCACTGCACTCCAGCCTGGGCCACAGAGCAAGACTCTGTCTCAGAGAAAAAAAAAAAAAAAAAAAAAGGTGGCATACAATTAAAGAATGTTCTTAATCCTCAAGTTCATTATGGTATGAGATGACAGCAAAAGTATTTTTTCTTGTCATGACAACTGATTTTTATAAGCTGCATTAAAGTCAATAGAACTCACATATTAGATTTATTCATTTTTTTTCTATTTATACGTTGAGGATGGCCAGGGCCTCTAAGGATTTCCCCAATTCTGAGAATTTTTTATTTTTTATTTTTTTTCTGAGACAGAATTTCACTCTGTTACCCAGGCTGGAGTGCAGTGGCACGATCGCAGCTCACTGCAACCTCCACCTCCCAGGTTCAAGCGATTCTCCTGCCTCAGCCTCCTGTGCAGCTGGGATTACAGGTGCGCACCACCACAACAGGCTAATTTTTTTTTTTCTTTTTTTAGAAGAGATGGGGTTTCACCATGTTGGCCAGGCTGGTCTCAAACTCCTGACCTCAAGTGATCCACCACCCACCTCGGCCTCCCAAAGTGCTGGGATTGCACGCGTGAGCCACCATGTCCAGCCAGAGAATCTGTAATCACCTATCATTCATGCCCTGAATTATCTTCTCCCTGCTACTGCCCACTGTCCTCACCTATCATTTTCCTAAAAGCCTCATAAAGCAGATCACCTTGTCACACTTGCAGACTGAGGCTACTCACTATGGAATTCTACCTTAGCTACCTGGAAAGCTCTAGTCTGTAAAGTTTCAAAGTGTTCCCAAGTGTGGTCAATCATCTGTAACTTATCAAACCCATAAGACCCTGTTTCCCTGTGGGGACTGATTCCTCCACTGTTCCAATATTCTTCCTGACCAAGGTCTGAGCACAGAGCACAGACTGAATAACTTTTTCAAAGAAAACATCAAAGCCAGTAGGAAACAGAGGTACAAATAGGAAGAGCAGTGACTTTTTTTTTTTTTGTCACCAACCTTCACTGTAATGGGACAAACTGGGGTGTAAGATCGTGAATTCTAGGTACGAAGCTTCAGGTTAAATAATAACAGTCACCTAACCTGAAAGTCACCATATTTCAAGGAAAAGAGAGAAATACAAACTTACATGGACCATGTTGCTAGAATTACAAAACTGGTCAATCTTCCTCGGGCTTCTCCCCTGGAAAACAACAACAACAAAAAGGCCACAATTAAAGCTGTGTCTCAAAAGCAAATAACTATTTTATCCTCCGTTCCTATTTCTCAACTACTCCTGCTAACACGCACACTTCCACCCTTCTCCCATCACTCCCCTTGCCCCCACACACACTCTCTCACAAATAGCTGGCAGTGAACGGGTGGAGTAGGGATGAAACCAAGCTCTCGCCTGCATCCCAGGGAACCTGCGGCAGAAGCATGAATGCCGAGCACAGGCATTTCTGCCTTGAAGTTGTGGCTTCCAGCCAGTCCTCCATTCTTGGGATACCTATCTTGGCCTAGGTCTGGACCTCTGATCCTGCCCTTAGCAGATCCTCCTCCCCCAGTCCCACCTTTCAGAGCTGAGAAGGGATTGCATCATCCAAACCAGAACCTCTTTGTGAAATCAGGATTGGGTGCAGTGGGGGAAGGCATGAGAACTGGAAAGCATATTTGCACTGGCAGTGTTTGCACCAAATTGCACTGACAGTGTTCAGCATTCTAAATTCAGCAAAAGCCAGTTGGTTAATACAGTTCAGAACATCCACTTAATAGAATACAAAGTAAATATTAAACGTTCAAGATATATGATTAACAGAAAAATCAGGTTACAAAACAGGATAGATAATATGATTACATTTGTAAAATATATGTATATAGAAATACTAATAAAAAGACTAACAGACATTAATAGAAAAAAATTTAGAAAATTATATACATGTTAAGAGTTCTCCTCTGTGTATTGTAGCTCCAATTTTCTTCTTTTTGCTTAAGAGCATTTCATGGCCGGGCACGGTGGCTCACACTTGTAATCCCAGCACTTTGGGAGGCTGAGGCAGGCAGATCACGAGGTCAGGAGATCGAGACCAACCTGGCCAACATGGTGATACCTCGTCTCTACTAAAAATACAAAAATTAGCTGGGTGTGGTGGTGCATGCCTATAATCCCAGCTACTCAGGAGGCTGAGGCATGAGAATCGCTTGAACCCAGGAGGCGGAGGTTGCAGTAAGCTGAGATCGTGCCACTGCACTCCAGCCTGGCAACAGAGCGAGCCTTCATATAAAAAAAAATTGTAACTACATCCAAGCATTAACTTGGAATATATATAGTTATATTCACACACACACACACGTGTGTGTATATATATATGTGTGTGTGTATATATATATTTATATATATATATGTGTGTGTGTGTGTGTATGCATCTCTATATATGGACATATATAAATGTACATACACATTTCTTTCCTATGAGGAAACTTCTCCAAATTAGATGAAAGACACTTTTTATTTAGATATCTCCCTTTGAACTTGGGGTGGGAAATCAGCATACTCTAATGAACTGTTGTTTTTACTTAACAAGTTTGTTTCCTTTATTTTCCAATTCTTGACCAACACTAAGATGTCTATGTTTTTCTATGTATGTTGGAGCAATCTCTAGAAAAAATTGTCTACAAGTCCCCAACCAATGTCTTGTATGCATTAATGATAGTCTATTTCTACTTTTGAAGTAAAAAATAAAAACAGAGTTATCAGGAAAAAAACCTGAGCCTGTCACGAGATTCAACAAAAGAGGTTAAAGTGACTACAACAAATAACATCAGCTAGTTCTAATATCCTTTAGCTGTATCTCACCAATATAATTAGATATTCTCATTATCAAGATTCTTCTTTGAATGAACACAATGCAGATAAGTGGCATTTGCAAACTATGTGAGAAAATTTGTGAAATATACACCACCATGCTTGGTTCCCTTCTTCACCAAATAACCAATTAAAATATTATTTTAGATATAATTCTTATAGAATGCCTTCAGATAGAATTCTTATAGAATTCTTATACAAAAACCCTATCTTAGTATATGGGATTCATATAAAACATAACAATTTCTTTTTGGGGGGCAGGGGTGGAGTCTCACTCTGTCACCCAGGCTGGAGTGCTGTGGCCTGATCTCGGCTCACTGCAACCTCAGCCTCCCAGGTTCAAACAATTCTCCTGCCTCAGCCTCCTGAGTAGCTGGGATTATAGGCGCCTGCCACCACTCCCGGCTAGTTTTTATATTTTTAGTAGAGACAAGGTTTCACCACGTTGGCAAGGCTGGTCTCAAACTCCTGACCTCAAATGATCTGCCTGCCTCAGCCTCCTAAAGTGCTGGGATTTCAGGTGTGAGCCACCGCGCCCCGCCCCATGTAACATTTTCTTGAGTATTATTGTTCATAGCATGAATATTGCTTAATGATATATCAAATATTTTTCTTTTCATAATTCCTTATAGACATCATTTTATTACCTGTGTAATACTCTATCACTTGAGTCTAGTATGATTAGCTTAATGATTTCTGTATTATAGGACACTTATTTTATACAAGATCATTTACAATGTCATTCCAGATATCACAATCTTTTGATTCTGGACTACAGTTTTTCACCCTAGGCACTACTGACATATTGTGCTGGATAATTCTTAGATGGGAGAGTGGGGAGAGCTATCCTGTGCATAACACAATGTTTAGCAGCATTCCTGACCTCTATCCATTAGATCTAAGTAGCACCCTCCCCGACAGCATGACAACCGAAAGTTTCTAAACATCACCCCAGCTGAGAACCAATGTTCTATCTAGATCAATGGATCCAAACCTCATGGGTCACATAAATTTTTTTGATAATCTTATGAAATGATACACTATTTCTCCCCCTAAAACCCACATTTATAAATTTCTATAATACTTCAATATTTTATTTCAAGAGCTTTTGGTCCCTGAGACCATAAATGGAGTCACAGGAACTCAGGTTAAGAATTTCTGTCCTACATTCCTTACAGAAACAGGAAAAAAACAAAAATGCTAAAATTTGTATAGAACCACAAAAGACCCAAATAGCCAAAGCAATCTTGAGCAAAAGGAACAAAGTTGGACTCATCAAAACTATCTGACTTCAAGATATACTACAAAGCTATAGTAACCAAAACAACAAGGTACTGACATAAAAACAGACACATAGACCAAAGAAACAGAATAGAGAGGCCCAGAATAAATCCATATATTTATAACCAACCGAGTTTTGAGGAGGGTACCAAGAACATACAATGGGGAAAAGAGAGACTCTTCAAAAAATACTGTTGTGAAAAGTAGGTATCCATATGCAGAAAAATGAAATTAGACCCTTATCTCAAACCATTATACAAACATCAACTCTAAACAGATTAAAGACTTAAATGTAAGATCCTAAACTATGAAACAAATAGAAGAAAACATAGGGGGAAAGCTCTGTGAAACTGATCTGAGCAATGATTTTTTTTGGGATATGACCTCAAAAGCACAGGTAACAAAAGCAAAAATGAACGAATGAAATTATGTCAAGCTAAAAAGCTTCTGCACAGAAAAGGAAACAATCAACAAAGTGAAGAGACATCTTGTAGAATGAGAGAAAATATTTGCAACCATATATATGATAAGAGATTAAGATCCAAAATGTATGCAGAAGTCAAACAACTCAACAGCAAAAAAAAACCTGATTAAAAGATGGGCAAAGGACCTGAACAGGCACATCCCAAAAGAAGACATATAAATGGCCAACAGTTTATGAAAAAATACTCAACATCACTAATCATCAGGGAAATGAAAATTAAACCCGCAATAAGATATTAGCTCATACCTGTTAGGGTGGCTACTGGAAAGACAAATGTTAACAAGTATTGGCAAGAAAAGGGGAACGCTTACACACTGTGGGTGAGAATGTAAATGGGCACAGCCATTATGGAAAACAGTATGGAGGTTCCTCAAAAAATTAGAAATAGAACTACCATATGATCCAGCCATCCCACTACTGGGAATATATCTCCAAAGGAAATGAAATCTGTATGTCAAAGAGATATCAGCATACCCATGTTTATTGCAGCATTATTCACAATAGCCAAGATATGGCATCAACCTACGCGTCTAACAATGAATAAATGGATAAAGAAAATGTGGTATATATGCAGGTATATTTACACAAGGGAATACTATTTAGCCATAAAAAGCAGGAAATTCTGTCATTTGCAAAAACATGGATGAACCTGGAGAACATCATATTAAGTGAAGTAAGCCAAGCACAGAAAGACATATGATCTCACTCTTCAGCCAAATCTAAAAAAGTTGATATCATAGAAGTGGAGAGTAGAATCGTATTTACAGATCTGGGGTAATGTGGGTGAGGGAGGAAGGAGGGCAGTGTTGACTGGGGAAATGTTGGTCAAAGGATACAAAATTTCAGGAAGATAAGAGAAATAAGTTCAGGAGATCTATTACACAACAGGGTATCTCCAATTAATAACAATATTCTGTAGTCTTGAAAAATGCTAGGAGGGTGGATATTAAGTGTTCTCACCACAAAAATGATAACTATGTGAGGTAATGCATTGTTAATTAGCTAGATTTAGTCATTCCACAATGTATACATACCATAAAACTTCATGTTGCACATGATAAATACATACAATTATATCTGTCGATTTAAAAAGAAAGAATTTCTGTCCTAGATCATTTGAGCCCCTCACTCATTTTCTTAATATACAACCAGCAGTCGCAATGAATCACATATTCCCAATGCTCCTGTTCTGTAGAGAGTCAAGGGGAATGACTTAAAATGACTACACAAAAAACAACAGTTAAAACATATTAAACATTATTATATGCCTAGCACTGCTCTAAGGGGCTTTACGATATTAATTCATTCTAATGACAGAACCAATATTCCAACCCAGATACTCTGGATCCACTCCCCTATTCTTAACCACAACAGTGTACTGCCTCTCACAGTACACACACACACACACACACACACACTCACACACACACGCCTAAAACACAACTGGAGCTGCCAAACCTCAGAGAGATCTGGCAAGTATTACAAATATCATCTCATGGACTCCCTGGAAAAATCCTGGCTCTTGTTGATACCAATTTCTGTGCGGTCACTTTTCCACTACCGAATGCCTCACAGGCAATGGAGATCATCCAACCATCTCCATTCTTCCCTGTTTTGAAAAGGAGGTCTGTAAAGACCAACTGATGTCTAGTGTGTGATTCCACCTAAACACTAATCTCCTCCTTCCCAAATATGGGTCTAAAATGGAGCTTTAATATTAACTACTGGAGGTGTATTTCTATACCAGCTTCGAAAAAGAGAGCGCACAGGAAGGTGTGAACGATTTGCCAAATTGTTTTGTGACTATTAAGTGGAAAGGTGAAGGAGGGGGCACGAATCAATTTGCATATCCCCCTAGTTTCACTGAAAATTTAAGGGGAAATCTCAATATTCTAAAATCAAAAACGCATGTCTTGAACAAATACAAAGCACAAACTCACCCTTGACTTTAGGTGTGCAGCAGTAACGCTCTCATCCTCCTCCAGGTCCTTCTTTTGGATAAAAATACGACTGGAGAAGGATACGGCAAGCGTGAGACTCCAGGCATTTCTTGGAGCGCAGACTAAGTTTGAAAACACCCTCCCTCCATAGCCACAATTTCCCTCACTTCACACGAAATAGGAAGGAAGTAAAAGGAAGAGGAATCGATTCAACCAGTACAACCAGTTTGGAGCTGGTTTCTGGGGACAGAGCTCTGAGGACGCTGTGGTTCTCAACATGTAGCTGCCCCCCTGGGGAACACTCGGGGGCACTTCTGCGCTTTCTTGTGTAAAGCTTCATTCTCGGCTCAATATCTGACCTCCCTACTGGGGCCATTCCTCTGCTGCAGTCCCCGCAGCTGTGAAGCGGAAAGAGGGAGGAAGCAGCAGGAGCCTAGGGGCACCGGCACAGTGTCACTCAGCAAAGTGCGCTGCGTCCACACGCCCTCCCGGGCCTGTGCATAGAACCTCACGCACACACTCACAGTCCCCTCCGTCACTCATGATCTCACAATCCCCCTCCTCTGATACCCGCGCACACACACGCCTGGGGATCCGGCAGATCCCGTCTGCACCCCCGGGTTCCTACTCTGAGCGCCTCCCCCTAGGCCACCCGCACTGTCGGGTCAGTCAGGCTGGAGCCCCAATCCGCAGAGATCTCCCGCAGCCACAGATCTCTTCCTCAGACGTGAAGACCTTACCCCGCTATGTCGTCGACCCCGGAGACCGGAAGTGGACTGGCGCGGTGGCCGCTGGGAAATACAGTCCCGAACAGAAAAAGCCTCAGAAGCCTTGAGCTGTGATCCGTTCAGGTTGATCCCAGCATACTATGGGGGCTGACCCCTAAGGGAGCCGAGCCTAGTGGATTCGTGGGAGTTCCAGCCCGCGGGGTGCACAGGTTGTTGCCATGAGCAAGGATCCCCATGTGAGAAGAGCGTTTCCCTCTCGGAGCGTCAGTATAATTTACTTTTTCTCTCCATGGAGAATGCAAATGAGCAGAACTTTTAAAGAAGAAAGAAGAATTTAAAGTAAAATTATGTCAACATGTAGGTGCTTTAACTCCTTTGTCTCAGACCCCAGCGATAGGCTTCCACTTCTCTGTGCTATTTGAAGGGGACTTAGGATAAATTTGAAAAGCTTGAACTAAAGAATTGGTTGGTTATATACTAGGAGAGGAAGTGTGGTTCACATTGGAGATTTCAGAATCAAATGTCCTGGATTCTTCGAGACAATGTTCCTGTTATCTGGAGAGAAAAACGTGATTCAGGACGACATGGAAACGGATAAAAATACACAGATAATTACTTGCCTTATCTTGAAGGATGAATAATTAACACTTTGTTAAAATAGTATAAACAAATGCAAAAAAGGGCTTGCTTTTCCTAGGAAGAGCCTGATTTCACTGTTGTAGTCTAACAATATTTAACTTTCAAAATCATTTTTCTAGTTTCCTATGCTACATAAGGAGGAAACATGTAATAATAAAGAGCAAAACGTCTTTTCATTCCAGAATTGTGACAGAAAACAAATAAGATGATTAACTCAACCATATCAATAATCACATTAAATGTAAATGGTCTAAACACCTTAATTTAAAAAGATTGTCAGATTGGATTTTTTAAAAAGTCAGACCCAAATGTGCATCAATGATAGACTGGATTAAGAAAATGTGGCACATATACACCATGGAATACTATGCAGCCATAAAAAGGATGAGTTCATGTCGTTTGTAGGGACATGGATGAAGCTGGAAACCATCATTCTGAGCAAACTATCGCAAGGACAGAAAACCAAACACCAAATGTTCTCAGTCATAGGTGAGAATTGAACAATGAGAACACTTGGACACAGGGTGGAGAACATCACACACCGGGGCCTATAGTGGGGTCGGGGGAGGGGGAAGGGATAGCATTAGAAGATATACCTAATGTAAATGACGAGTTAATGGGTGCAGCACACCAACATGGCACATGTATACATATGTAACAAACCTGCACTTTGTGCACATGTACCCTAGAACTTAAAGTATAATAAAAAAAGATAATTAAATAAATAAATAAACAAAAAGTCAGACCCAAATGGGTGCTACCTACAGGTAATATGTTAAATGAAAAGCACTAAAAGGTTAAGAGTAAAAGGATGGAAAAATATACACCATCCTAACACTAGTCAAAAGAAAGCTGGAGTGGCTTTATTAAAAACAAAGTAGACTCCGGACATAGACTATTACCAGAGATAAAGAAGGGCATAATAATGATAAAGGAGATAGCTCATCGAGTAGAAAAAAACAAACATAAATTTTGCTCCTAAAAGCAAAGCTTCTAAGTATGGGAAGAAAAATCTATTAGATCGAAAAGGAGACAGATCCACAATTATAGTCAGATATTTCAATATATCTCTCTTGGTAATTGATAGAACAAACACAGAAAAGCAACAGGGTATAGCAGATTTGAGCTACATATCAACTTACTTGATCTCATTTATATTTGAGAACACTCTCCTCAATGACAGTAAAATTCATCTATGTGGACAGGGGATACTTACCAGTATAGGCCATATTCTGGGCCATAAAACAAGTCTCAATAAATGTAAGAGGATTCGAGTCATACAAAGCATATTCTTTGACAAAAATGGAATTAAATTAGAACTCAATAATAGCTGAATATATAATATATTGTCCAAAGTAGTACAAATTCGAAAAGGTATGAATACTAAGGTAATTGAAATTATGTAATGTTTGAAAAATTCCTGTATTAATTATAATATTCTGTTATATCCTAAAGGGTGAAACAATAACATATATACGTTAAAGCAAAATAACAATTTTGTAGTAAGGAAAAAAATTTTTAAGCTATTTATGTTGACTAAACATTAGAATAAAGCGGAGAATAATTATATTTAAGTATATTCTGATACTTTAATCGATTTCCTAACCAATATCACCATTCTTTTTAAGTATTTTCTTTCAATGTGGTCTATTATTTTTAAATTTTGATAAAATTTTATGCAATCTTCAATGTTGGACTTTATGTTTAATAAACTCAAAATTATAGCTACCTTCAAATGACTCTTCTCTGAACACCATACTTTTTAAACTGAGATATATACTCTGTATATACTAAGGTAACCAGAAGTCTCAGAATATATCCAATGAAATGGAAGATATCCTCACAAGTATTGTGAATATTGAATATGGAAAAATTAGATTGCAGTTCATATTCTTGTAGTTAATGTATCTTGCCTTCAAGGTACATCTCTTTTTTTGCCATCTCTTTTTTGTACCCTAAGAAGGGTACATTTCTTTGATAATTATCTTTACAAGGCAAACATATTGGTTCTATTTATGATTCCTTTGAATGTTAAGCCAAATTTAGATGCTGCAGTAACATAAGGCTTCTCAACTGCGCTCCATTCTGACACAAATTGCAAATTGATCCAGTTAAAAATTGGAGCATCATCAAAAGACTATTCCCATAGCTGAAGAAATTCCTCAGTAAAATTGAAGAATTTCAAAATTAAATCCTGTATGCCATCTGATATTTCATGACTTAATTCATTCAGTTTCTTTCTTAATTTGTAGGACTAAATCCCATTGTCTTCATGTTGGCCAGTTCTGATAACTGAAATTCAGTTGAATTTCTATGTTGAATAGGAGTGGTAAGAGAAGACATCTTTGTCTTGTGCCAAATCAACACAATCTTAAACAACCAAAGGATTAAAGAATGAATACAAAAATTTAGAAAATATTTTAGATAAATACAAATAAAAACACATGTTACCAAAGTTTATGATATGCTTATTACTAAGAGAAAAATTTATAGCTCTACATGCCTATATAAAAGAAGAAAGATGTCAAATCAACAACCTAACTGTACAACTTTAGGAATTAGAACATGAAAAATAGCAAAACAATAAATAAATAGAAGACAAGAAAGGAAGGAAATAATAAAAATAAGAGTGGAGTTAAATAGAGAATAGAAAAATAATACAGAAAAATTACAAAATTAAAAGTGGTTCTTTGAAAAGATCAAAAGAAGTAGCAAAATCTTAGCTGGATTGACTGAGAAAAAAATAGAAAAGACTCAAATTACTAAAGTCAGAGGTGAAAGTGGAGACATTACTAACCTTACAGAAATGAAAATGATTATAGAAGAATATTATAAACAATTGTATGCCAACAAAATAAACTAAATGGAAAGGAACAATTCTTTTTTTGCAATATTTATTTATTATTATACTTTTAAGTTCTGGGATACATGTGCAGAATGTGCAGGTTTGTTACATAGGTATACACGTGCCATGGTGGTTTGCTGCACCTATCAACCTGTCATCTACATTAGGTATTTCTCCTAATGCTATCCCTCCTCTAGTCCCCCACCCCCGACAGGCCCCAGTGTGTGATGAGGAACAATTCTTTACACAAACTGTCACTGATTCAAGAAGAAATAGAAAATCTTAAGAGGAGTGATGTCAGCAAGATTGGAGAATGGGACTTTCCAGCACTTAGCCCTCACATCAATTTAAACATCTGTTTACTCATGAACAAACTTTCACAAGAGCTAAAGTATCCAAGTAAGAGATTAGAGCACCTTGCTGTAGCACAGAAACAGGAAAAGATACATTAAAGAGGCTAAGAAGGAGCGTTTTGCATTACCTAGTCCATCACTCTCCCAAGCCCAGCCCAGAAATTATAGTGTGGTGAGATACCCTCCGTGTTAGAGGATGAATAAAGTGAACACCAACTTTGCTGTGGACCCTGGCAGCAGGACTACTCCACTGAAACCCAATGACCAGCTGGCCCCCTTGACCCAAACTCCAAGGTGGCACCCTCAGCTCCAGGCACAAAGCTGGCACCCACAGATCCAAGCTCCAGGATAACCCCCATGGATACAGGCTGTCAGCCTACCCAGCCCCTGTGGCTCCAGTCTCTAAGCTGGCTCCCATGGTCCTACACTCTGACAAACCCAGGGTTCAAACCCACTCCACCGCATCCAATATCCAGACCTGGCCCAGGAGACCCCAAGTGCCAGGCCAGCTCCTAGAGACCAAAGCTTTAGAACCACACCTAAAAACACAGGCTCCAGGCTGGCCTCCATATCCCTAGGACAGCACCCACAGCCTCAAGCTTCAGACTGACCCCTGTGGAATCCAGACCCAAATATGCCCCAGACCAGACCCAAGCTCCAGGCTGGTTCTTGTGACCCTATGCTCCAGTGGACCCAGGGTCCACGCCTGCCCAAGCGGATCCTGGAAGCAGGGTGACCCCTATGAGCTCAAGACCAAGGCATATTATGGGCCTATGTCCAGACCACCCCAGCACCAGGTCAACCTCTGTGGACCCAGACTTCAGGCTGGTTCCCATGGACAGTCCTCAGGCCTATCCATTTGTTGACCCTGGCACCAGACCAGCATGTCTGATAACTTCAGCAGTAATCCCACCCACAAACTTCTCTATACAGCCCACCCAATATCTCTGATGAAGGGCTTTCACTACCAAAGCTAGTCTGTAAAGACTAGAAGGGATGCCTACTTCTTCAAATGTTCAACACCAAAGCAAGTTCACAAAGATC